>NC_000019.10:46331783-46634813 GCF_000001405.40 Homo sapiens
ACAGAAGATTGCAGTGAGCTGAGATCGTGCCACTGCAGTCCAGTCTAGGCAACAAGAGTGAAACTCCGTCTCAAAAAAAAAAAAAAAAAAAGGCAATAAGTGCAAAGAAGGAAAAATTAAGCAGGCTAAGGGGAGAAATGGCATGTGGCTGGTATCTGCAGGGATCTTCTCTGCTCCCATGGGACCCCCTCCCCAAACTAGAACAGGTCTTGGCCTTGGATTACTAGTGCAGAGTTCAAAGTGCAGACACTAGAATCAGACTGACCTGGGTTCAAGTCCCAGGTCTGCCACCCAGTAACTGCCACCTGACCTTGGGCAGGTTACGTCACCACGTGGAGCCTCAGTTGCCTCATCCAGAAAGTGGGAATAGTTACATCTCACGGGACTGCCATGAGGATTAAAGGAAATTAGGCCCTTAGCTGACACTCAGTGGGCTGACCATAAATGGTGTACAAAAACAAACCAAAGGGCCGGGCGCTGTGGCTCACGCCTATATTCCTAGCACTTTGGGAGGCCGAGGTGGGTGGATCACCTGAGGTCAGGAGTTCGAGACCAGCCTGGGCAACATAGTAAGATGCTGTCTGTACAAAAAAAAAAAAATTAAAATTTAAGCGGGTGTGGTGGCATGTGCCTGTAGTCCCAGCTACTTAGGAGGCTGCGGTGAAAGCATCACCCGAGCCTGGGAGGTCAAGGCTGTAGTGAGCCATGATCGTGCCACTGCACTCCGGCCTAGATGACAGCACAAGACGCTGTCTCAAAAAAATAAAAATAAAAAAGCCAGCCTGGACTATGTCACTTCTGCAAGGCCTCCCTCTAGGACCTTTCATGGCCCTCTAGTGCTTACAGCAGTGCCCTGGTTCTTCACTCTGCAAAGGGTTGTTTGAATATGAGATGTGGTTGATAATATAACAGTTTACAGGCCAGACATAATGCCTCACGCCTGTAATCCCAGCACTTTGGGAGGATGAGGCGGGATAATCACTTGAAGTCTGGAGTTCAAGTCCAGCCTGGCCAACATGGTGAAACCCTGTCTCTACTAAAAATACAAACGTTAGCCGGGTGTAGGTGCACACCTATAGTGCCAGCTACTCGGAAGGCTAAGGCACAAGAATTGCTTGAACTCTGGAGGCAGAGGTTGCAGTGAGCCGAGATCGCGCCATTGCACTCCTGCCTGGAGGACAGGGTGAAACTCCCTCTCAGAAAAAAAAAAAAAACAACCTCTCTCTATATATATATATGTATATATGTGTGTATATATATGTATATATGTGTATATACATATATAACAGCTTACACTTATTAAGTGCCTACCATGTGCCAGACACTAACTGCACTAAATTCCTTGCATGATTAACTTATTTAATCCCCACAACTACTATTGAAATGTTCTTGTTACTGTTATACACACTTACACAGAAGAAGTTAAACAACTGTATCAGAGTCTGCACAGGAAAGGCAGCACACTCAGAGGGAGTGTTGAGGAGAATTTAATAACAGGACTGTTGAAAAAGGTGTTAACATAGTGTAGGGAAATCAGCAAGCCTGGTGCAGTACCTTGGGGCACAGCATGGGAAGTGGGCATCAGCCCTGGCCTGAAGGTGCAGGGCGGGGTGGTCACTGGATCCTGCAGCGAGTGGAGTCCAGCTAATGAGGGCTGAAACCTTCCATGGAGGGACACCGCCAACTCACAGAGAAGAATAAATACCCTACCTGCTGGTGTCTCCCATGAGCTAACCAACAGGATCACACGGAGCAAAGTTGCATGCTGTCACGGTCTCTGTGTACAGGTCCTCGGGCGAAGGAAGAAGGAGAAGGGGGATGAGGCCCTGGAGGAACACAAGTAGGATGACTGGACAGGGACTGACCCAAAGTCACACCACAAATGGGTGGCCACTGGACCTCAGCATCCCTTAACTACTGCACCATCTTGTCTTTGGATATATATTTTTTTCCTTCCTTTCTTTTTCTTTTCTTTTCTTTTCCTTTCCTTTCTTTTCTTTCTTTCTTTTTTTTTTTTTTTTTTTTTTGAGACAGAGTCTCACTCTGTCGCCCAGGCTGGAGTGCAGTGGCGCGATCTCGGCTCACTGCAAACTCCATCTCCCGGGTTCACGCCATTCTCCTGCCTCAGCCTCCCAAGTAGCTGGGACCACAGGCAGCTGCCACCACGCCTGGTTATTTTTTTTGTATTTTTAGTAGAGACAGGGTTTCACCGTGTTATCCAGGATGGTCTCAATCTCCTGACCTCGTGATCCGCCCAACTCGGCCTCCCAAAGTGCTGGGATTACAGGCGTGAGCCACCGCGCCCGGCCTCTTTTCTTTCTTTTTTGAGATGGAGTCTCACTCTGTCTACCAGGCTAGAGTGCAGTGGCACGATCTTGGCTCACTACAACCTCCTCCTCCCAGGTTGAAGCAATTCTCCTACCTCCGCCTCCCAAGTAGCTGGGATTACAGACATGCGCAACCACACCCTGCTAATTTTTGTATTTTTAGTAGAGATGGAGTTTCACCATGTTGGCCAGGCTGGTCTCGAACTCCTGACCTCGAATGATCCACCCATCTCAGCCTCCCAAAGTGCTGGGATTACAGGCGTGAGCCGCCATGCCCAGCTTATTTCATTTTTTAAATTTTTTTGTAGAGATAGGGTCTCATTATGTTGCCCAGGCTGATCTCAAACTCCTGACCTCAGGTGATCCTCCTACCTTGGCCTTCCAAAAGCACTAGAATTACAGGCATGAGCCACTGCACTTGCCCTTATTTTTATTTTACTTTTATTTTTATTTTTATTAGAGATAGGATCTCTGTCACCCAGACTGGAATGCAGTGACACGATCATAGCTCACTGCAACCTCAGCCTCCTGGTCTCAAGGGATCCTCTCACCTCAGCCTCCTAAGTAACTAAGATTACAGGCACATGCCATCACACCCAGCTAATTTTTAAATTTTTGTAGAGATGAGATCTCACTATCTTGCCCAGGCTGGTCTCAAACGTTTGGGCTTAAGTGATCCTCCCAATCCTCTGGCCTCAGCCCCCGAAAGTGCTGGGATTACAGTCACCACTCCCGGCTGTTCCTTGGATACTAATGATGATGATGATGGTGGTGGCTTTGTCTCTCTCCCACAGAGTTTCCTTCTGACAGGAGGACCAGCCCCAGGGAGCCTGCAGGACCCCAGCACCCCACTCCTGAACCTGAATGAGCCCCTGGGTGAGTAGCAACCTGGGTATCCAGAGCCCCAGAGCACCTTCTCCCCCGGGAGGTGCGAGAGGGATGGAGCCATTCCAAAGGTGCTGGGGGACTGTCAGTGCTTGGAGGTGACCTTGGTGGAAACGGCAGCTCCTGTCTCTTCTCTCTTCTCATGGGCACTGTGGAGGAGAGAGCCCCTAAGGGAGGCAGGGGCTCTCCAAGGCTGCCTTTTGGGGTGGAAGCCCGAGCCTAGGTCTCTGGAGCCTGCACGCCTATGATCACATTTATTTATTTATTTATTTATTTATTTATTTATTTTTTGAGATGAAGTCTCACTCTTGTCGCCCAGGCTGGAGTGCAGTGGCATGATCTCGGCTCACTGCAACCTCCGCCTCCCAGGTTCAAGTGGTTCTCCTGCCTCAGCCTCCCAAGTAGCTGGGATCACAGGTGTGTGCCACCACACCTGGCTAATTTTTGTATTTTTAGTAGAGATGAGGTTTCGCCATGTTGGCCAGGCTGGTCTCGAACTCCTGACCTCAGGTGATCTGCCTGCCTTGACCTCTCAATGTGCTGGAATTACAGGTGTGAGCCACTGCACCCAGCCTAAAAATTTTTTTTTAATTGGCTGGGCATGGTGGTGCATGCCTATAGTTCCAGCTACTCTGGAGGCTGAGGTGGGAGGGTCACTTGAGCCTGGGAGTTCAAGGCTGCAGTGAGCTATGATGGTGCCACTGCATTCCAGTCTGGGCAACACAGCGAGACCCTGTCTCAAATAAAAAAGAGTGCAAGAGGGCAGGGTGAGTGTTTCCTGCCTGTAATCACAGTGTTTTGGGAGGCTATGGAGGGGAGGATCACTTGAGACCAGGGGTTCGAGACCAGCCTGGGAAACATGGCAAAACCCCGTCTCTACAAAAAATTTTTAAAAACCTGGTGAGTGTGGTGGCACGCACCTGTTGTCCTAGTTACTTGGGAGGCTGAGACGGGAGGATTGCTTAAGCCCAGGAGTTCGAGGCTGCAGTGAGCTGTGACTGCACCACTGTACTCCAACCTGCGTGACAGGGCGAGATCCTGTCTCTATTTATTTATTTTCACATTTTTATTTTCTTTCTCTCTCTCTCTCTTTTTTTTTTTTTTTTTTTTTTTTTTGAGACAGAGTCTCGCTCTGCCACCCAGGCTGGAGTGCAGCCGTGCGATCTTGGCTCACTGCAGGCTCTGCCCCCAGGTTCACGCCATTCTCTGGCCTCAGCCTCCCGAGTAACTGGGACTACAGGCGCCCGCCACCTCGCCTGGCAAATTTTTTGTATTTTTAGTAGAGACAGGGTTTCACCATGTTAGCCAGGATGGTCTCAATCTCCTAACCTCATGATCCGCCCACCTCGGCCTCCCAGAGTGCTGGGATTACAGGCTTTCTCTTTTTTTTGAGAAGGGTCTCGCTCTGTCACTCAGGCTGGAGTGCAGTGGTGCACTGTCAGCTCACTGCAGCCTCTGTGTCCCCGGGCTCAAGCGATCCTCCCACCTCAGCCTCCCAAGTAGCTGGGACTGCAGGTGGGCACCAGCACACTTGACTTTGTGTGTTTGTGTGCGTGTGTGTGTGTGTGTTTAGTAGAGACAGAATTTCACCACGTTGCCCAGGCTGGTCTTGAACTCCTGAGCTCAAGCGATCCACTCATCTCAGTTTCCCAAAGTGCTGGGATTACAGGCGTGAGCCACCGCACCAGGCCCCTGTCTCTAAACAAACAGTCCAGGTGCAGTGGCTCATGCCTGGAATCCTAGCACTTTGGGAGGCTGAGGCAGGCGGACCACCTGAGGTGAGGAGTTCAAGACCAGCCTGGCCAACATGGTGAAACCCTGTCTCTACTAAAAATACAAAAATTAGCCAGGCACACTGGCAGGCGCCTGTAATCCCAACTACTCGGGAGGCTGAGACAGGAGAATCACTTGAGCCCAGGAGGCAGAGGTTGCAGTGAGCTGAGATCACGCCATTGTACTGCAGCCTGGGCAACACAGCAAGACTCTGTCTCAAAAAATATAAATATAAATATAAACAAATGAACAAAAAAGAGTGGGAGATGAAAATAAGTGTAACGGGGAAATAATGCATGCAAGGAAAAAGGTTTGGAGTAGGGGGATTTCAGTTTTAAACAGTATGATCAGGGTGGTTTCATTGAGAAGGTGATAGCTGAGCAAAGACCTGGAGTGAGTCCTGACGATATCGGGGGGAAGAGTGTCCCAGGCAGAGAGAACAGCAAGTGCAAAGGCCCTTAGGTGGGGACTGTATCTATCTTTTTTGGGGTGTGGGGGGACAGGGTGTGTCTTGCTCTGTTGCCCAGGCTGGAGCACAGTGGTGCGATCACAGCTCACTGCAGCCTTGAACTCCTGGGCTCAAGCGATCCTCCCATCTCAGTCTCCCAAGTAGCTGGGACTACACTTGTAGCTGGGACTACAAGTGCGCTTCATTACGTCTGGCTAATTTTTTAATTTCTGTAGAGAAAGAGGTCTTGCTATGTTGCTCAGGCTGGTCTCAAACTCCTGGGCTCAAGTGATCCTCCTGCCTCAGCCTTCCAAAGTGCTGAGATTGTGCCTGGCTGTCTCTGTCTTCTTTGGGGAAAAGCAAGGCCAATGTAGCTGAAGCAGAGAGGAGAGAAAGGTGAGGGCTGACTGCATGGAGCCTCTGTGGGGCATTGTGATGGCTTTGAAGTCACCTTGCTTGAGGAGGCTGCCTCAGGGCCTTTGCATATCCTGATCCTTCTGCCTGGCATACTTTTCCCTCTGTTCTTTGCCATGTTACCACATCCTTTAGATCTCAAACCAAATATTACTCCTTACACAAAGCCCTGCCTAACTTCATACGCTCATGGTTTATAACACTCCATAATTACACAGGCCTTTGTGTCATAATTTGATGACTGTCTGTCTTCTCCTTTGGGTATGAGACCTTCAAGGGCAGGGGCCAGGGCTGTCTGGGTCCCTGCTGTTCTCTTCTTTGTGCACATGGGTGGGCGGTGGCTAAGCACAGAGGAAGTTCTCAGCACATATTTGTGAATGAGGAGCTAAGATTCACGCACTCGCACTGTGCCTAGCTTTGTGCTAAATCCTCTATGCACCTGATCCAATTGGCGCTTCTCACTGGAGTGTCGGTCCCATAAGGGCAGGGAGATTCATCCATCCTGGTCACTGCTGTGTCTCTAGCACCTGGCACAGTGCCTGACACAAAGTAGGTGCTCAGTAAACATGTTGGGTTTTTTGTTGTTTTTGAGATAGGTTTTCACTTTGTCACCCAGTCTGGAGTGCAGTGGCACAAACACAGCTCACCGCAGCCTCGACCTCCTGGGCTCAAGTGATCCTCCTACTTCAGCTCCCACAAGTAGCTGGGACTGCAGCTATGTGCCATCATGCCTGGCTGATGTTTATATGTTTTGTAGAGACGAGGTTTCACCATGTTGCCCAGGCTGGTCTTGAACTCCTGAGTTCAAGCGATCCACCTGCCTTGGCCTCCCAAAGTGCTGGGATTACTGGTATGAACCACCACGCCCGACAGTAAATATGTTTTGAATGAATAAACTCTCATAAATGAAGTATGTGTGAGTATCCTGGTTTCCCAAGTAACAACAGCTGACTTAACTGCTTTCTCACCAGTACTAGTTATGGTTCAAAACACCTTCCATGGATTTACTCATTTATTCCTCACAACAGAGGAGTAAATCAAGAGGGAGGTGCTGTTATTAGCCCGTCTTACAGATGAGGGAACTGAGGCACAGAGAGATGAAGCCACCTGCCCCAGGTCACACAGCAAGTAAATAGCAATGCCTGGATTCAAACTAGGGCAGCATCTGACTCTGGACTCGGGTTCTTCACCGCAGCCCTGAACACCCCAGAGAGGTTCAGAGAGCAGAACGTGCCCAAGACGTCACTGCCGTTTGAATCCAGACAGGCTTGCCTCACCACCCAGGCTTTTAACTGCCAGGAAGGGGAGACGGGTTGGTGTGGGATATGATGAGGTTTCTCTTCAAATAACCCGATCAATCTTTTATTCTTTAATTGATAGTACCCCCCACCTTTTTCCCTTCTTCTCCTCTTTTCCTTTTTGCCTTTGTTAAATGCCCAGACACGCCACAATACCAGGCGTTATCAATACCAGCTCACATTCCTTTCCTTATTTAAAAAAAGGACTAACTTTCTAACTCATCACAGACACCCCTTCCCCTTTCCTCTCTGCTTTCTTTTACGTGTCCACCTTATCTAAAAAAAAATCAAATGTTTAGCCAACCGAAATTAGTTTAAATTGTATAACCCGACCCCAGCCAATAAAAAAAAAGTACAAAAACAAGACTTGCGTCAAAAATAAAGGCTCTTGTGCCCCTTTGTTCCAGTGTGCTCTCATGGCAACTAGCCAAAGAGGCACCCCTCTGCGCAAAAGTAAAATTACTAAAAATCCTTTGTTCGAGTGTTCAATTTCCTTAAGATTTTAAACATTATTCCTGACATTGGGGTTATGGTTGTCCTGTGATTTATCTTTCGTCTTTTACCTTTCATTTATCATTTATCTTTCATCTTTGCAGGCCTGGGCCCCTCACTGCTCTCTCCGTACTCAGACGAGGACACTACCCAGCCCGGGGGCCCCTTCCAGCCAAGGGCAGGCTCAGCCCAGGCTGACTGAGCCGGCTCCTCTCCCCATCTGCCTTCTCCTCCCCCAGAAAGGACCTCAACCACACTCCACGCCGGCAGCCAACGCACAGGATGGGGGCGCCAGGAGAGGGGCCCCTCTCTCCTCTATGTACCCCCTGCCCACCTCGGGCCTACCTCAGCCCTCACCCCTCTGCCTGCTCCCAATCTGGGGGCTCTCTGGGGTGGTCTCAGCTCAGTGACCTCTGGGAGGTGGTCCCTGGCCCCCTCCTCCTTCTCTCAGGATTTCTCTTGGGGTTCTCAATACTTGGTTACCTCATTATCCCTTTCTCTGCCTCTCTTGGCTTTATTTTGGGGAATCAGGGGTGAGGAGGGTTGGGGGGGTCATATCTGTGTTTCCAGGTTCTGGGGAGAACAATGATCCACGGGTCAACGTGATCACATTTCCTTCTATCCTTCTTGTATTATTATTTTTATTTTTGTCAATTTCATGATATGGTTTTTAATCATGATGAATTGCCTGGGGTCTGTAAGAATGTGGGACTCTGATCTTCCCCCTCTTCAGGTGTCAGTGCGGAGAGGCTCTGGGCCAGACCTCACCCCCAGTGACTTCCGATTGAGGCCAAAGACCCCAAGCTGCCCGCCAGCTCTGACTGCCCCTTGCGCTCTGGGCTTCCTGCCGCCCCCAGCTTTGCCTGGACACTGACTTCATTCATGGTCCTCCTACTTCAGGGGCAGCCTCCCAGTTCCTCTGCTTCCAAACTATGCAACCTCCAACCTGCTCCAGTTCCAGACTGTATAACCTCTGACCTGCACTGGTTCTAGACCACACAACCTCCAATGTGGTCTGCTTTAGATCACCTTCTTCTTCTTCCTTCTTCCTCTTCCTCTTCCTCCTGCTCCTCTTCCTCTTCTTCTTCTTTTTTTTTTTTGACAGAGTCTTGCTCTGTCACCCAGGCTGGAGTGCAGTGGCGCGATTTCAGCTTACTGCAGCCTCCGCGCCCTGGGTTCAAGTGATTCTCCTGCCTCAACTTCCCAAATAGCCGGGACTACGGGCATGTGCCACATTGCCCGGCTAATTTTTGTATTTTTAGTAGAGATGGGGTTTCACCACGTTGTCCAGTCTGGTCTCGAACTCCTGACCTCAAGTGCTCCACCTGCCTCAGCCTTCCAAAGTGCTGGGATTACAGGCGTGAGCCACTGCACCCGGCTAGAACTCACTTTCTCCAAATCCCTCTGCTTCGAATTTCACCGTCTTCAGCTCTTTCTAGTTCTGGGCCTCACCAGCCTCTCATTCTGCCTGTTTTCAAACCTTACGATCCCCAAAAATTGTCTGGTTCTGGGCCTCTAACTCCCTCTGGCTCTATAGTCTATGACTACCAGATTCTTTTGGTTCTAGAATTCACTAACTTCCTCTGGTTCTAGACCTCTTCCTATAAATTAATCCCTCTTGTTTTAGATCTCACACCCTCCAACGCCCTCCGGTTCCAGATCTTATATTCAGTGATTTCCTCTGGTTCTGGACCCCACAACTCCAAGCTTCCTATTGGTTCCAGTTCTCCTGATCGGTAATACATTTGGTTCCAAATCCAGACCTCTTAATCTCTCTCTTTTTTTTTTTTTTTTTTTGAGACAGAGTCCCACTCTGTCACCCAGGCTGGAGTACAGTGGCTCAATCTCGGCTCACTGCAGCCTCCACCTCCTGGGTTCAAGCAATTCTTGGGCCTCAGCCTCCCAAATAGCTGGGATTACAGGCATGTGCCACCACGCCCAGCTAAGTTTTATATTTTTAGTAGAGACAGTGTTTCACCATGTTGGCCAGGCTGGTCTTGAACTCCCGACCTCAACTGATCCACCCGCCTCAGCCTCCCAAAGTGCTGAAATTACAGGAGTGAGCCTGGCCAGACTTCTTAATTTCTAAATCACTTTTGTTTTAGACCTTATGAGGCTCAGCTTATTCTTCTGCAGTTCTCTATAACCAAGACTCATTTTCTCTCATCAAAAACAAGTACAGAGAGTTTGATGTGTTTATCTCTTTTTTCTTCCTCTTCTTTTTTTTTTTTTTCTTTTTTGAGATGGAGTCTCTCTCTGTTGCCCAGGCTGGAGTATAATGGTGCCATCTAGGCTCACTGCAACCTCCGCCTCCTGATTCAAGTGATTCTCCTGCCTCAGCCTCCTAAATTGGTGGGATTACAGGAGCCCACCACCACATCCGGCTACCTTTGTGTATTTTTTAGTAGAGACGGGGTTTTGCCAAGTTGGAGGGGCTGGTCTTGAACTCTTGACCTCAGATGATCCACCCGCCTCAGCCTCCCAAAGTGCTGGGATTACAGGCATAAGCCACCGTGCCCGACCCTGTCCTTATCTTATAATAACCAGTTCTTCTAGAACCAGACGATGCTCTAGTTCTCCTAGATTCTGAACCTCATGACCTGTACCACTCACTAGTTCCAGACTACACAACTTCTAGAAGGTGCCACCTCCAGGGTCCTGATTCAAGATCTGGTGATCTGCTGTTTCTCTGGTTCTAGAACTGACTTACAAGTGCCTTCTGATTCTAGACCTCATTCCGTAAGTTCCCTTGGCTCTAGACTTCATCATTTCCAGCTCCTCCTCACTCAAGATCTGACTCCAAATTACCCTGGGTCTAGAATTCAGCCTTCAAATATCTTCTGATTTTAGACTTTGCCTTATACATTTCTCTGGTTTTAGATCTTACCACCCTCAACTCCTTCTGATTCTAGATCTTATGGTTCCCAAATCTCTCTGGTTCTAGAACTCAGATTTTAGGCTTTTGTTTTTCCTTTTTTTTGTTAAAAAAAAAAAAATAGAGACGGGGTTTCACCATGTTGCCCAGGCTGGTCGCGAACTACTGAGCTCAAGCAATTCTCCCTCCTTGGCCTCACCAAAGTGCTGGGACTACAGGCATGAGCCACTGAGCCCAGCCAGGCTTTTTCTAATTCTATGCTTTATTCTATAAATTCCTCTGCTTCTAAGCCTCACAGCTTCCAACTGCCTTTGATTTCAGATCCAAATTCCTCTGATTCTATAATTCAGCCTCCAAATGCTTCTGATTCTGGAATCTAGACTTTTCCCTAAAGATTCCTCTGGTTCTGAATCTTATAACCTCAACTCCCTAATTCCAGACCCCAGCCTCCTAAATCTATTCTGGGCTTCCCACCCCACTGAACTTACCCAATTCCTTCTTTCAGTCTTAAGTTTTCCCATTCTAAACCCCTACCCTCTAGGCTGTGCTGCTCCTGGACTTCATGCCTCTCCATTCTCATTGCCTACAATCTCTGTGCCCCAGAACCCCCTCCACTTCCCACCCCAGCCCTCCAGACATGCACTTACCTTGACTTTACCCCACATGTTTGGGGCACCTGGGGCTCCCTCACCCCTTGGGTGGTTTGCAATCTGAAGACTTCTCCAGCCACACAGGCACATGCACAGGCACGGTGCTGTCTGCATATTGCCAGGTGGGGAGAGAAGCCAGGACCCCTCAGCTGTCTGCCACCATCTATGTGCCTCCCTTACCCCCCAGCTTTCTTTCTACAGATGGTGCTACTCTTGGTCTCCCACAGGAAAAGGCCTCCCCCCTTCTTAGCCCCATTTACCCCGTTTGTGGAAGGCACTGCTCGCTCTGTTTTGTCAGAGAGTGGCCTATCCAGATTGGTGCTATGGGGGGGTCTGACCCCTCCCTCCTCCCTCTGGAGGTGATGTGGGCCCTCAATGGAGGGAATTGTGCTGGGCTAGGGAAAGGGGAGGGACTAGACTGGCCACACTGGCTCTGAAACTCACCAATCTCTATACACCATAAAGACCTCACCTTGGTAGGCACCAGAGCTCTGCGTGTTGACTCATCTTTTGGATCTCCTCTGGGAGTGTGGGTGCACTGGTGGCTGAGTGTCTTTTTTTTTTTCCTTCCTTCCTTCCTTCCTTCCTTCCTTCCTTCCTTCCTTCCTTCCGCTCTCTCTCTTTCTTTTCTTTTTTTTTTTTTCTTGGAGTCTCACTCTGTTGCCCAGGCTGGAGTGCAGTGGCACAATCTCTGCTCACTGCAACCTCCACTACCCAGGTTCAAGCGATTCTCCTGCCTCCGTCTCCCAAGTAGCTGGGATTTCAGGCATGTGCCACCACACCCAGCTAATTTTTGTGTTTTTAATAGAGATGGGGTTTCACCACATTGGTCAGGCTGGTCTCGAACTCCTGAACTCAGGTAATCTGCCCGCCTCGGCCTCCCAAAGTGCTGGGATTGCAGGCATGAGCCACCATGCCAGGCCCTTTCTTTCTTTCGAGACAGGGTCTCACTATCTCACCCAAGCTGGAGTGCAGTGGTGTGATCACGGCTCACTGCAGCCTCCTGGGCTCAAGCAATCCTCCCATCTCACCCTTCCCGGTAGCTGGGACTACAGGTGCATGACACGAGGCCCAGCTAATTATTTTCATTTTTTTGTAGAGACAGAGCCTTACCATGTTGCCCAGGCTGGTCTCAAACTCCTGGGTTTAAGCGATCCTCCTGCCTCAGCCTCCCAAAGTTCTAGGATTATAGGCTTGAGCCACTGCACCAGCCCCATGTTACTTTCTGATTCTGTGTATCTGTATGTGTGTGTGTGTGTGCATGCACACGAGTGTGTGCACAGTGTCATTCTGTGTATGTGTATGGGTCTTTGTCACATTCTGTGAACCTGTGTTGCAGCAGGTGGGTGGGGTTGTGATTCCTTCTACAAGTGCATATTAGTATCTGGGTGAAGTGATTCTGCCTTATGTGTGTTTCTGGTTATTTTGGGTTTCTGTGTTTCTGAGTGTGGAAGGTGCTGTGATTTTTTTTTTTTTTTTTTGCCTATGTATGTCTGTATGATGTGATTCTGTGTACATGTGTGGGACTGCTTGATGCTATAATTCTGGGTACCAATGTGTGTGTGACATGATTGCCCATAGTTAAGTGAGCATGTGTGTGCAAGAGTGTGTGTCCATGGACTCATGTGCAGGTGGGTGTGTCTGTTGTCATGTACGTCACTCTCATAACCCCCCATACAGGGTTGCACATAGGAATCTCTTCAAGGGAAGAAAAACACTCTCAAGCCTTTGCACTTCCTATTCTTCTGCCTGAAATGCCTCTCTCCCTTCCCCTCTCCCCTCACTTGGTTACCTCCTACTCATATTTCACATCTTGGTTTAGGTAACAGCTACTCCAGGAAGCCTTCCCTGCCTGCTCCAATTGGGTAAAGTGCCCCTAAAAGCTCCCCTTGGAAGCCCCCTCCCATCACAGCACTAGGCACTCTGCCCAACTCTGAATATTTGTTTTGTTTTATTTGTTTTTTGAGACAGAGTCTCACTCTGTAGCCCAGGCTGTCGTGCAGTGGCGCGATCTCGGCTCACTGCAGCCTCCGCCTCCTAGGTTCAAGCAATTCTCCTGCCTCAACCTCCCTAATAACTGGGACTATAGGTGCGCACCATCATGCCCAGCTAAATTTTTGTATTTCTGGTAGTGACGGGGTTTTGCCATGTTGGCCAGGCTGGTCTTGAACTTCTGACCTCAAGTGATCTGCCTGCTTTGGCCTCCCAAAGTGCTTCGATTACAGGCATGAGCTACCATACCCAGCCCACTTTGAGTATTTGTGATGGAGTGAATATAAAAGTACTACTCTGTGTCAGGCTCCCTGACAAATGCTGTACTCATGTTGTCGAACTCTCCTCTAATCCTGTATGATGGGGATAATTATTATCCCCACTTTACAGAGGTTGAAACTGAGGCTTAGAAGAGGGTGATCACTTGCCCAAGGTCACAGTGTCAGGAAGGATTCCGCTGGACTCGAAACCAGAATTCAAATCCACTATGGCAGCTCCTTTTCCCCCAACCCCAAAACAAACAATACGAACAAACAAAAGAAAAATTTACTAACCCACCAAGATGGGCTCTGGCACCTACAGAGGCAGTAGAGTGGCAATGAAGGACATAGGAATTAGATGGGATTCCTGATCCTGGCTCTGTCACCTTCTTATGTTGTTGTGACCTTCGTCAAACACCTCTGCAAGTCTGTGTCTTTATCTGTAAAATGGAGATGATACTAATATCTGCCCTTTAGGGTGATTGTTGGTTGTGCTGGGGGCCAGTAGGAGAGATGGGGTTGGACTAACAAGAGGTTTGGGAGTGGGATAGATAGGTTTAGGAGTGTGCTTCCAGGAGGGGATCCAGAGCCTTACAGGACTTAGTGCTACATGAGGGCTTAGAAAGGACAGACTGGAAGCGTGTACGGCGG
Source organism: Homo sapiens (assembly GCF_000001405.40). Lineage (NCBI taxonomy): Eukaryota > Metazoa > Chordata > Mammalia > Primates > Hominidae > Homo > Homo sapiens. Next base: position 46,345,849 of record NC_000019.10, read on the forward strand.
GTGGGGATTGGCAAAGGGGTGGAATCTGGATATTAGACTATTCAGCCTGAGGTTAAGACTATTCAGGGTCTCCTAATCAGGAGTTTGGGTTTTCTCCTAAGGGTGCTGGGGCCATGGAAGCCTGGGAGCGAGAGTGTGCCATGGTTTTATCATGTCTTAGAAAGATCCCTCGGCCGGGCACGGTGGCTCACGCCTGTAATCCCAGCACTTTGGGAGGCCGAGGCGGGCGGATAGCTTGAGGTCGGCAGTTCGAGGCCAGCCTGGCCAACGTGGTGAAACCCGTTTCTACTAAAATACAAAAATTAGCCGGGCATGGTGGCGGGCGCCTGTAATCCCAGCTACTTGGGAGGCTGAGGCAGAAGAATCGCTTAAACCGGGAGGCGGAGGTTGCAGTGAGCCTAGATGGCGCCACTGCACTCCAGCCTGGGCGACAGAGGGAGACTCCCTCTCAAAAAAAAAAAAAAAAAAAAAAAAATGTGAAGGGTAAACTGGAGGGAGGCAGAGTGCATGCAATCAATGCTGTGATCTCAGACAAGAGAATCTGTAAAAACACAAACAGGAGAGTTTATTTGAAGATTCAGGATTTGGGAAGCTGAACACAGGAAGAAAGGAGATGGTGCAACACACTTCTAAGCCTTGCTCAGGACTTGAAATCCAGAGTGCCTTCAGTTAAAAACTCAAACACTGACCCTCAAGGTTGGACCCTTTTTGGCTTGAGAAACCACTAATTTTTCAGAGATGGGTAACTGAGACCCTAGAGAGGAAGGGAAGATTTGTTCAAGGTCACACAGGTAGTCGACAATAGGGCTCGACGCCCGGGTCCGGCTCCGCGTAGGGCATGGCGCTGCCTTGCAAAACAGCCACACCCGCCAGCGACATTCACAACCCACCCCCCAACCCTAGAGGACAGCGGGGAAATCCCACTTTCAGAACCGAGAAACTTTTTACAGCCTTGGAACACGGTAACTTTGGGAGGAGAGGCCACACCAGGTCTGTTTCCCCGCGCGCCCCTTCTCTCATTCCCTATTGGCTCTCTCTACCAGGGGTACCGTCTGGGGAACCTCTGGTCACCTTGTCCTCCGCGCGCTCTGTGGCGAAAGGGACCTGCGCAGGCGCGTGAAGGGCGCCTTCAGGGCCCGCGCTTTACGACACTTGTGCGGCAGCGGCGGCGGCCACCCGGCGCTCCTTCGCGACGGTTCGGCCGGGTGCCGCTGGCGGCCGTTGCCAGGGTAGGGGTCGCTTTGCGGCATGGCGATGGCGGAGGGCGAGAGGACTGAGTGTGCTGAGCCCCCCCGGGACGAACCCCCGGCTGATGGAGCTCTGAAGCGGGCAGAGGAGCTCAAGACTCAGGCCAATGACTACTTCAAAGGTGCGCCCGCCTGGCAGGGAGGGTGGACAGTGGCCCAGGCTGAGGGGTGCCGGGCCCGCGCGGAACCATAGCAACGCGGAGCTGCAGCCTGGGCGCGGGGCAGACACTACCAAGTGACCGGGCGTGGGGAGGCCCAGGATGGCGCTGCCAAGGAGCGACATAGGGGGCTTCGGAGAGTGATACCTAGGAGTGGCGTGCGGAGCGGGTGCTACTCAGTGGAGAGACTGAGGAGGGCGCCACCAATTGTGGGGCGAGAGGGGGACTGGAATGAGGGCGCTACCAAACGTGAGGCCTGTAGAGGGCGCTACCAGGCAGTGACATGTGGTGGGGGAGTGATTGATGGCGCTACCAAATGGGGAGTCCTGGGGTGGGTGCCGCCAAGTGGGGGGTAGAGGGGGCACAGCCCCAATAGAGAAGGCAATCGTGGGGGTGGGGAATGGATCATTAGATGGGGGGAACAAGGAAGTAGGAGATTTGGGCTGACCCGAGGAAAAGGAATGTGATGGTGGGGGCCTTGGGAGTAAGGGTGGGGATCCTTAAGAATAGTATCACTTAGAATATTGAGAGTCAAGTGTGGGGCACCCATTCATTCATTAATTCAACAAATATTTATTGAGTACCTGTTATGTGCCAAGGACTGTGCTTGACTTTGGGGATATAGCAGTGAATGAGACAGATGTGGCCCTGTCCTTAGCTTGTAATTTTGCAGGTGAACCAGACATGAAAAAAAAAAAAACAAAAAAAAACCATGTAAATAAGTAAAATACTTAAATTGTGATGAGTGCTTTGAAAGCAAACCAGCAGTGTGATGAAGTAGAGAATAAGGGTTGGAGGCTACTTTAGATAGGGTAGTGGGGGAAGGCCTTACTGAGCAGGAGGCGTTTAAGCTGAAACTCACAGAGGGAGAACTGGAGAGGAGTGTTCCAGGGAGGTAAAGCAGCCTGTGCAAAGGCCCTGGGATGGGGAATGAAAGGGTACTGGCATGGCTGGGGCTTTGGCTACTTAGGGGGAGACCAATAACAAGATGAGATTAGGACAGAGGCCAGATCATGCAGGGTCTCCGTGAGTCATTACAAAGACCAGTTTGGAATTTTTTTTTTTTTTTTTTTTTTGAGACGGGAGTTTTGCTCTTTTTGCCCAGGCTAGAGTGCAATGGCGCAATCTCGGCTCACTGCAACCTCCGCCTCCCTGGTTCAAGCGATTCTCCTGCCTCAGCCTCCCGAGTAGCTGGGATTATAGACGCACACCACCATGCCCAGATAATTTTTGTACTTTTAGTAGAGATGGGGTTTCGCCATGTTGGCCAGGCTGGTGTCGAACCTCTGACCGCAGGTGATCCGCCCATCTCGGCCTCTCAAAGTGCTGGGATTACAGGCATGAGCCACCACGCCCAGCCCTACAAGAAGACACATTAAGTAAATGGGCCAGTCTGGACTGGAGAAGAATTTGGGTGTGATCAAACTATGGTTGGGAATGGATGAGATCATCTAGTAAGAGGGTCTAGAGGGGGGACTTAGGACAGAACCCAAATGGAAGAGGGTGAGGCTAAGGAGGAGCACTTAGTGAGGTGGAAAGGAAGCCAGGAAAGGTGTCGGGAAGGCTGAGAGAAGGGAGCGCTTCTAGAACAAGGAGCTGGTGCCTTTAGTCCGATGCTGCCAAGGCAAGCACTGGCCATTGGCTTTGGCTCCATGGATGCTGGTAGTGATGTTGACAGGAGCAGTTATTGGGGAGTGATGGGGGTGATGCAGCCAGGAGGTGCTGAAGAGTGAATGGGAGGGGAGGAAGTGGAGACAGCAAATGTTAAGTGTTAGGAGTATTGGTTCTGAAGGGGAGTGGAGAAATGGGGGAGGGTGGTAAGACGAGAACGTGCACAGGAGTTCGAGACCAACCTGGCCAACATGGTGAAACGACGTCTCTGCTGAAAAAATTAGTTGGGTGTGGTGGCACACACCTGTAGTCCCAGCTACTTGGGAGGCTGAGGCAGGAGAATTGCTTGATCCTTGGAGGCAGAGGCTGCAGTGAGCCAAGATCACACCACTGCATTCCAGCCTGGGCAACAGACTCCGTCTCAAGAAAAAAAAAAAGAGAGAAGATGCAGTGTCAGGGAAAGATGGATTTTTTGTAAGGATGGAAGAGAGTAGAGTCCAATAGAGATGGAGAATTGATTCTGCACAGGAGAGGGGGGACTTGCAGCAGCAAAACCCTGGAGAAGGCGGAGGTGGGAAGGGTCTGGAGCCCTGGAAGAGACTTGGCCTCCAACGGGAGCAGAAGCAAAGTGTGGAGAAGCTCGATCCGGTGGGAGCCGTGAGAGGGAGGTAGGACCAGTGAGAGATGAGGCCAGAGGTAGAACCTTGGAAGTCAGATTGGGGAATATGGGTGTCATCCTGGGGGTGGTCGATGCCATGGGAAGTTTCAAGAGCGGGGTGCTGTGGTTCAGTTAGTGTTCAGAAAAGATCCCTGGCTGCCATGCAGAGACTGGACTCCAGGGTAAGACAGGAAGGAGTCTAGATTAGTGGACAGGTGAGGAGGGGTGGTGATCGCCAGCCAGGCTGGAGGGACAGAAATAGATTCAAGAAGTGTTTCAGGGAGGAAGTGAGAGTGGCTGCCTGGAGAGAGGGTGGACGGTACTCCAGGCAGGGAAAAAAAAAACAAAAACAGGTGGCAAAGGCCCAAAGGTGAGCAGAGCCAGGCATGGAGGCCATAAGTGGGGCCACAGCGTAGGAGGCTGGAGGAGGTTATGATGAGTTTGCAGGGAGTAGATTGCGCAGGGCTGTAGGAAGGAGCCAGGGCTTTCTGGGGTGGGGTGGCGGTGGGGGGTGGGGCTCTGGGGAGCCCTGGGAGGTTCTGAGTAGGGAAAGGACAGGGTCAGGTTTGTGTTTTAGGAACACCCCTCTGGAGGGGCAGGACAAGAGGCTGCGAGGCCAGGTGGAGGCTGAGCCAGGAACCTGGGCAGGAGAGGCCAGACCAGGGCTGGGTGGGGCTGGAGGGTGAGAAGGGAGTGGCTGAATCTGAGAGATGTTCAGGAGGCTGACTTGGCAGAATAAGTGAAGTGACTACCGGGCTTTGGGGGCTGAGGGATGGAGAGGAGTCCAGGATGAGGCTGTCTCAGCCAGGTGATGGGGTGGAAGGTGGAATTCCCTGGGATGGGAGCAGCCTGCATGGGGGTTGCTGCTGAGGCCGCATCAGAATTCTGGGCCACAGCAGCCATTGGGAGGAGCCTGTTGCCCCCCAGGACCTGGGATCCAGGCTCTCAGGAGTCCTGGGGCTGGGCAGGCAGCCAGAGGGGCCTGGCACTGAGCTGGCACGGAGGAGAACGGCCCTGCTGGCCCAGGCCCCTTGCTGTCTGTCAGGCAGTAGCAGGCACAGAGCCCCAGGCTCCAGGGCTGTGGGAATAACAATAAAAAAGAATAATGACAGCTCACCTTAATTGAGCCTTGTGGCCAGGTACGCTGTGGGGTTTAATCCTCCCCGGGGGCTGGGAGATGGCTAGGAGTGGCCCTGTTTGTTTTATAAAGGAAGCAAGGCTCGGAGAAGTGAAAAAACCACTCGCCCAAGGTCAGAGTGTGTGAGCAGCAGGGCCCGGATATCCCCTTCCTCGCCACGTGCTTGGCTCCCACGTTCAGGTTCCTCCCAGAGCTGTACTGGCCCTGTTGAGGAGAAGAGGGGCCCCAGCAGGGAGAAGAGAGGTCCCAGGGCTCAGAGGACTGTCCCCTCAACTGTGGCTGGTTGCTCTGTAAGTTCAGGCCTATTCCAGAAATCCTGGGGGCAGAGCCTCGTCCCCCGTCTCATGTCTGAGTCTAAGGGAAGTGTCTCAACTGTCTTCCCCTCTCTGTGGGCCTCAGTGCCCCGCTTCTGTAAAATGGGGGGTGGGGGCTTATGCTTAACCCCTAAGGAGGCTCCAGGTATAAGAGCTTGTGGGGAGGAAGCAGGCCATGGTTGAGAGCTCAGGCTGCCTGGGTTCAAACCCTATGTCTTCCTTTACCTGCTTGATGACGCCTGGGCAAATGACTTAACTTCTCTGGGCCTCTGTTTCCTTGCATCTAAAATGGGGAATGTCTTGAGGCTTAAATATGGTCCTGTTTGTAAAGCGCATAGAACAGGGCCAGGATATGGCATGTGGGTCGACCCGTGGAGTACAGGCTCCTCCCATTTCCTCTTGTTCCCTTCACTTCCTCCCTTCATTTAGTCATTCACGCATTCACTTCTTTTGCCTGCTTCTTTTGCTGCAGCCAGTTTTCTTACACAAGTTCGTAAAATCCTCACGGCCACCCAGTGAGGCAGAGCTCAGAAAGAGGAGGCTATTTGCCTGCAGCCTCGAGTTAGAGATCTGCAGAGCCGGGTGGCAGGCCCTGAGACTCCAGGATCCCCTCCCTGTGCCACTGGAGTAACAGCTGCCCCATCAGGAGCGCGGGCCAGGCAGCCTCTGGACCACAGCCAGGAGGCCTGAAGGAGTCCTCAAAGGCGCTGGCATTCCAGGGAGGGTCGGTCAGATCTGGGCTGCCCAGTTCTGCCCTTGTTTGTTTTTGGGAAGTCCCGGGCCCTGCCCTCCTGGGGCTTACAGCTCTGGAGGGACACACTCATTACTCAACAGTGACGATGAGAGTGGACAGGGCTGGCACAGGAGATCCCAGGGGCTGGGGCAGCCCAGTCGGGGGCCTGACCCAGCCTGGGAGTAAAGGAGGGCTTCCCGGAGGAGGGGACATGTGAGCATTTGAAAGATTGCCAGGAGTTGGCGTGGCAAAGAGGAATGTTGTTAGATTGTTGCTGGCCACATCCCCAGGACCCGGCTTCTCCCTTCTGTAATGTCAGTCCTCATCTCTCTCTGCATCCCTCCTTCCTTTCCCTCTGGAGCCACTCATGGAGCCTGGGACTCTCTTCTTCCATCTCTTCAACCAACTGACTCCCATCCTCCAGGTCTCAGCCCCAGTGTCCCCTCCGAGCTGCCCCAACCCTAAACACTGGGCACCACTGTCTAGGGATGGATCTGTCTCCTCCACTGGATGGTAAGCCCTGGGAGGGCAGGGCTGTGTGTAAGAAGGACTCTCGGAGTGCTGTTGAGAACATTAAAATGGGAGTGAGGGTGGGGACTCTGTGCAGGGCTGCTGGTAGAAGGACTCTAGGAAACCCTAGTCCACAGGGGGTTCCTCAGTAGCCCAGGGATACCCAGGTAGTAAGAGGCAGAGCTAGGGACTGGGCCCAGGCCACCTACTCCTGCCTCTGTGCTTACCCCTGTGCCACGCTCCTGCCCAGAGGTCACCATGGCATGGGGCGTGAGAGTGGGAGCCTTTTGGTCTTGGCCTGGCTCAGAAGGCCCACTTCTCGGCCAGGCGCTGTGGCTCACGCCTGTAATCCCAGCACTTTGGGAGGCCAAGGCAGGAGGATCACGAGGTCAGGAGATCGAGACCATCCTGGCTAACACGGTGAAACCCCGTCTCTACTAAAAATACAAAAAATTAGCCGGGTATAGTGGCGGGCGCCTATAGTCCCAGCTGCTCGGGGGGCTAAGGCTGGAGAATGGTGTGAACCTGGGAGGCGGAGCTTGCAGTGAGCGGAGATCGCACCGCTGCACTCCAGCCTGGGCGACAGAGCGAGACTCCATCTCAAAAAAAAAAAAAAAAAGAAGGCCCACTTGTCACCTGCTGTGTGACCTTGAGCACCGGCCTTTCTTCCCTGAGCTTCAGTCCCCAGATTTGGAGACGGGGGTTAATGTAGTTTCCCTGGGCTTGTGAGAGTTCAGTGAAGGGGGACCTGTGTACTAAAGCCCTGCATGGCTCTGGTACATCACGGCCCCCAGTGGGGACAAGCCTCTAAGGCTGTTTAAGCCTTGGCTCTCCTGCCTGTCAAATGGGCACGAGGGAGGGATCAAGCCTGGCTCTGCAGGTGCAGACAGGGCATTTGACCTTGAGCAAGACCTCCATGGCTTGTCTGTAAAATGAGCACCAGATGGTCCTTACTCCCGTGGAGACATGAGGATTCCACAGGTCACGAGGTAAAGTGCAGGGTACAGCTATAGCTCATCTCAAATAAAATCCGACCTCTCCTCCTTGGCCAGATGTCACATCCTGTCACTCCACACTTAGAACATCAGTGTCCAGACCTCACTGTGGCTGCCCGGGGCCCAGGGATCTGTCCCACCAGCCTCCCTGCCTCATCTCTCCTCCCCCTGCCCACTCCACCCAGCTGCCTCAGCTCTCACTGGCCCTCAGACAAGGCTCAACCACCTCTGGGCCTCTGCACCTGCTCTTCTTGCTATCGGAGTGCTCTTCCCTCAGTCTGCTGCTAGTGCCCAGCTTGGGGCTGGAGGGGTGGGTGGGCGGGTGTGTGGAGTCCTGGAGACTGTGGCCGAGAGGACAAGCCCTGAGCTAGGTTGGTTGGGACAGGCAGGAGGGGCAGGCTGAAGAGATGTCTCTGGGCTCAGGGTAGCCCTCAGCTTCCCCATCTGTGAACAGGGAGACTGGGCGTCACCCAGCCCAGGGCCTGTCCTCGCAGGGTTGGAGCACTGCCTCATGCCTCTTCTTCTGTCTCCGCAGCCAAGGACTACGAGAACGCCATCAAGTTCTACAGCCAGGCCATCGAGCTGAACCCCAGCAATGCCATCTACTATGGCAACCGCAGCCTGGCCTACCTGCGCACTGAGTGCTATGGCTACGCGCTGGGAGACGCCACGCGGGCCATTGAGCTGGACAAGAAGTACATCAAGGGTTATTACCGCCGGGCTGCCAGCAACATGGCACTGGGCAAGTTCCGGGCCGCGCTGCGAGACTACGAGACGGTGAGCTGGGGAGTGGGCCAGGCCTGGCACCTGAGCCAGGCAGATACTGAGGGCTGGGCTGGCGGGGACGGGTGTGAGGAGCCATTCACTCCTCTACTTACCACTCAGCCAGCCAGCAAGTGCCTGTGGGGCCTTGGGCCCAGGCCAGAGTACCCAGGCCACAGCTCTGCTCAGCCATCTCACATTTTGTGACCCTGAGCCAGTTACCCCGCCTCGCCACACCTTCCTTTCCATATCCGTGAAATGAGGAGAACAAGAGGATCAGCCTCAAGGGTAGCGGTGAGGAAAAGTGAGCTTTTGCCTTTCACACGAGTAGACCAGTACTTGGCCCGGGGTCAGTGTCCTGTGATGGTTCACCTGATGGTTACTGTCATTGTTAGTGCTGGTGCTGGACAGGAGCCACACAGCCTCTCTTCTTCTGGTGGAGCTTGTCTTTCAGGGGCAGGCAGAAAACCCACCACTGAATAGGTTAGCAGAATAATTGCAGGTGAGGATCTGCACTTTGAAGAAAAGAGGAAGGGCAGTCGGGCACAGTGGCTCACGGCAGTAATCCCAGCACTTTGGGAGGCCAGGGTGAGAGGATTGCTTGAGCCCAGGAGTTTAAGACAAGCCTGGGCCACATAGGGAGGAGACCTCATCTCTACAAAAAATACAAAAATTAGCCAAGCGTGGTGGCACGCACCTTTAGTCCCAGCTACTCAGGAGGCTGAGGCAAGAGGATTACTTGAGCTCAGGAGCTCAAGGCCGCAGTGAGCTATGCTCTCACCACTCCACTCCAGCCTGGGCGACACAGTGAGACCCTGTCTCAAAAAAAAAAACAAGAAGGGTGATATGCTGCCAGGGACAGCAGACAGGATATGTGTGATATGCTGATGAGGGAGGGGACCTAGGGCACAGTGAGAATTCGCTAGTGCCCTCACCCACCTAATGAAAATCCTGACGGTATGAGGCTCTGCAGAGCGAGCACACACCTTCACACCAGGTGTGCTCTGCATCTTCCTTCAGGGAGGCTGGCTGAATCATTACAGCACCCTGGGACGTGGGAACTGGGATTACTCCCCTTGCACAGATGAGGAAACAGTCCCTAAGGGGTGAAGTCACCTGCCCAGTGACCCCCACCTGGTTAGTAGCAGAGCTGGGATTTGAACCCAGGAGGCCTGGCCTCAGGGCCTTATCTCTCCCACCTCAGAGTTCGCTCCCTGAGACGGGGCCGTGCGCTTGTCCTGCGCATGGGGATGGTGCAGCAGGGGGCTTGGTCAGTGTGTGTCGAGAGGATTGTTATCCTGCCCCCCGACACAGACACACTTCACTCCCTCCTTCCCTTGCAACCATCACACTCGGAGCTGCTTGTGTCGTGTAGGGAGGGGCAACCAGGGAGCTGGGAGCCGCGAGTCTGCAGTTGGTCGCGGGGCTGAGAAGCACGAGTCTGCAGTCGGTGGAGCCAGCTCAGACACTGTCCTGGCTGTTGGCCGCTGGCCTGGGGTGGAGGGTGGACTTCAGGCCAGGTGAAGGCTTGAGCTAAGCATGAGTCCAGGGGACACATGTTAGGATGGGGGCAGAGATGTGGCGGGGGGTTAGGGCGACACCTAGAAGGGTGGGGGCAGGGGCAGCAGAGCAGAGGCCTTCCCAGCTTGGGCTCCCAAGCCATTCTTGGCCAAGCCCCTCCCTCATTGTCTCTTCCTGTCCTAATCTAGAAAATGGTGACAAGAGGAGTGGCCGCCTCCGGATGGCTGTGGCTGTGATGACATGGTTGAGTAAAGGTCACGAGCTGCAGGGCTCAGTAATGAGTAACCAAGGACAGTCGGTGTTGGGTTGGGGCAGGGCTCCAGGTGGGAAGGGGGCCTGGGGAGACAGTGGGGCAGAAGAGAGGAGCCCCAAGGACAGGTTTAGGGCAGGGTCTTCATCTCGTGTGGGGCTGCAGGAGCATCTTTCCCCAGGGTAAGGAGCAGGGGCTGCAGGCAGGGTCTTCGTCAAGTGTGGGGCTGCAAGAGTGTCTTTCCCCAGGGTAAGGAGCAGGCTTTTCAAGACTCTGGCCCAGTCTAGGGCCCAACCCCGCATACTCCCAACCCCGCATACTCCCTGAGGCTGGGCTGGTTGGCTTCAGCCATCTTGTGGGTGTGCCACGTCTGAGCTGTGTCCCAGGCCTGGCGGATGGCAGGGAGGGTTGAGGGGGTGGGGAATTCAGAGTCTTTTACAGAATACCCAGCACCTAAATTGTCATGGCCCATTTCCCCATGGGGGCTCTCCCAGCAGCATTGGGGACCCCCACATGAACATGAGGGCTTACCTGTCATCAGGCCATCCATATGCCTGCAGGCCTTCAGCCTTGCTCCTTTCTGCGCAGTTCTTCAGGCTCCATGTGCCCTGGGGCAGTTCATCTTCCCAAGACTCTACCTCCTGCTTGCTGGATGCTAGAGTTTCCTCCTAGACCAGAAGCTCGCCAGGGAAGCAGAGCAAAGACGTGACCTTGGCCTTGGGCGGGGGAGCTCCCCTTAGCCTCGGTTTCCTCAGCGGTCTGCTCACTCTGGGCCCAGCACTGCTGGGAGCCCTTTGTGCACCTGAATTCAGCCTGAATTCAGACTGAGGCCTAGAGAGGAGATGTCCCTCCTCCAAGGTCACCCAGCAGGGAAGTGGCAGAGCTGAGACTTGAACCCCTAGTCCATGCTTGTAACTGTTTCTGGGCCACAATCAGTTGAATAGCTTCAGCACTTTTGTCTTCATCAAACAGAGAATTAAAAACGGTTCATTGTTTGGAGGAAGTGTGTATAAATATTGTTTTGTGGAAATGACTTTTCATTTACACAAGTACAGATGAGTGATGGATGTGATATAAAAATCCCTATTTTACATGTGGGCTGCAGGCAGAGAGTCTGCGGTCACCAGTGCAGGGGCTAGATGGGGCAGGCTCTGGGCTCAGGACGCCTAGGTTCACAGCCAGCTCAGATTGGGTAGCAGCTGCATGGCTCCTAGTGCCTTTTTTCTCAGCCTTAGTGTCCTCATCTGTTAAAGGAGGTGAGAATATAGGAATAACAACCAAAGTGTTTTTTCTTTGTTTTTGTTTTTTGTTTTTTGTTTGAGAGAGAGTCTTGCTCTGTCACCCAGGCTGGAGTGCAGTGGCACAAATCTTGGCTCACTGCAACCTCTGCCTCTTGGGTTCAAGCGATCCTCCCACCTCAGCCTCCCAAGTAGCTGGGACTACAGGCGTGTGCCATCAAGCCCGGGTAATTTGTGTAATTTTTGTGGAGATGGGGTTTCACCATGTTGCCCAGGCTGGTCTCAAACTCCTAGGCTTAAGGAATTTGCCCACCTTAGCCTCCCAAAGGGCTGGGCTTACAAGCATGAGCCATGGCACCCGGCCCCAAAGTGTTTTTTCTATTCTCTCAGTCAACAGTTACACAGAAAATTTCTGTGACCACTGGTCACGAAAGGGAGTGGAGGTCTCTCCCTACCGGCAACCAAGCAGTCGATTCTGCAGTGGACACCAGCTGGGTGTTCTCTTATTGAATTAATTCTGACACTATCTGTCCAGAGATAGCATTAGATTCCACAGGTTGAGGACTTAGTCCCCACTTGTCCCTTATTTCTGATGCTGATCACAAGACCTAGGTTATTTTGCCGGTGATTCTGACTGACTGGCTATTAATTAGGGTTTCTGTGACCCACTCCTTGGGTTCAATTAATTTGCTAGAGAACTCCCTCATGGAATTCAGAGAAACACATTTACCAGCTTATTATAAAGGCTGCTACAAAGGATACAGATGAGATGCGCAGAGCAACGTGTGGGATGGAGTGCAGAGCTTCCGCGCCCTCTCCTGGAGCACCACTCTTCAGGAACCTCCATGTGTTCAGCTATTCAGAAGCTCCCTGGACCCAGTCCTTTCGGGTTTTTATGGAAGCTTCATTATGTAGACATGATTAATTATACCATTGGTCATTGGTGATCAACTTAACCTTCAGCCCTTCTCCCCTCCCGGAGGTTGGAGGGTGGGGCTGAAACATTCCAACCTTACAGGCCCACTTTGGTCATTCCAGTGACCAGCCCCCATCCTGAAGCTACATAGGGGTGGCTAGCCATTAGTCAACACATGAGCATGCAAAAAGACACATCACTTTGGAGATTCCAAAGATTTTAGGAGTTATGTGCCAGAAAACAGTACATGATGAATATCAAACCTGTATTTCATAGTACCACTGGCCACCCGTGGTCTTCAAACACAGTTCCCTCATATCCAAAGAATATACAACTCAAAAGGTATTACTGGCCAGTTTGTTACTAGAACTCCATTAGGTCATTAATAATTAGTTCATCATATTATATGATTATGTCTCCCAGGGTGAGACCAGTCAGGTTTGCAGGTTTCTATTCAGTCTTGCCAATTTCCAAAAGCAGGCGTGATCTCAGCAAATATATGGCTCCCCCCTTTCAGGCATTAGGTATAATTGAGATAAGAGACAATGTCACCCTTGTTCTGAGCCTCTTTCAAAGTGTTAATGTAATACTGGAGATTTCTTAATTCATAACTCATTTATTCATTCGTTTACCCTCGTAAATGTTCCTCCGTTTCTTCATTTATACCTGTTGTCCTAAAGGAAGAAACTGAGGCAAAATTAATATAAGTAGAGATTTTATTTGGGCCAAGGTTGAGGACCAGCCTGGGAGCCTCAGGTTATCTCGGGAAGTGCTCCAGAGAACAGATAAGCTCAAGCGTTTAAAGACAAAAGGATAAATCGGGGAGGAGTGATTACAAAGGGTGTCTTTCAGGAATTCTCATTGGTTTAAAAAATAACATTGATCAGTAATTGGCTCTGCGTTATTAAATTACAGGGTGTAAGTGATGGCATCCGTGTATGGCATTGTGAGGTTGATGTGTAGCTGTCTCTGGACTCTTACTCTTGAGTCCACAGGGTCAGTGGCTTCGGGGGATGAGTTTTTCTCAAGATGGGGAGTGGGACATGACTGCTCCCTCATTCCAGTTCCTCTCTAGGCTCAATCATTTAAAGGGGGTTTGCATTACTCAAGGAAAAGTTTCTTTTCTTTCTCATTTTTCCCTTTTGGTCAAAATCTTTCTTTTTAAAAGCATTGATCAGAGTCTGAGTGTCAGGGTGTCCCTCGTCACTAGGAAGGCTCACTTTAGGACAGGCCTGTTCTATGTTGGGGAGGGGGAAGGAGATGGCTCAGTGAGGAATTTTCAGTGTGTCCAAAAGCTGAAGTAGGATGGCCTCACAGAGTGGCAAAAAGAAGACCTGAATCAAGTCACTGATTTATACAGCTGCGTCTCTGTGTCCAATCATCTCTAGTCTTCAGAATACCATGATTTTCATTTTCTCGGAAGTAAAACAAGAAGATTAGTAATTTAAATAGTAGAAATATAATGCACATAAGGATTATAATGAAAACAAGAATGTATATGCCAGAATGAAAAAAAGAGCCTTTTCCAATTAGGGAGCCAGCTAAAAACATGAGGAAAATGAAACCCAGCTTCTGCTTTGGGGACTTACTGTAGCCAAGATAGAATTCAAGATTCAGTACAAACTGTAGGCAAGTAATAAAAACCCAAAAACAGTGGTCAGGGCTAGAATCTAAACACAGATGTGCAACTGAAGCATCATTTTTCCTTTCCAGTCCCCCAGTTTTACCAAAGACACTAATAATAGCAAGACCAATTTATTCTCAAAATAAGTTTTAGTGTTATACTTTATTTGCATAAAGTACAGCAAGATTAGTGACTGACCATATAGACTCCTTTTAAGTTGGCTTTCCCGGAAAATGAGGAATTTCGGATTAGACTTTTTTTTTTTTTTTTTTTGAGGCGGAGTTTTCCTCTTGTTGCCCAGGCAGGAGTGCAATGGCGCAAACTCGGCTCACTGCAACTTCTGCCTCCTGGGTTCAAGTGATTCTCCTGCTTCAGCCTCCTGAGTAGCTGGGATTACAGGCACCTGCCACACACCTGGCTAATTTTTGTATTTTTACTAGAGACGGGGTTTCACCACGTTGGCCAGGCTGGTCTTGAACTCCTGACCTCAGGTGATCCACCTGCCTCGGCCTCACAGAGTGCTGGGATTACAGGCCTGAGCCACTGCACCCGGCCTGTAAGATACTTTTTGAGAAGAATTAAAGTAAAACAATAATTGCCTGTGTATGACAGAGGACTTAGAACAGCCATGGTTAAAGACTCAATTGACCAGGAAATTTGGCTATTTCTGCAGCATATAATTTAACATAATAATCATAATTAATAACTGATAACATATACGAGGACATAGTTTCTTTTTTAGAAATCTGTACAATTTTGGAACATATATTAATGAGACCCATACAAATATAACAAAAAAGATCAGCACCATTTCCTACGTGACAATACTTCCCATATGGTTTTTAACATCCCAGATAAGCCTAATATGTCTCTCTTGGTCTTCCGGGGTCCCTGACATCCAGAAGTTAGTTCGAGGTCAAAAAGACTTAATTTTAGAATTTGAAATTAGATTTTTCTTTGAAATTAGATTTTTCTTTTTTTTTTTTTCTTTTTTGGAGACAAAGTCTCACTGTGTTGCCCAGGCTGGAGTGCATTGGCACAATCTTGGCTCACTGCAACCACGGCCTCCTGGGCTCAATTGATTCTTGTGCCTCAGCCTCCCAAGTAGCTGGGATTACAGGCATGTGCCACCACACCCCGCTAATTTTTTTGTATTTTTTGTAGAGACAGGGTTTTGCTATGTTGGCCAAGGTGGTCTTGAACTAGCCTCAAGTGATCAGCTTCAGCCTCCCAAAGTGCCAGGATTACATGTGTTAGCCACCACGCCCAGCCCTGAAATTTGGTTTTGTAAACCCTACAAATGCATCAAAGGTTTGAAACACTTAATCAAAATAGGATCACACATCACTGTGAAATAATATAGTCATTCATTTAGCCAAAGTGTTAATTAGAAGATTTCAAAAAGCAAAAACCTTTACTCTTTGGTAGAGAGGAGACTCAGTTTCCCAAATAATCAAAAGACCTAATAAAGACAGCATAAGAGCAACAGAATCTTTCTCTCCCTCTCCCCTTTTTTGTTTTTTCTGTGTTGTTTGTTTGTTTGTTTTTTGGGATTTTTGTTTTGTTTTGTGTTTTGCAATTTACCCAAAAGATAAGTGAAAGAAAATTTTTTTTTTTTTTTTTTGAGACGGAGTCTCACTCTGTCGCCCAGGCTGGAGTGCAGTGGTGCAATCTCCACTCGCTGCAAGCTCCACCTCCCGGATTCACCCCATTCTCCTGCCTCA
Source organism: Homo sapiens (assembly GCF_000001405.40). NCBI lineage: Eukaryota > Metazoa > Chordata > Mammalia > Primates > Hominidae > Homo > Homo sapiens. The sequence goes on from NC_000019.10 coordinate 46,361,248, forward strand.
GCCTCCTGAGTAGCTGTGACTACAGGTGCCTGCTACCACGCCCAGCGTATTTTTTGTATTTTTATGAGAGACGGGGTTTCACTGTGTTAGCCAGGATGGTCTCAATCTCTTGACCTCATGATCCGCCCGCCTCGGCCTCCCAAAGTGCTGGGATTACAGGCGTGAGCCACTGCGCCTGGCTGAAAAATCTTTTATTATCTTTTACTAATACTACACCAGCCGGGCATGGTGGCTCACTCCTGTAATCCCAGCACTTTGGGAGACTGAGGCAGGCGGATCATGAGGTCAAGAGATCGAGACCATCCTGACCAACACGGTGAAACCCTGTCTCTACTAAAAATTAAAAAAAAAAAAAAAAAAAAAAAAAATTAGCCGGGCTTGGTGGCATGTGCCTGTAGTCCCACCTACTCGGGAGGCTGAGACAGGAAAATCACTTGAATCCGGGAGGTGGAGGCTGCAGTGAGGCAAGATCGTGCCATTGCACTCTAGCCTGGCGACAGAGCCAGACTCCGTCTCAAAAAAAAAAAAAAATACTATACCAAAATTTTGCTCAAAAGAGAAAAACAAATTCTTCCTTTGCATCAATGTATTATTTATGGTAAAGCTAATTTTAATAAAACCTTATAAACAAATCTATCCAATCTCAATCAGCTTTGACCATACAAAATAAGATTTCCATGAATCTTTTGTAATTTACAAATTTTTCCATTCTTTTTTCTCCCTACTTTCCATATCTATTCAGTTTATCTCATTTTTTCTTTCTTTTATTCCTTCAATTTAATACAACCTTTACCTCTAAACTAAGTAAAATTGCTTTTCCTTTAACAAAACCACATCCTCTGTCTTGTGTATAACCTTCCTTACCAAAACCACATCTTAGACGTTCTGTATACAGAATTGTTTCTCTTGGTTATCACATATTAGAATTTTAACTCTTAGTGACCGTAATTCATAGCAAAAACCTAAGAAGCAAGCAATTTTTAACTGTTAGTCATGTAGCAGTAATTTATGATGCCATCTTTATAATTTTTAGAAATATAGGGTTTCTAATGGAACAATTTTTCAATGGAACAGGACATTTTTCCTAACAGATCTCAGTATCTTTTGTTTCTCTAAAATAAGAAGTCAGAAGCCATATTTAGTAGTTACTGTCTTAGCATCATCTCTTATTTGGAAATGATCTAGATATTCAATGAATATTTGTCATTAATTTAGCTTAGTAAAACCCTAAGGGCATAATTACCAAAAGATTTGAGAAACCTTTTTAAGTAGGCATATTATAAAACATAATTATTATTAAAAGTTCATTTATAAAGTTGATTCTATTTATATGTATTTAATTTATTCATTTTTAGTGATTGTTGGGAAAATTTCGTGAGACAGACAAATCCAACCATCATCTCAAGTTAAATTTTCTATTAACCATTTTTTATTATTGTACGTTAGGCAAGTATCATAGAAGTAAGAACCTTAAAGTTAGATACATACATATTTTGCTGGTAACTCAGAAAACATAGTTTTTATTTATTTATTTTTATTTTTTATTTTTATTTTTTTTGAGATGGGGTCTCACTCTGTCGCCCAGGCTGGAGTGCAGTGGCGCGATCTCGGCTCACTGCAAGCTCCGCCGCCCAGGTTCATGCCATTCCCCTGCCTCAGCCTCCCGAGTACCTGGGACTACAGGCGCCCGCCACCACACCCGGCTAATTTTTTGTATTTTTAGTAGAGATGGGGTTTCACCGTGTTAGCCAGGATGGTCTCGATCTCCTGACCTCGTGATCCGCCTGCCTTGGCCTCCCAAAGTGCTGGGATTACAGGCATGAGCCACTGCCCCGGGCCGCCGACATAGTTTTTATTAAAACCATCCCGGCTAAAACGGTGAAACCCCGTCTCTACTAAAAATACAAACAATTAGCTGGGCATGGTGGCGGGCGCCTGTAGTCCCAGCTACTTGGGAGGCTGAGGCAGGAGAATGGCGTGAACCCGGGAGGCGGAGCTTGCAGTGAGCCGAGATCCCGCCACTGCACTCCAGCCTGGGCGACAGAGCGAGACTCCATCTCAAAAAAAAAAAAAAAAAAAAAAAAAAAAAAAAAAAAAAAACAATTTTAAACTAGTTTTATTTGCCAAAAGATTTACTGATTTACTCAGGTCATGTGAACTTGGAAAATCTTTGGGCTTACTTTCTTTATTTTTTTCTTTTTCAGACGGAGTCTCACTCTGTCGCCAGGCTGGAGAGCAGTGGCGCGATCTCGGCTCACTGCAATCTCTGCCTCCCAGTTTCAAGCGATTCTCCTGCCTCAGCCTCCAAGTAGCTGGGATTGCAGGCACGCACCACCACATCCACCTAATTTTTTCATACTTTTAGTAGAGATGGGGTTTCACCATGTTGGCCAGATGGTCTCGATCTCCTGACCTTGTGATCTGCCCCCGCTCAGCCTCCCAAAGTGCTGGGATTACAGGCATGAGCCACTGCACCTGGCCTCGGTTTACCTTCTAATTTGTGAGTGCTCGTTTGTCTTTAATTTTGTATCATGTAGATAATATACAAAAACATGTATAGACATAACATATATGTAGACACAACATATAGCACACATGTACACATGTATGTATCGACAAGTTACAGAGATCAAGGAGCTCTATGTAAAAGAGAATAGAGCTTTAGACCTGAGAGGAGCCTGTTTACCCACAATGCTTGGGGCTCCATGAGGATAAACAGAGGTTCACTCATGTGATACCAAAGGTGGCAAGAGGAAGGAGGGACAGACAGCGGTACATCAAAGAACAGGACTTAGAGGAGCCAGTCAAGGAGATCTTGTTTTCCATAAAGCAATTAAGTTTTACATTATCCTTGGCAAAAATCATGTCAACAAGAAGAAAGAGGGATTGTGTATAATTAGGAGCAGTTTGAGAAGAGAGGAAATCAGAGAGAACAGAGGCATCAAAAAATATATATATACGTGTGTGTGTGTATGTGTGTGCATACATATGTAGCCAAATATCAGCTTTTAATCAAGTCAGCTTTTGACTATAGAGCTCTTTAAAAACTTTTAATCAGGTTTTAGCCAGGCAGATAGTAAACATTCGGCCAGATGCAGTGGCTCACCCCTGTAATCCCAGTATTTTGGGAGACCGAGGCAGGAAGATCACTTGAGGCCAGAATCCTGGGCAACATGGCAAGACCTCTTCTCTAGTCTCAAAAAAATGTTTTTAAACAGATAGCAAACCTATCTGTTCCTTGGCTTTCCCTTTCTGAAATTCACATCAAGGAGTTTGCTTTGGGAGGTGGGTCATATTTGTTTATTAGAGGTCTAGGGTAATCATTATTTAAAGCTATTTGTCTTTTGTAAATCTTGCAGCAAAGTTCAGCAGACAGTTGGAGCATTTAAAGGGTTTTCTGGGGGAGTTTCCTAAAAAAAAAATAATTGTACCTTTCAAATCTCTTATGAGATTGCAGCCAGGACAAATAGGAAGTAGGTCTCCATTCGATTTGTCTGGTTCTAAATCCTGCCTTTTCCAATTGTGTGCACAAATACATTAATTTAGGAATTTCAAGACCCTCATTTGGGCCATTGCACTTTGGGGTATCTCACGCCGCTGGGTCCATTTACCTAGGTATTTGCAGGATGGCGCTCCATAGGTATTAGACATAAATCCAGCTGGTGTTTCGGGGCCGGGGCGGGGGGGCTGTCCTTTAAGGCAAAGCTCAGTTTCAATGAGCAGTTTCCTATAATTTTATTTATTTATTTATTTGAGATGGAGTCTTGCTCTGTCACCCAGCCTGGGGTGCAGTGGCGCAATCTCAGCTCCCTGCAACCTCCGCCTCCTGGGTTCAAGCAACTCTCTTGCCTCGGTCTCCCAAGTAGCTGGGATTACAGGCATGAGCCACCACGCCCAGCTACTTTTTGTGTTTTTAGTGGAAACGGGGTTTCATGATGTTGGCCAGGCAGGTTTTGAACTCCTGACCTCAAGTAATCTGCCCACCTCGGCCTCCCAAAGTGCTGGGATTACAAGCGTGAGCCACCATGCCCAGCTAATGTTTGTGTTTTTAGTAGAGGCGGGGTTTCACGATGTTGGCTAGGCTGGTTTCAAATGCCTGACCTCAAGTGATCCACCTGTCTCAGCCTCCCAAAGTGCTGGGATTACAGGCGTGAGCCACACACCCAGCCTCCTATAATTTTAGAATTTCCTTCTCAAAAGTGACCAAGGCCAGGACAGTATATTGCGTCGAGGTGTGCCGCTTTGTGGGTGTCACTCTTCCAGGTGTCACCAGTGAATCGTGAGGCATGTTCTTATGTGTCTTGGAATCTCTTATCACCTTGTGGCAGCAGAGTGCTTCAGGTATCAGAGTGACCAGTCCCTTATTCATACCTTTCCAGCTGAGCAAGAGTCCTTACTGGTCTTCTTCCTAATGGGAGGCCCTTTAAGACTCCAACACGTCATGCATGGAAAAACATCCCCATACCTCTGCAAAGTCTCTGGTTGCCTAAAGAATCCAGTGGGTCAAAGGGGGCAATTTTCTCTTCTCTTTGAGGCAAGATGACTTACCCTCATGCAGCTTAGTCAGAAGCAGCTGCAATTTAAAAAGCATGCTGTCTAATTTCAGCCCAGAAGTGCAGCCACCAGTGCCAGAATGCCAGTACTGTGACCCGGGCCTCCTGCTGTGAAGCAGCGGTGGAGAAGGCAGTTTTCTTTTTTTCCCCCTGAAACTCGAATCCCTTGCTCATAGACAAAGATGGAAACCTTCATTCTAGAAAAAGAGAGATAGAACCACTCAAATAAAGTCTAGACCTCATCTGACAAGAGAGGGGGTCCAGATTCAGGAGCACTCACCCTTTTGCCCCCAGTGAACCTGTGGAATTGGAGGAACACAGTGGGTTTGTTCTGGTACTGAGCATCGAGTCCAGGGGCACCCAGTGTCTGAGTGGGTAGCTCTGAACCCTGCTCACAGGGCCAAAAAACATTGACATAACCGAAGAAACTGAGGCAAAATTAACATAGACAGAGTTTATTTGGGCCAGGGTTGAGAGAATTGCAGCCCTGGAAACACTTTAAGTTACCTTGGGAAGAGCACTGGAGAACAAGGGAGAGGCTTGTGGTTTTTGTTTTTTTTTTAGAGACAGAATTTTACTCTGTCACCCAGGCTAGAGTGCAGTGGCACCATCATTGCTCACTGCAGCCTCAAACTCCTGGGCTCAAGTGATCCTCCCACCTCAGCCTCCCAAGTAGCTGGGACTGCAAGTGCATGCCACCGTGCCTGGCTAATTTTTTTCTTTATCGTAGAGATGGGGTCTTGCTGTGTTCCCCAGGCTGATCTCGAACTCCTGGACTTCTGCCTCAGCCTCCCGAAGTGCCAGGATTACAGGTGTGAGGCACCATGCATGGCCTGCTTGAGCTTTTAAAGAAAAAAAGGACAAATGAGAAGAGGGGTGATTATAAAAGGGGTTTTGCAGGAAATATCATTGGTTTACAGAAATAACATTGATTAATAATTGCCCATCCATTGTGGAACTAGAGGGTGTGAGTTACGGTGTCTGTGGTTGGTGGCAGTCTAGAGTCCACGTAGCACGTGGCTTCAGGCGATGAGTACTTCTCTTAAGTGAGAAGTGGGATATGACTGCTGTCCTATTCCAGTGCCTCTCTGGGCCTGATCATTTAAAGGGGCTCACCATATAACTTTTCTTTCTCATACCCACCCTTTTCGAAGGGACATTGGAATTGGCCACTGTGCTGGATCTAGGTCGTAGGCAGCAAAGTAATCTAGCACATGCCTCCTCTTAGATCACTTCCATTCAGATAGGGTGTGGTTACATAGGTGCGGGACTAGTGGGCTATTTTTATCAGCAGGCTATATAACTGCATTCACTGTTAGCCCCAGTTTCACCAGATGGTGTGAAAGCACAACCCACTCCCATCCGGCCCTTGGGAATTCTGACAGAAGGTTTAAAAACATAGTTACGGTTTCTTAGGAATTATCCCTGCTTCCAGCACTTGGTGCTGGTAGATAGAGCCTTGGTGCTAGGACCATTACATCAGGTAGGAGAAAGAAAGAGAGAAATAAAATTTATAATCACTGTACCAGCGTATTTCTCCCTTGGCTAGAACTGCAGAGTCACACCAACATCTTCCCCAGATTCTGCATGTAATGTTGCTGCTTGGGGAGTTTGAGAAGATGCTGACAGTTTGAAGCAGGGATCAGAAGGTGGCCCACCAGGAGTGAGCTGGAGATGCCCGGTCTCTCTTGGTTTAACATAGAGGACGGGGAATCAAAGGCTTAGGGAAATTGTAATGCTTGAGTGGATTTGTAACTTAAAACCCACTCACCCACACTGGAGGGTCCAGAGAACACACCTTTCACCAATACTTTGAGAAGCAGATTTATGAGGGGGCCCCGGCATCCCTGGTTGCTCCTCTCTGCAAGCTGGACCTTACGGTGGGAACCGCAGTCACTCAGTTGGAAAACTTACATGCAGTGGGAACAATTAGATCCTGGAGAGGCAGGGACCAAGTGTCAGCACTCAGCTGCTGAAGGCAAGATGTCTGTCATGGACACAGAAGCAAATCCACAATTAGAATAATCTGACTGTTGCGCCCCAGTCAGAATAAGGGCTTATGGGGGCCTGGTGATGAATGGAGTTTTAGCTCAGGTCCGACTCTCAGTGGGTTGAGTTGGTCCCTGGACCCCTCCTGTGGTCATTTCCCCCGTTCCAGCTGCACAATTGGAATAAATGTACTCAGCAGCTGGCGGAAAATCCCCACGTTGGTTCCCTAAGCTGTGGAGTAAGGGCCATTATGGTGGGAAAGGCTAAATGGAAGCCATAGAGCTGCCTCTACCTAGGAAAATTGTAAATCAAAACAGCAGCACATCCCTGGAGAGATTGTAGAGATTAGTGCCACCATCAGAGACTTGAAAGCTGCAGGGGTGGAGAGCCTTACCACACCCCCACTTCACTCTCCTGTTTGGCCTATGCAGAAGACGGCTGCATCCTGGAGAATGGCAGGGGATTATCGTAAGCTTCACCAGGTGGTGACCCCAGTTGCAGCTGCTGTACCATGCGGTTTCATTGCTTGAGCAGGTGAACGCATCTCCTGGACCTGCCATGCAGCTACTCGTGGCGAGTGTCCTTTCTCCATCCCTGTCCGTAAGACCCACCAGAAGCAGTTTGCTTTCAGTTGGCAAGGCCAGTGCCACACCCTTGCTGCCTGCCTCAGGGACATATCAGTCCTTCAGCCCTGGGTTACAGTTTCCTTCACAGGGATCTTTTCTTTTTAAAAAATTAATGAAATTTTTATTAATTTGTTACCTTTTTATTTTAATAGCTTTGGGGGTACCCGTGGTTTTAGTGGCATGGATGAACTGTATAACAGGGATGAACTGTATAGTGGCAGAGTCTGAGATCTTAGTGTACCCGTCACCCGAGTACTGTACAGTGCACCCAGTACATAGATTTTACCCCTCACCCCTCCCACTCTCCCCCTTCTAGGTCTCCAGTTTCCATTATACCACTCTGTATGCCTTGCATACCCATAGCTTAGCTTCCACTTACAAGTGAGAACATAGAGTGTTTTATTTTCCATTAGTGAGTTATTTCACTTAGAATAATGGCCTCCAACTCCATCCAAGTCTACAAAAGACATTATTTTGCTCTTGTTTACGGGTAAAGTAGTATTCCTTCATGGGGATCTTGATCACCCTTCCCTTCTGCAAGCTATCACACTGGTCCACGACACTGATGGCATTTTACTAATTGGACCTAGTGAGCATGAAGCAGCTACTCTGTACTTATTGGTAAGACAGTGTGGAGTGAGGCAATTCTCCTAATAAACACCCTCTCATATATATCCACATGCATAGGTATAGTCATGCATTGCTTAACAAGGGGTAGTTTTTGAGAAGTGTGTTGTTAGGTGATTTCATTGTGTGAGCATCATAGAGTGTGCTTACACAAACCTCGATGTTACAGCTTACTGCATACACACCTAGGTTATGTGGCATGGCCGAGTGCTCCTAGGCTACACGCCTGTACAGCATGTTACTTTAGTGAATGCTGTGGCAACTGTAGCAAAACAGTAAGTATTTATGCATCTGAACGTAGAAAAGGGATGGTAAAGTCATGGCTTACACCTGTAATCCCAGCACTTTGGGAGGCCGAGGCGGGTGGATCACGAGGTCAGGAGATCAAGACCATCCTGGCCAACACGGTGAAACACCGTCTCTACTAAATATACAAAAAATTAGCCGGGCGTGGTGGCAGGTGCCTGTAGTCCTAGCCACTCTGGGGGCTGAGGCAGGAGAATGGCGTGAACCCGGGAGGCAGAGCTTGCAGTGAGCGGACATTGCGCCACTGCACCCCAGCCTGGGTGACAGGGCGAGACTCTGTCTCAAAAAAAAAAAAAAGGCCAGGCATGGTGGCTCACGCCTGTAATCCCAGCACTTTAGGAGTCTGAGGCGGGCAGATCACGAGGTCAGGAGTTCAGGACCAGCCTGGCCAAGATGGTGAAACCCCATCTCTACTAAAAATACAAAAATTAGCCAGGCGTGGTGGCATGCTCCTGTAATCCCAGCTACTCGGGAGGCTGAGGCAGGAGAATTGCTTGAACCCGGGAGGCGGAGGTTACAGTGAGCCGAGATCAAGCCATTGCACTCCAGCCTGGGCAGCAGAGCGAGACTCCGTCTGGAAAAAAAAAAAAAAAAAGATAAAATCTAGTACACCTGTTTAGGGCACTTACCATGAATAGAGCTTGCAGGACTGGAAGTTTCACTGGGTGAGTCAGTGCGTGAGTGGTGAGTGAATGTAAGGCTAGGACAGTAATGTGTATGTCTGTAGGCTTCATAAACACTGTACACTAGATTATATTAAATTTATTTTTAAAAGTTTTTGGTTCTTCAATAATAAATTAACCTTAGCTTACTGTAACTTACTTTATAAACTTTTTAATTTTTTAAAACTTTCTCACTTTGTTGTAATAACACTTAGCTTAAAACACACATATACACCTGTACAAAAATATTTTCTTTATATCCTTATTCTGTAAGCTTTTTTCTGTTGAAAAAATATTTCTTTTGCTTTTTAAACTTTTTTGTTAAAAACGAAGACACAAACGCAGACATTAGCCTAGGCCTACGCAGGGTCAGGAGATCAGTATCACTGTCTCCCACCTCCACACCGTGTCCCACTGGAAGGTCCTCTGGGGCTGTCACACGCATGGAGCTGTCATCTAGGGTGACAGTGCCTTCTGGATACCCCTGAAGGACCTGCGTGAGGCCCTTGAGAAGGTGTGGTTCTTTTCAGAAAAATGTCCATGGTGGTTCGCTTGGCTTCTTTTTTCGTCATGGATTTGTGTGAGTAATGGCGTTGTGCTGAGACATTCCCATGGCTGTGCTGTCACCAGGCAATAGGACTATTTCAGTGTGTTTATCTTCTGGGACCACACTTGTATATGTGGGCCACTGCTGACTAAACATCATTATACAGCTCATGACTGTGTGTATGTCTCTCTCTTTTTTTTTTGAGATGGGTCTTGCTCTGTCGCCCATGCTGGAGTGCAGTGGCGGGATCTCGGCTCACTGCAAGCTCCGCCTCCCGGGTTCATACCATTCTCCTGCTTCAGCCTCTCTAGTACCTGGGACTACAGGTGCCCGCCACTGCGTCCAGCTAATTTTTTATATTTTTAGTAGAGATGGGGTTTCACTATGTTAGCCAGGATGGTCTTGATCTCCTGACCTCATGATCCGCCCACCTCGGCCTCCCAAAGTGCTGGGATTACAGGCGTGAGCCACCACGTCCAGCCTGTGTGTGTGTGTCTCTCTCATTAGTTCTGTCTCTCTGGAGAACCCTGACTCTCATGATGGATGTCCCTCACGGGGTCCTTTTCCGGAAGACACCACCTATGTTCTTTCCTGTCTATGCTTGGAACTTGGGTGCAAACCTAGGCCGGATCTGGGGGACTCCCTCTGTGCTCCCTGGCCCTTCCTGGGATCTCCTGATTTTTGTTCTGTGGCTTTGGGTTCCTTACATCAGAGTCCAGCACAGTCAGTTAGAAATGCGTGTTGCCTTGCAAGCGGATACTAGTGCCTGTACACCTACAGCATGGATCTGTGAAAGTAACAGGAATAGTCACAACCACTATTTCATCCAGCGCTCGCCAGGGCCCAGGGTGTGACCTTCATGCAGTAATATAACTCATTTCATCTTCACGGCTACCCTGCGCAGTGGAGACTCTCTTTGTCCCTGGTTTATAGGTGAGGAAACCAAGGCCCAGAGGGTAGCTCACTCCACTGAGGTTGCACAGCCAGGAGGTGGCAGCTTTGTCCCAGAGTCAGGCCATAAGCAGGGCAGGCGCAGCGGGTCCGAGTTTCTCGGCACAGCACTCACCCTTAGCTCAGGCAGTGCACCTTGGTGGTCTCTCTGACTTATTATACAGAGAATGCTGGGTATGACTTGCCAAACTCATTCACCAGAAACTAACCCACTAGGGTAAAAACCCTTATGTCAGGCTTCAGGCTGTCACTAGCAGCGGCATTTCCTGCCCTGGAAACCTGACTTCCCCCAGCTGCCTGCATGCCTCAGGCAGGCACGGCTCCCTTCTGGGCTGCTGCTCATTGTCTGCATGTTGGAGATATTCAGAATGCCCTGTTACACCTTGTACTGTGGGTCCACTCCATGTGGGATCTTGATGCTGCTCTATAATCCCTCACCCTTAGTTTTAAAACCCAAGCAGTTCTGAAGAACAGTTGTTCTGGTAAGTTTGGGCAGCTCGTTCAGTGGCAAAACCTGACCTGAACTACTAAGAAGCTGCTGATGGTCTTGATTACTCTCCAGTGGCATGTCTGGAGGTTTTGCTGCAGAAATGGCCGTGTATGTGCTTGTGATTACTAGGTACTGCCTTGGACCTGCTGGGGGTGTCCTATGATAGAGCATGTACACAAAATCATGTGGGTTTTTTTGTATTGTTTTGTTTTGGTTTTTTTTTGAGACAGAATCTCACTGTGTTACCCAGGCTGGAGTGTGATGGCACAATCATGACTCACTGCAGCCTTACCTGGGCTCAAGCAATCCTCCCACCTCAGCCCCCCAAAGTAGCTGGGACTACAGGCATGCACCACCATACCTGGCTAGCTTTTTGTTGTTGTTGTTATTTTTTTCTAGAGATAGGGACTCACTATGTTGTCCAGGCTGGTCTTGAACTCCTGAGCTCAAGTGATCCTCCCACCTCAGCCTCCCACAGTGGTGGGATTATAGGTGTGAGCCACCACACCCGGCCATCTACCAAATCACCTTACTAAAATCCAAAAAATTCCCAATCCCCAAATACACGCAGCCCCCAGGGCTTCTTCGGGGATTGTGAACCTGTGTTACCATTTCACCAGCTCCAGACATCATTACCCATGAGTACTCGCTGACGAAGATAATGCTTTTAGAAACAACTTGTTTACTTAGCACTGTGGATTCACCTGCAGTTGTAAGAAGTAATGCAGAAATCCCAGTTTTCCCTAAAGGTATATCTGGCATAACTACATAAATATCACAGTCAGAATACTGACCTTGATACAATCCAACTGCCACTTTAAAAAAAAAGTTCAGTGTGAAGTTCTGACCCGGTGGGCCTTCAGGAGCTGAGTCCCTTCTGGTCTGGACTGAATGACCTTCCTCAGGAGCAGGAGCCCAGCAGGGCATCTTCACTGTCCCAGCTAGACCTTGCGTGTCGCAGCAGCTACAGTAGCAGCAGGCCTTGGGATGAGCACTTGCCTGCTGCTGCCTGGCATTAAGTTCTCACGACAATCCTCCAGGGGGTGCTGGCACCACCCCTACTTTCTAGAAACTGAGGGAGGCTTGAGATGTGAGGCCGCCTGTCCTGGCAGGCCTGGATTCAGACCCAGGAGGCCTAGTCCCAGAGCCCAGGCTCATAACCACTGCCCCACGCTGCCTCCCTGGAGGGCATGCAGTGTGCCCCAGGGACGAGAGGCCCAGGCAGGGAGGGGAGGTGGTGGAAGGGGAGCCCATCCCAGCGTGCATAGCGGAAATCAGGAGCCTGGGCTTTGGCGCAGTTTCGCCTGGGAGAGAAGGGAATCCTGGCTTCCTGGGTGGGTGACTTCACCTCCCCGGGCCTTGGTTTTCTTGTCTGTCAGATGAGGATTGTGAAAACACTGCCATGTAGAGGTGCATGGAGGATAAATGAGCAAGTGAATTGCTTACACAATATTAGGCACATAGTAAGTGCTCTAGAAGTGAGCTGTGTATTATTATTGTTGCCGCTGCCACTGTTGGTATTCCCACTCCCTTTCTCCTCCCTGCGCTGTCATTGTTTGCCTTCATCTGCCTTCCCAGCCCGCCCACCCCTGGAGAACAGGAGACTGGCGGGGAGGAAATGCTCAGTCACTCATTCATTTCTTTGGAGAAAGGGGGGAAGGGAAATTCATTGACTGCTGCACGCACAGCTATGGCTGAGCCTCAGCCCTGCCCTCACAGGGCCACCTTCCAGCGGGGTGGACAGACCGGTTCCGAACCAGCAGGGCTCACGGCTGGAACAAGGGAGCCCAGGGGCCTTTGGGAGCCCAGAGGGGGTGCCTGACCCAGCCTCTGGGGCTTCCTAGAGGAGGGATCAGTGGGGCTGAGACCTGGAGGAGGAGCTGGAGGTGCAAATGAGGTGCTCTGGGCAGAGGCAGCCTGCATAAAGGCCTGGAGCCAGCATGCCGGGGACATGAGTGGTCTGGCTGGGAGGTATAGAGGGGTGGGAGGAGCCGCATGGGCCAGGCCACATGCTGGTTTGGATGCCAGCCGGGTGTGGGCACATAACCACTCCTCATTGGGAAGGATGCCAGGGGCTGCCTGGCACTGTCTTCCTCCCCTGCCTTACACCCACCCACAGCCCAGGTGGAGCTGCCTGGCAGGGTGCCCTAGGCCTGCCCAGACAGGGAGGAGGCCGTGGCCTGCTGGGCCTGGGCTCTTCTCACCCCGCTTGGCGCACACACCTGTTTCCAGCATGGATGAGCCTCACCCCCTGCTTCTGTCACACCAACCTGCAGGGGTCAGTGGGTGTCTCTGTGGAGGTTTCTGAGTCACGCTGCCAGGCTTTCCACCAGAGGCCACCCCTGCTCCTTGAGGGCCGGCCCTGGGACCTCCCAGTCTGTCCTCTGGCACAGGAGATACGGGGGTCTGCTCCTGGGGAGGCTAAGGATGGTGGGCAGGTCAGACGGGGGTCTACGTGACTAAACAGGTGAAGTCACTTGCCCAAAGTCACATGGCAAGTAAGTAGCAGAGCCAGGATCTGAATCCAGCCCCCAAATCCAGTCTGCTTTTCAGGTTAGAAGATCAGAGTTTGCAGGAATCGGGGTAAATAAGGTTGCGGGGATAGGGCTCCTTTCACTGGGAACTTGCTATGTCCCAAAGCTGAACGCCCCATGCCTATTGTGTATGATCTGGTCATCAGCGCAGCAGCCCCAGAAGGGGGACCGTGAAGAGCAGTGGGCGCCCACGTGGAGTTTCCTTTCACCTGGCACCACTGTGCAGGGTTCACAAGCATTCACCCATGCAGCTCTCCCAGTGGCCCTCTTGAGGGAGATATATATGGTTCTCAGTCCCACCTCAGAGAGAAACTGAGCCACAGAGAGGCAGACTCACCTGCCTGAGGTCACCCAGCTCATGACTTGCAGAGCTGGGATTTGAACCCGGTCTCAGGGATCTGTGACCCTCAGTTCCTCTCTTCAGTGGACAAAACAGGGAAATCTTTTGTCCTGGGCCTCCCCAGAGTGTGAGGGAGGGAAGTAACAGCACTCGGTGCTGCTGCCCACCTGCCCCTGCTGCATGCCGGGCCCCCTGTGTTACTTATTCCTTCCCACAGCCCTGGCAGGGGAGCCCTGTGTCACCTCCCTGTTAGAGATTAGGTAACCTGGGCTTGGGGAGTCCATGTCGTCCAGCAAGTCATTGGCCCTTTGTGTGAGTCTGGGCTGTTCTGTGACCGTAGACCCAGCCGGGCCCTTCCTCTCATGCTCCGCCACCTTGGTAGTCACGATAGTAGCATCAGGACCTGTGCTTGGGATGCTGCTCACCCCACAGGGATTCTCACAGGGCACCTGAAGCTGAGCCCGCAGTCCTCAGACAGGCAGTTGTTTGATTTTAGCGCGCTCATAGCTAAGATTGATGAAGTGCACCCATGCGGGCAGCTTTGCTGTGCCCAGTTTTGGGGTGCAGAAACCAAGGCTCGGCAGTTAAATACGTCTAGGGTTGCACCATCAGCACCTGGCGCCCAGGCGGTCTGACTTCCACTTTCATGGAACCCAGGGCTGGGCAGCCTGGGGGCAACCGCTGTGCCCCCACCTCAGCCTCAGTGTGCACGCCCCTTCCCTCCCACCCAGGTGGTCAAGGTGAAGCCCCATGACAAGGATGCCAAAATGAAATACCAGGAGTGCAACAAGATCGTGAAGCAGAAGGCCTTTGAGCGGGCCATCGCGGGCGACGAGCACAAGCGCTCCGTGGTGGACTCGCTGGACATCGAGAGCATGAGTGAGTCAGGCCTGGATGCTCCACGCTCCAGCCCAGAACATTCCACACGGGCCTTCTCCATTCCCTGGGGGTGGGGTTGGGCTCAGGGGTGGCCCCTTGTTCTGTCCCCAGGCTGGTGTCTGTCGCTCCTCTGCCTGTGTTCCAGGGCGCTCCATCCACAGCCCAAAGCTGGGCCTCACGCTTCCCAGTGAGCGAGATTGGAGAGCCATGGTCCCCCTGCCATTTCACGGGCCCTTCCTCCGGGTAGTAGCACAGTCCCCACAGGCTGTGTCTGATTCACCTCTAGGTGCTGAGAAGATCCAAGGGATTGTTGTGGATCATCCCACAGATGATTATTGAGCATCTCCTATGTGCCCGGCACTGTCCTAGGCACTAGGGGTACAGCTATGAACAAAACCCTTCCTGTCCACATGGAGCCGATATTCTAGGAGGGAGATAAGATGATGAATAAGTCATGAAATGAATAGTGCTAAGTGCCATAAAACTGAATAGAGTAAAGGGGGGTGGGTGAAGGAAGACAGGGAGGTCAGGAAGAGGCCTCTGGGCCAGACCTGACCCAGGAGGGGACTCTTCACTCACTCTGTCCCGCTCTCGACCTGTGTGTCCACACCCAAGTTTTCCCCATCCCTGGGAGCGAGACCCCCTTCTCCCTCATAGTGGCTGTGGTCACTGACTCTCGTGTCCCGTTGTTCACACCCTAGCCATTGAGGATGAGTACAGCGGACCCAAGCTTGAAGACGGCAAAGTGACAATCAGTTTCATGAAGGAGCTCATGCAGTGGTACAAGGACCAGAAGAAACTGCACCGGAAATGTGCCTACCAGGTAATGCATCTGTCAGGTACTGGGCACCCGGGAACCCTGGGATGGCATCACAGCACTGCCAGCCGCGGGCACTGAGCAAAACGACAGGAGAAGGGCGGCCATGACAGCCAACACCAAACAGGAGTCGTGTGCCGGACACTGTGCCGAGGGCTTACCACATGATCTCATCTCGTCCCACAGCAGTTTGGGGAGGTGGCAGGCAGTGCCATTTGACAGATGCAGGGACAAAGGGCCAGAGAGGTCAGGTGACTGGCCCAGGGTGAAAGGTGAGGAAGCAGTAGAGTCTGTTGCTTTGAGTTCTCATCCCAGGCTCTTGGGCGTCTGTGGCTGCTGGTTGTTGCAGGTTGTTTGGGACCTGCTGGTTGCTCCTAGTCCTGAGACCACCCCCTCCCCGACCTAGGAGGGCAGCTGGCCACAGGGTGTTAACTGGTTGAGTGAGACTCAGGCTCTGGTATCCCATCTGGACAAGGCCCCCTGCCCTGACCTCTCAGGGCTACAGGGACCTTACCATAGTTTTGGGGAACTGCTGAGATCCACCACCTCCTGGGTTGGTTATGAGGATGCGGGACTTCTTGTGAGTCAGGTTGACAGGCAGGTGACTCTTACAGGAGTGTGCAGGCAATATGGGAAGCCGCCATTTGATAGGTCCTAGAGAGCCAAGTGGCCTGGGTTCAAATCTCTACCTTCCCACATACTAGCTGTGTGCCTGTGGGCAGATGGCTTCACCTCTCTGTGCCTTGATTTCCTCCTCTGTGCAGTGGAGATAATCATACTGTCTCCACCAAGGGCTGTTGTAAGGAGTAACTGCGTGTAATCCACATCAGTGCTTCGAATAGTGCCTAGCACATGGTTAGTGCTCTGTATGGGTTAGCTGTTGATCATGTTGTTAAAGGTGAGACAGGAGGAGGAATGTCCACATTCCTGGTTGTTTTTAATTGAAGTATAATTAATGCACAATAAAATACACAAATCTGAAGTGTCCTGTTAGATGAGTTTTTAGAGTTTTATGTGCCCACTGCCCAAACAAGTTACAGAACATTTCCATCAACCAGAAAGCTCCCTTTGACCCCTTTCTAGTCAGCCCTCACTCCCATCCCAGGGGCAACCACTGATCTGATTTTTCACCACTGTAAATTAATTCTGCCTGGTTTTGAATTTCATTTCAATGTCATATGGGCTTACAGCGTTTAGTGTCTCTTCTTTCATGTGGCACAATGTGTGTGGGATTCATACATGGATGTTGTGTATATCGGTAGCTCAAGTCCTCCATTGTCTGAACAGCCCATGACTTGTTTATGCAGTCTTCTTTTGAGAGACATTTGGGTTATTTCTACTTTGTAGCTTTTATAAGTATAAGCTGCTATGAACTTCTTGGACAAGTCTTTTTGTGAACATGTTTTCATTGTTCATGTTGAATTTCTCTATTGATTGTCTTTTGTTTCATTGATTTTTCATTCATTATTCTCTATGCATGCTTGAGGTTTAATTTGCTTTCTTCTGGCTTCTGAAGATGGACATTAATGCTGTTAATTTTACATCTTTTCTTCCACACAAAGCATTTAAAACTAAATTTCCTTCCAGGCAGTAAGTTAGCTGCGTCCCGTGAATTTTAATACGTCGTATTTTCATTATCATTGAGTTAGAATTGTTTTCTAATTTTCTTTATGGTTTCTGATTTTATCCATAGATTATTGAGAAGGGTATTGTTTAACTCCCAAATATTTGGGGACTTCTAGATGTTACTGTTACTGATTTCTAATTTGGTCAGACAACACACTCTGGATGATTCCATTGGGGCTATTTTTAGATCTGTCTTGGCAAACATGCAGTATGTACTGGAAAATAGTGTGTATTTTGCAGTCGTTAGTCATAGGGCTCTATAAATGTCAATTAGTTCAAGATGGTTGAGACTGCTGTTAAAAATCTTTTATAGCCTATTTTTTCTAATTGCTCAATCATTTATTGAGGGGGCTGTTAAAAGCTCCGACTATACTTGTAGATTTGCCTATTTCTCCCTATAATTCTCAGTTTTTTGCTTCCTGTATTTTGAAATTTTTATTAGGCACACATTTAGGATTGTTATGCTTTCTTGATGAATTGACTCATTATAATGAAGTGACTTCAGTACTTTTTGGCTTGAAATCCCTGTTTTCTATTAAAATAGTTAAACCAGATTTTTACAGTTAATATTTGCATGCTATAACTTTTCTACCCTTTTGTATTTAACCCATTGGTATCTTTATATTTAAAATGTTTTTCTTATAAACAGCATATACTTGGGTCTTGCCTTTTTATCCAGTTGGACAATCTTTACCTTTTTTTTTTTGAGGTGGAATTTCGCTCTTGTTGCCCAGGTTGGAGTGCAATGGTGTGATCTTGGCTCACTGCAACTTCTGCCTCCTGGATTCAAGCAATTCTCCTGCCTCAGCCTCCAGAGTAGCTAGGATTACAGGCACACGCCACTATACCCAACTAATTTTTGTTTCGTTTTGTTTTTTGAGACGGAGTCTCATTCTGTCACCAGGGTAGAGTGCAGTGGCGCAATCTCAGCTCACTGCAACCTCTGTGTCCCAGATTCAAGTGATTCTCCTGCCTCAGCCTCCCGAGTAGCTGGGACTACAGGTGTGCACCACCATGCCCAGCTAACTTCTGTATTTTTAGTAGAGATGGGATTGTACCATGTTGGCCAGGATGGCCTCGATCTCTTGACCTCGTGATCCACCTGCCTCAGCCTCCCAAAGTGCTGGAATTACAGGCATGAGCCACCATGCCTGGCCTGATTTTTGTATTTTTAATAGAGACAGTGTTTCACCATGTTGGTCAAGTTGGTCTCAAACTCCTGACCTCAGATAATCCACCCACCTCGGCCTCCTAAAGTGCTGGAATTACAGGTGTCAGCCACCATTCCCAGCCAATCTTTACCTTTTAATTGGAGTGTTTAGTTCATTTATGTTTAACTATCAGCAATCATATGATTGCATTTCAATCTACTGTCTAGATGTCTCTTTTCTATATGTCCCATTTGTTTTTTTCCCCCTTGTTTCTCCTTCTTTGACTTTCTTTTGTGTGAATCAGGAATCTTTTAGCATTTCATCTGTTTTATTGAATTTTTTGTTATACTTTTGAATGTGTGTGGCGAGGGGTGGAGTGTTACATGGTTGCTCTAGAGCAGCCCTTCTCAGCTGAGGCTCTATAGAGAGAATTAAGCCCTAACTCCCTTAGGCATCCATTATATCCGCAGTGAATTAACTCCTCTCCTGTGAATCTGTGTGCTCTCCTTGGGAGAACTGAGCAGATATCACTGAAAATATTTTTTGTGGGGCTTAATCATTTCCCGGAACCCTGGATGAAAAAGGCTGCTCCAAAGATTACAATGTGTAACTTTAACTTGTCCTATTCTACTTTCAAATAATAATATGATACTTAATGGACAATATAAGAATCTTATGGCCTGGGGCAGTGGCTCATGCCTGTAATCCCAGCAGTTTCGGAGGCCGAGGCAGGTGAATCACTTGGGGTCAGGAGTTCCAGACTAGCCTGGTCAACATGGCAAAAACCCCATCTCTACAACCCTGTCTCTACTAAAAATACAAAAATTAGCCAGGCATGGTGGCACACACTTCTAATCCCAGCTGCTCGAGAGGCTGAGGCAGAAGAATCACTTGAACCCAGGAGGTGGAGGTTGCAGTGAGCCAAGGTCGTGCCACTGCACTCCAGCCTGGGCAACAGAGCGAGACTCCATCTCAAAAGAAAAAAAAAAAAAGAATCTTACAATATTGTGATTGCTTTTATTTTCTCCCAGCCTTTGTGCTCTTGTCATGCTTATGCATCTGCTATAAATACATTGTTGTCATTTCCTTAAATAGACACTAGTCTTCTAAAGAAATACACGTATGAATACACAGAAAATGTCTTTTATATTTACCCTTTCTCTTACTCCTTGTTTCTTCTTCCATATGTGAGTTTCTATCTGGTATCATGCCCCTTCTGCCTGAGTACTTTTAGCATTTCTTACAGTGCACGTCTGCTGTAGACTAATTCTCTCAGCTTTGGTCTGCCTGAAAATGTTTTTATTTTGTCTTCATTTTTAGGGGTGTCTTTGCTGGATGTAGAGTTCTAGGTTGACATTGTTTCTTTCAAGGCTTTAAATGTGTTTTTTTCCCATTGCCTTTTGACCTCCATTGTTTCTGTGAGAACTCAGCAATCATTCATATCTTTGTTCTATATAGTCTGCTTTTTTCTTCACTGGTTTTAAGATGTTGCCTTTGGGTTTTAGTAGTTTGACTATGATGGGCTTTGATGTGCTTTTTTTGAGTCTGTGGGTTAATATCTTTCATTAGTTTTGGAAAGTTCTTAGCCATTATTTCTTATATTTCTTCCCATTTCTGCTCTCCTCTCCGTCTGGAAAGCTAATAACATGCTCTTTGATACTATTTGATACTATTCCTTAGATCTTAATGACCTGAATTTTTTTAATTCTTTTCACGATTTTTCCTCTATGTATTTCAGTTCAGATAATTTCAGTTGTCCTTATGTTCACTGATTCTTTGTAACTGCTGTCAAGCCCAACAAATGAATTATTTATTTCTTACATTGTATTTTTTATTGGTAGCATTTTCATTTAGTTGTGTTTTTTTTAATAGACTTTTCATCTCTGTGTCTCATGTGTTCATGCATGTTGTCCACCTTTTCCACCAAGTCCTTTCACACATTTACCATGGTTATCTTAACGTCTCTGTCTGATAGTTCCATCATCTGGTTCATCTCTGAGTCTGCTCTGTTACCAGTTCTTCATGTGTTTTACAATTTTATTGTATGCCAGCTATTTTGTATAAAAGAACATTAGAGACTGAGGTAAATAAAGTTTTTCCTCAGAAAATGGCACACTTAGGCTGGGCACCATGGCTCAGGCCTGTAATCCTAGCACTTTGGGAGGCCAAGGTGGGCAGATCGCTTGAGCCCAGTAGTTCAAGACCAGCCTGGGCAACTTGTAGAAACCCCACCTCTACAAAAAAAATACAAAAATTAGCCAGGCATGGTGGTTGGCACCTGTAGTCCTAGCTACTTGGGAGGCTGAGTGGGGAGGATCACCTGAACCTGGGAGGTTGAGGCTGCAGTGAACTGTGTTCGAGCCACTGCACTCCAGCCTGGGTGACAGAGTGAGACCCTGTCTTAAAACAAATAAACAAATAAGAAAATGGCACACATTTCTCCTGTTGAGCCACAAGAGGGAGGGGCTGTGTGAACCTCATCTGTAGTTTAGGGGCAGCTTTTATTGGAGTTTCTTTACCACCGGCTTTAAATGTGTTCAGAGTAGAATTAGGACTTTCCCTTCAGCAGAGCTTGGGATCTTAGCCCTGGCAGAATTCCAGGGATGTCTTTATGTTTTAAAGTCGCCAGCTTTTGGAACTGTGGGAGGCCTCTGGTATTCAGCCCTGCCGCCAGACTGTGGGGCCACTGGGGTGCTCTCCGCTCTCCAGTCTCGCCCCCACTTCTGTACCTCAGGAGGTTTCTCTGCACCTCACTCCCTCGCGCCCAACCTTCCATGAAGCCCGTGTGAGGGAGTTGGCAGGGGGCAGAGGCGGGCTGTGCTGGGGCTCCCTGGAGTCCTCATCTGTCACGCCAGTCCCCACACGGTCATGAACTTCCACTCATTTCCCCTCACGCAGGGCATCCCGCCCTGCTGCCTCGCACCAGGGTGAAAGCTGTGGGCTCCTTCCCCAAGGAAGGGCTCGTCCTGTCTGCATTTTGATTAATTTAGGTCCCTTTGCATTGCCAGCTCTCAGATGGCTTTACCTTTGATTTTGTTGCTTGTTTGGCTTGTTTTCATCTTTAGGGCGAGACAGTCTTTTGTAACTTTTCTACCTTCTGACTAGAAGTGGATGCCGCCTGCATTTTCTTAACACCTTTTTCCCCAGCTTATTTTGGAAATCGTCAGACCTACAGAGAGCTGAAAGAACAGTACAGTTAACATCTGTCCACCCTTCACACAGATTCACCACTTGTGAACATTTTAATGCATTAACTTTATGTGTCTGTCTACTTATTTATGCATTTGTATGTGTATACTTTTTTCTTTTTTTTCCCCTAACCCATTTGAAAGTAAGTTGCAGCCATCATAACCTGGATCTCCCAAAAACAAAGACGTCCTCTTGTGTGACCACAGTTGAATTGTCCTACCTTAGAAATTCATCATTGATGTGATAATACTGACTAAGGTAGACAGTCCACAGGCCATCCGGAAAATCTGGAAACATTGACAAATATGCATGTCATTGTCAAGGTCATATCCAATCTGTGAAAAATAAATCATCTGCATTTCTAGACATCTATTAGTATTTTAATTCTCCCCAGCTCTCCCCAAAACATCCTTTTTAGCTGCTTTTAAAAAATTCAGCGTCCGTTGAAAGCACCAGTGTTGCCTATGACCTGCCTTTTTACCTCTTTTTACCTAGAAAGTCTCACTTCTTTTTTGGGAGACTCTTTTATGACAGTGACATTGCGCTGTGTCCAGGCCAGTTCTTTTATAAAATGTTCTACGATCTGGATTCATGCATGTATTTCCACTTGATGCTGAGTATTTTAAGATAATTCAAGAATCAGGTTTTCGTACAAAACAATCGCAATGCTTCGGCACTGCACAGGCCACAGAAGCCTGCGGCTGCCTCCGGCCCCGCCTGCTCCCGCTCCCCCAGGCCTGCCCTGCCCTTTTTCTTCTCTCCCTGCTTCTCCCTCGCCCTCAGCCCAGCAGCGTCTCATGGGCAGTCCAGGCTTTCGGGGCCAGGTTGGGCAGCAGCCCCTGCAGCCGGTCCCACTGAGTCTGCCCTGCCTTCCAGATTCTGGTACAGGTCAAAGAGGTCCTCTCCAAGCTGAGCACGCTCGTGGAAACCACACTCAAAGAGGTGCGCGTTGTGGGGCAGTGCGGGGAGGGCCAGCGGGGGTGGGCTCTCTGGCTGGGGAGGGGCCACAGAGCTCAGGAACTCACGGATCCACCTCCCTCTCTCCCTCACACCCCACCCCTGTGCCTTTCCTCCTGAATATCCCATTTCTCTCCTGGCCTCTTGGTCTTCGTTTGTGTTCCCTGCTTGTGTCTCTTGCATGATTCTTCTTGGTCTACTGTGAACTCTTACCCTTCCCCTCACCTCTGCCCCCTCCCCACGTCTCTCTCTCGGCCCGTCCCTCTCCGGTGGCCTCTTTTCTTTCAGACAGAGAAGATTACAGTATGTGGGGACACCCATGGCCAGTTCTATGACCTCCTCAACATATTCGAGCTCAACGGTTTACCCTCGGAGACCAACCCCTATGTATCCTTCTCAGCAGAGCCACCCTCTCCCCACCTCCACCCCCAGCCGCAGCCTCAGGTCTGCACAGAGTGGGAGGAGCCCTTGCCAGGAAAAGACGTGACCTTGGAAAGGAGAGGCCTGGCCATGCTGGGGCACCAAGGTGTGGGTGGAGCTGCAGGCTGGCCATGCACCCCAGGCTCCAGGCTCGGACAGGCCTGGGCCAGCACCCACCTGCTGTGTGACCTAAGCTGGTAGCTCAGTCTCTCTGGGTCTTGGCTTGTCTTCGTCTGCCTCAGGATCACATTTGAATGGCACCTGGCACTGGCCACACTTGGGTTCCATCCTGGCTTTGCCACTTCCCAGCTGTGTGACCGAAGCAGGTTACTTCACTGCTTGGTGTCACAGTTTCCCCATTTGCAAAGAGGGATAATAATATGTGCAACCTTGTTACTCAGCAGTTACTGAGAGGACAGGTTAAGAACAGGGCCTGGCCCACACCTGATGCTATCTAAGTATTTCCCCGTGTTATGGTATCTGCTCGATGAACGGCCACTTGTAGGGCCACTAGGCCTATGCATTGTTGAGTGGGAGGGCCCGTGTCCCATCTCCCCCATGGCTCCAGGCCTCTCTGAGGAGAGCTGAAGGAGGTGGACTGACTAGTCCCCGCACCTCCCCGCCACTGGCTTTCCGGGAGACAGGAGGCAGGGTCCTCAGTGCCATACTACTGAGGCTCAGCGGCCAAGCTCTGGCTGGAGCCACGGTGAGGAAAGGATTAGAAACCCAGATCCCTTGAGCCCTGCCAAGTCCTCACTCCCTGGGAGGTGCTGACAGGAGGCTTGAGGCCAGGCAGGAGCAGCCCATCTGGCCCATCTTCTGCCACCACCCCCAACCCCACCGCACCGCACCCTTCCCCTCCACGCTTGCCATGTTTTCCTCAGCAGGACAGATATTTAATGGTGACTTTGTGGACCGAGGCTCCTTCTCTGTAGAAGTGATCCTCACCCTTTTCGGCTTCAAGCTCCTGTACCCAGATCACTTTCACCTCCTTCGAGGTGAGCTGGGAAGTGACAAGGTTTGGGTTCATTGTGGGGTCCTGAGTGGGGCACTCACTCTGCAAGGATAATAGTTGCAGCTGTATTTATTTTGTGGACTCGGAGATCATGCACAGGGCGACCTTTTAAGATTGAGTATGTAGTGCACTGCACAAAAGCATCACACCAAAGGACGCGTTTACATCATAGATAGTGTAGAAATGGATGTTTACTCTGACCATTTTTCAGCAGATGGCAAACAAGGGTGTGAGGATGGGCCCCTTATTCTAATTTGCACAAGGGCATGAAACAGGCTCCTGGGTGGCCCTAAATCTGGCACTAAAGCTGAGTGACTGAGTGAACAGACCAGGGCTCGAGGGTGGGAGTAAGGAGACTGTTGACGAGGCAGTTGTGCCCCCTCAGATTCAGGCTTGGTGTCAGATTTGGGTTCTCTTGATTGAAGTAGAGCCCGGAGCTGAGTGTGCTGGTTCACACCTGTAATCCCAGCACTTTGGAAGGCCCAGGTAGGAGGATCACTTCAGCCCAGGAGTTTGAGACCAGCCTGGGCAACACAGTGAGACTTTGTCTCCAGTAAACATTTTTTAAAAAGGCCAGGCGCAGTGGCTCATGCCTGTAATCCCAGCATTTTGGGAGGCCAAGGCAGGTGGATCATCTGAGGTCAAGAGTTCGAAACCAGCCTGTCCAATGTGGTGAAACCCCGTCTCTACTAAAAATACAAAAATTAGCCGGGCATGGTGGTACACGCCTGTAATCCCAGCTGCCTGGGAGGCTGAGGCAGGAGAATCGCTTGAACCCAGGAGGCACATGTTGCAATGAGCCGAGATTGCGCCACTGCACTCCAGCCTAGTCGATAGAGTGAGACTCAGTCTAAAAAAAAAAAAAAAAGCCAGGCATGGTGGCACCGTGCACCCGTAGTCCCAGCTTCTTGGGTGGCCAAAGTGGAAGGATTGCTTGAGCCCAGGAGTGTAAGGCTGCAGTGAGCCATGATCACACCGCTGCACTCCAGCGTGGGCAACAGAGCAAGACCCTGTCTCTTTGAAAAAAAAAAAAAAAGTAAGAAACTTGGAAGTAGAGCCCAGAGTATTTGCTGGAGGAACAGACACAGGTGTGAGACAAAGAGGGAACGAAAGGGGCCCTCTAGGGTTTTGGCCGGAGTATCTGGAGGGCTATGGCTGCCAGTGACGAAGACGGGAACATGTAGAGCAGGGTGTGGCCAGGAGCTGAGGAGCTCCCCTTTGGATGTGGCTGAGACTCAGGAGACATGGGATGTGGGTGGGGTTCCAAGGGGTGTTGAAAATGTAGGTTTCTTGGTGTCCAGATGAGATTAGACAAGAGGAGCTCACTGGGATGTGAGGGCCACACAGGGGAGGCCCTGCCCATGGCGGGGCCGGGGTGAGTTGGGAGGTGAGTGATAGGCTGGGGCGAAGCCTGCATGCCCGTGTCCCTGGGCTCACAGGGTTCACGCAGCAGTGTCCAGCACAGGGTCAAAGCTCAGGAAGCCCGACTGTGGGCCTCGTTGCAGGAGGCAACAAGTGCTCAGGCCGAGAAGTCAGACAAGCAGAGTCTGAGCAGATGCGAGACTGGGCAGCCTTCTCCTTGCCCCCAAGCTCTGGAAGGGAAGAAGGAGGCCGGGTGCTTGTGTCTGAGACAGAAGGATGGAGCTCAGGGTGGGGTGGGCTGGGGCACATGTTCTGTAGATGGGCCTACTTTTTGGTTTTGAGACGGTCTTGCTTTGCTCTGTTGCCCAGGCTGGAGTGCAGTAGCATGAGCATAGCTCACTGCAGCCTCTGCTTCGTGGGCTCAAGTGATCCTCTGGCCTCAGCCTCCCAAGTAGCTGGCACTATAGGCACGCACCACCATGCCCAGCTAATTTTTAAAATTGTTTTATAGAGAGGTCTCAGTATATTGCCCAGGCTGGTCTCAAATTGCTGGGCTCAAGCAGTTCTGCCTTGGCTTCCCAAAGTGCTGGAATTATAGGCGTGAGCCATGGTGCTTAGCCATGGACCTACTTTTTGTCAAGATTCCCCCCTTGGTACCTCCAGTCTGGAAGGCACCGCAGTGGCAAGTGCGAGGCCCATGGGGGCAAGGGACGCATGCACAGTTCTGGGCCTTGAGGGTGCCAGGCTGGAGGACACTGATGTACCTGGAGGCTGAGCTTTCTCTTCTGTCCCCGTGTTGGCCAGGCAACCACGAGACAGACAACATGAACCAGATCTACGGTTTCGAGGGTGAGGTGAAGGCCAAGTACACAGCCCAGATGTACGAGCTCTTTAGCGAGGTGTTCGAGTGGCTCCCGTTGGCCCAGTGCATCAACGGCAAAGTGCTGGTGAGGACGGCGCGAGCCCTGAGTGTGGGTTCCCCACCCAGCCACACCTGGGCAGATGTGCTGGTGAAGGAAGTTGGGGCCTGTGGGTGGGTGGCACCTTCCCTCACAGCGGCATCCCCCATCTCCCCAGATCATGCACGGAGGCCTGTTCAGTGAAGACGGTGTCACCCTGGATGACATCCGGAAAATTGAGCGGAATCGACAACCCCCAGATTCAGGTGAGCAGCGCGGGGCCAGGTGTCTCCAGCAGAAAGGGGCAGCCTGGGCTGAGCTCTCCCCTGCAACCCAGCCCTGCCTCGGAGGATGGGCTTTGTGCCCTTGGCAAGAAACAGCGGGTCTGAGCCTCAGTTTCCTCACCTGCGACTTGGGCCAGTGCACCTCCTTCATGGGGCTGTGATGGCAAGCACGGTCGTGACCATGGTGCGGGGTGAAGGCACGGTGACCGCCGAGCACACCTGTCCTTATTTATTTGTGAGTTCAGCTGTGGAACCCTGGAAGGAGGGGAGGTCTTGGGGCTCCTGTGCTAGTGACGGGCACACTTCAGAGAGTTCACCCACAGGTGCACACGCACGTGCACACTGTGAGTGCTGCAGAGGACATGGATTGGGTGGGCTGGTGCTGGGTGCTCAGGAAGGCCTCTCCAGGGAGGCGAGGTTTGAGCTGACACTGCGGGAAGCAGAGGCATCTGCCGTGCACAGAGCCTGGCGAGCATATTCCAGGCTTGAGGAGGGGTCCTAAGGCAGGGAGAAGTTGGCGAGTGGGCAGGGCTGTGCTTTGAGGGCTGACATTGGACATGGGGTTCACTGGGCCCAAATCCTATGGCGCTTTACAGGCCCCAGTGAGGAACTTTGTTCCTAGGGCAGTGCGGAGCCACCAAAGGCTTTGAGTGGGAGAGGGGCCTGATCTGAATAGTGACATTGAAAGCTCTATCTGGCTTCGGGGCCACAGGGGATTGAATGGGGTCTGGAGGGCAGATCAGCAGAGAGGGTGGGGGTGGCTCAGAATCACAGTCACCTGTCCTGAATGTCCATGTCCATGCTGGATGTCCCCTGCCCAACACCCACCCAGGCTGGGCTGTGGGGTCAGCACCTGGCCGGGCCAGGAGGTGGCCTGTGAGTGACCACCCCCGGGGAGGTGGACGAGTCCCTAATGTTTCCCTCGCTCCCCACCAGGGCCCATGTGTGACCTGCTCTGGTCAGATCCACAGCCACAGGTGAGTCTAGGGTGGGGTGCAGGGCCGGCGGGTGTGGGCTGTGGCAGCAGGTGGAGGCAGACAGTCACCCTGAACCCCTGTCTCTCCCTTCTGCCCACCCTCAGAACGGGCGCTCGATCAGCAAGCGGGGCGTGAGCTGTCAGTTTGGGCCTGACGTCACCAAGGCCTTCTTGGAAGAGAACAACCTGGACTATATCATCCGCAGCCACGAAGTCAAGGCCGAGGGCTACGAGGTGGCTCACGGAGGCCGCTGTGTCACCGTCTTCTCTGCCCCCAACTACTGGTATGTCTTTGCCTTTCCAGCCCAGGGCCTCTACCAAGCCACGGGTTTTTGTCTTGGTTTTTGTTTTGCCTTTTTATGATGGAACATTTCAAAGACAGGCAAGAGCAGATAAAAGAACATGACGAACACCCCCGTATGTGTCACCCACCCATGCAGCACCAGTGGGGCCAGCCTGTGAGTGCTGACCAGCTGCCCTGTGTTACAGCAAGCCCCTGGCACTTCACCTTTCTCCCACTGATTGCCCAGCACTTTTCAGAAGGAAAGGGATCTTTTTCTTAACCACAATATCGTGTTTACACTTTTGAGTGCTGGCTGGGCATGGTGGCTCACGCCTATAATCCCAGCACTTTGGGAGGCCGAGGTGGGCGGATCACCTGAGGTCAGGAGTTTGAGACCAGCCTGGCCAACATGGTGAAACCCCATCTCTACTAAAAATACAAAAATTAGCAGGGCGTGGTGGCACACACCCGTAATCCCAGCTACTCAGGAGGCTGAGTCAGGAGAATTGTTCGAACCCGGGAGGTAGAGGTTGCAGTGAGCTGAGATTGCACCACTGCACTCCAGCCTGGGGAAGAGTAAGACTCCATCTCAAAACACACGCACACGGGCAAGAGTAAGACTCCATCTCAAAACACACACACACACACACACACACACACACACACACACACACACACACACACACACACACACACACACACACACACACACACACACACACACACACACAGTGTTGATCCCTTGCCCCCACCCGAATCCTGCCAAGTTCTCTTTCTCCTGGTCTCTCCTAAGTGTCTTTTCCAGCTGACTTCTTCCAGACAGGACCTAAACAAGGACCACATTTTCAGTCTCTTTGCCTGTGAGTTCCCTGTCTCTCCCCACCCGCATCATTTATTTGTTGAAGAATAGGTTGCTGCCTGCTGTACGAGTCACCTGTGTCCTGGACTAGGCTGACTGCATCCCCGTGGTGCCGTGTGACATGTTCCTCTGTTCCCTGCATCTCTGGGTGGGCAAAGCTAGAAGCGTGGTCAGATTCCTAGTGGGGTCTGGCGAGCATCCACCTCCATGAGCTATGCCCTGCCCCTTCCTGCTCCTGCTTCCTGCACTCCCACCCTCTTTTCCCCATCCCCATCCTCCTGCCCCTCCCATTCTTTCCCCTGGATTCGTCTTTCCCATCTCTGTCTCTCTGTCCATCTGTGTCTGTTGTGGCTCTGTCCCTCCCTCTCCCTCTGTCCCTTCTTGCCCAGCCATTCCTTCTCTTAACCCACCAGCCCCACCCAGCCCTGACCACACTGTCCACTCTGCTCCTGTCCCTGCAGCGACCAGATGGGGAACAAAGCCTCCTACATCCACCTCCAGGGCTCTGACCTACGGCCTCAGTTCCACCAGTTCACAGCAGTGGTGAGTCACCCCTCAGGGCCCCTGCCCCTTCCATCCCGGCCTGGGGACAAGGAGGCTGAGACCCTGGTAAGGGGCAGGGGTAGGTTCTGCCGGTGGGTGCTCAGGGGCTCTGTTCTGACTTCTGTCCATCCCACCTGCCCTGGTCCCACAGCCTCATCCCAACGTCAAGCCCATGGCCTATGCCAACACGCTGCTGCAGCTAGGAATGATGTGAGGTGACGGGCGGGGCGGCCTGCATCCCAGGGCCCCTCCAATCCCACCGGACCCAGGCCCTGGGCTAGGGGCAGAGCAGGCCCCGCCCCAGGGCAATGTTGGACCCCCTTTTACTTTGTAAAGTTTGTATTTATTCCCCTTTAGGTTTGCAGAGGGGGTAGGGGCAGAGTCAGGGGCTGGCCAGAGGGTCTGCTCCCTGGACAGAGAGGAAGGAGGTGGAGCAGCTGGGGCTGGGGGCACAGCCTGGGCATTCTGTGGGGAGGCCGTCCTCGGGGTGGGGTGGGGCCGAGTGGCTGCCCTGCCCCCCTCATTTGCATGGCTCCTCCCCCACTCAAGCAATAGGGCCCCGCCATAGGAAGACCCCCAGAGAGAGGGTCAGCAGGGGGGCCCCGCCTGCGCCTCCCCTCCTATAGCCCCATGGTGGGGCTAGGCTGGGGCTCACCCCCCTCCCCAGCTATTTTATGTCTGTAATTAAATATGTTAAAATAAAGTCATTATCGGAAGTCAGCTTGTCTCTGGATGGTGGAGCCGAAGGAGCTGCCCGGGTTGGGTTACGCCTGCTCAGGAGATCCGGAGGGTGGGGAGGCCGCAAAGTCCCGCTGGCCGGGCCCACCCAGCTCTGGGCTGACCGCCCAAGTGGCCTCTGCCTCTGCCCAGCACCGTGGGCTCCTGGGGAGAGTTCTGCCCCCTGGGTGGGGCGATGAGGCCAGCACTGAGTGGAGCGGAGCGGAAGCTGAGGCATAGCCTCATCCTTTGCTGGCTCCAGCAACAAGCATGACAGTGCCGCTCCCTGCTCCCTGCTCAGGGTAGGCCCAGCAGTGGTTCTTGACATCACACGATGAGGCGCGCATCTCCCGTCATCCAGGGAGACCAGAGGACCCTTGTCTCACTCCCAGTTGGCTCTTAGTCACAGGTAACGTTGGATTCCATTCAGGCTGCCCTGCCAGGCCTTGACCCTCCAGAGAGATTGTGTTTTCAAGTTTGAGCTCCTCTGGACTCAGCTTTCTCCAGTGGTATGTGGCACTGGGGGATGGTCTACAGCAAATGACTCCTGCAGGGCCGAGTCCGGGAGTGTTTGGCCCTTTGGAGACCTCCCAGGCAGACATGAGGCGTCCGCGGTCCTGATTGCGCGTAGGCGCTGGGGAGGTGTTCTCTAAGGCCCATCAGCCTTACAGTAAGTGCACCGCCTTCTGGGGTCAGGTGCGCCACGGTCCAGAAGCCAAGTACACATGGCTTCAGGAAAACAGGCACGAGGCCCAGGTTGCCAGTGCCATTCATTTCTCCTGGGAAAGACAAAAACAGCCACCATGACTGTCGGGAGGGTGCTTCAGACCTGATGGGAGTCAGCCAGGCGGGCAGCTGTGAGGCTCTCAGACTCACTGGGTGTCGGGGTTCCCTGCCGCTGCAGTTCAGGAGGTCTCCCAGGACCCGGTATGGTCATTATCCTCACAGTGAGGGCCTATTATAGCAAGAATATGGGGATGAGAATGAGAGGAGGGAAGAGGCAGGCGCAAGCGTCCCACTGCCCTCTCCCGTGGAGCTGTGTGGACAGCGCTTATTTTCCCCGCATGGATGCGACAGCGTGCTGGAGTGTGGCCACCTAGGGAAGCTCACCCGGGCCTCTGCATCCAAGGTTTTCTTCAGGGGTTGGTCATGGGGACTGCTCACCCCGCGTGGCTGACCGTAGCCTCCAGAGAGACCCACGGCCCCCACCCTAAATCACATCCTTAGCATAGACTGTCCACTGTGGCCCAGGGCCCCAGATAAAGAGACGCTCCTATGAGGTAGGACACACCGAGGGCTCTCCGGTGACCTCCCAGGAGCCAGCCTTTTCTTCCGTCAGGGCTGCAGCCATGCTGCACAGCTGCATAACAAACACCCTAACCCCCCCCACCCCCTCAGCTTCAACAACGAATGCCTTGC
The DNA here is from genome assembly GCF_000001405.40 of Homo sapiens. Classification (NCBI taxonomy): domain Eukaryota; kingdom Metazoa; phylum Chordata; class Mammalia; order Primates; family Hominidae; genus Homo; species Homo sapiens. The sequence goes on from NC_000019.10 coordinate 46,392,269, forward strand.
TGTCTTCCTCAGTTCTGTGATTGGCTGGGCTTGGCCGTGCAGGGCGCACCTGAGGGCTGAGGCATTTGTGGTCGGGGGCATTTGGGGCTGGAGGCATCTGAAGACTCGCCCGGCTGGACTCCGTGGGGGCTCACTCCCGTGACGGCAGTTGCTGTGGGCTGTTAGCTGGGCTGGCACTGGAACGCCTGCGTGTGGCTTCCATGTGGCCTGAGCTTCTCTCAACGTGGCAGCAGGGTCCCTCAAGGGAGCATTAAATGTTTATATTTAAGTCAACCAACTGCATTCCAGCTGTAGCTCTTGCCTCAGCAATGTCCTGCCACACATTCAATTGTCTCTTTCATTTCCTTCAATCTGGAACATTTCCTCAGCCCCGCTTTGTCTTTGACATGGACGTTTGTGATGATCACGTTCCTCCCGCTCCCCGTGTCTGAAGAGTGCTCCCTGACTGGCTGCCGTCTCCTCCCTGTCGGGTCTGGCTGGGTTCTCCAGAGGGAGTGCTGCGGAGGGGACACAGCAGAGGCCCCATGCTCGTGATGTATGTTGCAGATCATTTTCCCCCATTCTGTCCTTTTTTGTTAAATTGTGGTAAAAAGCACATAACATAAACTGTACCACCTTAACCATTTGAAAGTATATATCCCAGACTGTCTTTTATCTTTAGACTTCACTTGTGGTTTGTTGCCACAGTACAAGTTTATTTTTATGAAGCCAAATGTATCAGTATTTCTTTAATTGTGCTGGCGTGGGAGTCAGTACTTCTCCCTACACCCGGGTTTCAGGGAAGTTCCCTCGGGTTTCTTCTGGTTTTTGTACAGTTTTCTTCTTTATGTCAAGATCTCCAGTCTATTTGGAGTTCCTTCTTGTATGTGATGTGAGGAATGGATCTAATTTTATCTTTTTCCAAGTGGATATTGGAGGAAGTTTTTAAACGAGAAGAGAAATTCAGAAGATGCTGCAAGAGATGGGACCTTTACGGCGATCAATGTCTCAGTAAAGTCAGAACAAAGAGACTCAGGCACACCCACCACAAGTACCAAAACTTTGAGCAGATCAACGCCACAGAGCTGGGCTCGGGAAAACGGAAGGGCCATGGGAGGGAGGGAAAGCATTTAATGGGGGAAGGTCTGGGTAAGCCGATAAGTTTTGGGGAATCAAGGGGGATAAATACACGTGAGTAGGGCTCTGAAGTTAGAGGCAATGAATTGACCAAAAAGAAACAGTAACTTCCAAAAGGGAGTGTGACGGAGAGATGCCCATAGACGCAGGTGATGAACATCCAGGGCTGGCCGGGCACGGGGGCTCACGCCTGTGATCCCAGCACTTGGGGAGGCCGAGTCATGTGGATCGCTTGAGCACAGGAGTCTGCTAAAATAGGGGACACCACTCTAGTTACAGTTTGGATCAGGGTCATCACGCTGGGGACGTGCCAGGCACACGGAGGTGGGGGAGATGCTGGGGGCTGGGGGCAGGTGTGGACACTAAGCAATGGTGTCAGAGGCTGCTGGGGAGTCTCAGGGTCTGGCAGGAGCAGATGTGGACTCCCAGGAGTCATGGACATGAATTAGGGGTCCTAAGAAGCCTCGCCACTGACAAAGGAAGCTGTGAAGGGAAGACCAGAGAACCGGGGGGAGCGGGGGTCTTAGGTGCTCCCCACCCCATCGACCAGGATGGACCCAGGCATCTGCCCAGCTGGATGGAACAGAGACTCCAAGGCAGGAAGGACCCGAGTTCTGTCTCCCTGTCGTTCTCTTGGACCCTTTCACGCTGTCTTTCCCCACCCCCATCTGTCAATGGCCATGATTAGATCACAGACCCAAGCTCTGGCCACCAGGGAAGGCAGAAAGATGACCTAACCTCCATAGCACCGGGTGGGGCCCCTGCCTCCCACCTGTGGGGGGTGTCAGTTGCTTGGCAGCCAGAGGGACAGAGGCCACCACCCCTCCCCTCCCGGCCAGCACCACAGATGGAGAAACTGGGCCCATGGTTCCCTCTGCCCACACCCTCCCATGGCTCTCATCTCCGTGGTCCAGCGGATGGGGGGAAACAGGTTGAGGAATTTGGACACTGGAAAATGGGTGGAAGCAGTTAAAACCTGAGGGGACCAGGAGGGGCAGGGTGGGCACCCATCTCAGATGAGTCGAAGAGCAGCAGGGTGATTTTCCATGCCCGGCCCCTTGGCTCTGTTCTAAGAGTTTACACGCATTAACATTTCATTCTAACTCAGTGAGTCAGACACTTTTCAGATGCCCATTTTACAGATAAGCAAGATAAGAAGTACAGAGAGGTTAAGTTACATGCTCAGAGTCACACAGCCAGCAAATGGCAGAACGGGACTTGAGCACCAGCTGACTGGCTGCAGAGTCTGTGCCCTGAGCCAGTTTGCAGTAGCATTGAGCACTTTATGTGTCAGGCAGTTTACAGGCACTTTGGGTCCTCGCAACAGCCCCATTTTACAGATGAGGAAACTGAGGCACAGAAGCAGCAATATACCTGAGGACACACAACTAGGAAGGAGGATAGAGCATATTCGGTGGGAGATAATAAAACCTTTGATGCCAAATGCTAAAATAATATTTGGGGAAAAGCTTTTGACCCCTTTTAGCAAACAAAAATTTTATGATGGCAAGAATTTATCCTGCTGGTTAATCTGATTTTTCCCTTTTTAGTACATGGGTGTTCCCTAACCTTACCCCTGAAGAGAAAACTCATGACTTCCCCCAGAGCTGTGCATTCTCAAAGCTTTTTTTTTTTTTTTTTTTTTTTTTTTCCTGAGATGGAGTCTTGCTCTGTCGCCCAGGTTGGAGTGCAGTGGCGCAATCTCGCTCACTGAAGCCTCCCCTCCCCCTCCTGGGTTCAAGCCTCGTAAGTAGCTGGGATTACAGGCGTGTGCCACCACGCCCAGCTAATTTTTGTATTTTTAGTAGAGACGGGGTTTCCCCATGTTAGTCAGGCTGGTCTCGAACTCCTGACCTCAAGTGATCTGCCCGCCTCGGCTGCCCAAAGTGCTGGGATTACAGGTGTGAGCCACTGCGCCCGGCCTCAAAGCATTTTTGTTAGCGGTCTTTTTAAGATTTCTCCACCGGGTGTGGTGGCTCACGCCTGTAATCTCAGCATTTTGGGAGGCCGCGGCGGGCAGATCACGAGGTCAGGAGTGTAACACCAGCCTGGCCAACATGGTGAAACCCCGTCTCCACTAAAAATACAAAAAAATTAGCCGGGCATGGTGGCACGTGCCTGTAATCCCAGCTACTCAGGAGGCTGAGGCAGGAGAATTGCTTGAACCAGGACCCAGGAGGCGGAGGTTGCAGTGAGCCGAGATGGCGCCACTGTATTCCAGCCTGGGCTACAGAGCGGGACTCCGTCTCAAAAAAAAAAAAAAAAAAAAAAAAAAAATTTCTCTTGTAACTGTTCTGTGATTGTCCACTGTATGGCGCTAGGGGGCGCTGTAACACCACGGTGTTTTATAGTCATTACAACACTCTTCCAGCAGATGGCGGCAAAGTGTTGGGGAAAGAGGGTGCCTTTTTGCCAATCCCCATATATTTTTCTAATTTTCTTTGTATGGTATGCAAACATTTCCAATGCTCAAAATTTGGTCTCAGCTACCATTCTAACTATTTGAGGCTTACGCTTCTCTGTTTCCCCTCCAATCTGGGCCGAAGTCTTCCTGTCAGTGAAACAGGGATGTTTAAAGGAGTTTTTTTGGGGCCCCTTTCCCAGAGCTGTCCTGATGGCCCATTTGGGGCAGTTTCTCTCTTTTTGGAGCGTGGAGCTGCTCTTAAGGCCCTGCCTGCTGGATTCTCAAATAGCATGGTGGACACTCCCCTCCAGACCTCCTCTGTGGGCCCAGCCTCCCCTCTCTTAGCCCCTTGGAGTTCCTGCCCCTTTTGGGCCCCAAAGTCCTGTCTCTAACTCAAAGACAGTTAGTTATCTGTGTTAAAATAAAATAACATGGGCCGGGCGTGGTGGCTCACGCCTGTAATCCCAGCACTTTGGGAGGCCGAGGTGGGCGGATGACCTGAGGTCAGGAGTTCGAGACCAGCCTGGCCAACATGGTGAGACCCGATCTCTACTAAAATTGTCAAAGAACAAATTAAGGTGTGGTGGCGGGTGCCTGTAATCTCAGTTACTCGGGAGGCTGAAGCAGGAGAATTGCTTGAACCCGGGAGGTGGAGGTTGCAGTGATCGGAGATCGTGCCAGCCTGGGTGACAGAGCAAGACTCCATCTCAAAAAATAAATAATTTTTTAAAAATGGAGACCAGGACTGAGAATTCCCCAAAGCAGACAAAAGCAGTTAGGCCATGTAAACACAACTTAATCTAGTTTGACTTCTGAATGTGAGTGAAACTTAGCTTATTCCCTGTAAATAAATGCTGCTGAGAATCATAAACAAAGCTGAAATCGCCTTCCAAAAGGATGTAAGACAATCACTTTTAACCGATCCCTTGTCATATGGAAGCCCCCACCATCATAGTCGGTCATCGTGAAGGTGAAGCCACCTCCTGGTTTTTGCTTTTTTTTTTTTTTTTTTTTTTTTGAGATGGAGTCTCGCTCTGTCGCCCAGGTTGGAGTGCAGTGGTGCGATCTTGGCTCACTGCAAGCTCCGCCTCCCGGGTTCACGCCATTCTCCTGCCTCAGCCTCCCGAGTAGCTGGGACTACAGGTGCCCGCCACCACGCCTGACTAATGTTTTGTATTTTTAGTAGAGACAAGGTTTCACTGTGTTACCCAGGATGGTCTCGATCTCCTGACCTCATGATCCACCCGCCTTGGTCTCCCAAAGTGCTAGGATTACAGGCGTGAGCCACCGCGCCTGGCCTTTTTTTTTTTTTTTTTTTTTTTTTTGAGATGGAGTCTCACTCTTGTCGCCCAGGCTGGAGTGCAGTGGTGCAATCTCCATTCACTGCAACCTCTGCCTCCTGGGTTCAAGCGATTCTCCTGCCTCAGCCTCCTGAGTAGCTGGGACTACAGGCACCCGCCACCATGCCTGGCTAATTTTGTGTATTTTTAGTAGAGATGGGGTTTCACTATGTTGGCTAGGCTAGTCTCGAACTCCTGACCTCGTGATCTGCCTGGCTCGGCCTCCCAGAGTGCTGGGATTACAGGCGTGAGCCACTGTGCCCGGCTGGTTTTTGCTTTCTAAGCCATCCTACACCAGCCTGCCTCTGAGTTGCTTACCGCTCAGATTGAAGTCTCCTGGATGACAATTCGTGCTTTTTGCATGACAATAAACTTTTTTTTCCCCCCCCTAATTGGAGCCTATTTTATTCTGGACATTTTGGGGGAATTAGAAGTGAGATTCAAAGAAGATCCCAAGGAGCCCTGACTGCAGGGAGTAACCAGGCATGGGCACCCACACAGCCAGCTGTGTTCACTACTTTCTTGCTAACCAAGGGGTTTGGGATAAGTCTTTTTCGGATCTGAGCTTCCTTCTCTTCACCTTTGAGCTCTCCGTTTGTCACACAAAAGGGGCCGATTCTGTTTGTTTCTATTTGTCTGTCTGAGTTTGAGCTCGGGTAAGTCATTCTTTCCTGTTCAATAATGGAGGAGGATCTGTGTTTCCCTGCATCCTAGAATGGTAACCCCCTGGCTAGACACCCCATAGCTTATTTGGCAGAGTCTCAGAGGAAACGAAGGCCAGGGTGCATTCAGAACATCCCAGTATTCTCCATCTAGAACTCTACCTGCTTATATGTTTAAGAACTATGGCCGGGCGCGGTGGCTCACACCTGTAATCCCAGCATTTTGGGAGGCCAAGGCAGGGCGGATCACTTGAGGTCAGGAGTTCAAGACCAGCCTGGCCAATATGGCGAAACCCCATCTCTACTAAGAATACAAAAATTAGCCGGGCATGGTGGCAGGAACCTGTAATCCCAGCTATTCCAGAGGCTGAGGCAGGAGAATCTCTTGAACCCAGGAGGTGGAGATTGCAGTAAGCCGAGATCGTGCCTCTGCACTGCACTCCAGCCTGGCAATACACCGAGACTCCATCTCAAATTCCCAGTGTCAGCCAGGCACAGTGGCTCATGCCTGTAATCCCAGCACTTTGGGATGCCAAGGCAGGGCGGATCACTTGAGGTCAGGAGTTCAAGACCAGCCTGGCCAATATGGCGAAACCCCATCTCCACTAAAAATACAAAAATTAGCCGGGCATGGTGGTGGGAGCCTGTAATCCCGGCTACTCCAGAGGCTGAGGCAGGAGAATCTCTTGAACCCAGGAGGCGGAGGTTGCAGTGAGCTGAGATCGCATCACTGCATTCCAGCCTGGGCAACAGCCAAAATACTGTCTCAAAAAAAAAAAAATAGATAGATAGATAGATAGATAGATAGATAGATAGATACATACATACATACATACATACATACATACATAGATTTTTATGGATCTCTCTGAGATCCCTGACACTGTATGGGCCTCTTCTTCCACAGATGTGGGCAAAATAAAAAATGCTGAACCTATGAAAATTCAGATTAATCTTTCAAAACCACTGTTGAAGTTGTCTCAGTACCCGCTTTACAAAAAGCCATACATGTGCAAACTCCTACAACAGAAGATTTAATGAAACGGGCTATTTCTTGTAATGTTCCTATCCTGTTTTAAAAAATGTACAGATGAGGATGGATATTTGTACAAGATCTCGATCTCCATGGGATCTTTACTACACCCATAAATAAAACATTTAAAAATGTCCCGTATACATATGTAACAAACCTGCACGTTGTGCACATGTACCCTAAAACTTAAAGTATAATTTAAAAAAAGTCCCATAGTGCCCAACCCCAACACCCTATTGATGAAGGTGCCAAATGATTCCAAATCGAATGGTTCACAGGAGTGGACATATGCTGTCTGTGGTTTTTTTTTTTTGTTTTTTTTTTTTCCCCAGACAGAGTCTCACTCTGTCGCCCAGGCTGGAGTGCAGTGGCGGGATCTCGGCTCACTGCAACCTCCGCCTCCCGGGTTCAAGCAATTCTCCTGCCTCACCCTCCCGAGTAGCTGGGATTACAGGCGTGCGCCACCGCGCCTGGCCCCAACCTGCATTTTCATTGGTTGCAGGGATAAAAGGCAAGTCCCACCAGAAAATCAATGCCAACCAGGAACTGAGGGTGGCGGTGTTCAGTCTGTTCCCAGGGTTTTGAGAACTGGTGCAGTGCCTAACAAGCACACACGTTCCCCTTAGTAAGGAAATACGGTTAAGAATGAAGTAAAAAAAAAATTGTTTTCTTTCAATTTATGTGTCTATATATTTTCATTTTTTATGTTAATAAAGACAAGGTCTCGCTATGTTGCCCAGGCTGATCTCAAACTCCTTAGCTCTACATATTTTCAAATGGCTACTAACTTCTTAGGACATAAGAGCTTAGGTTGTTTAGACCTCACCAGATGAGAATGGAACTGTTAGGTATTTCTTTGGGGGCGCTATGGAAAAAATGACTGAATTACTAAGGTCTGGTGCACCAAGCAAGTCCAGAGCCACCTGCACCAGGGCACAGGGGTTGAGAGCCTGGGCTCTGGAGTCAGAAGACCTAGGTTTGCCACCTCACTTTGCCATCCTTGGGCATTGTGCGACCTCTGCGCCTGTAAAACGGGAATAGTTAACAGTTGTGGGATTAGTGACAAAGCCCATAGAAAACATTCAGACAGGCCGGGCGTGGTGGCGGGCGCCTGTAGTCCCAGCTACTCGGGAGGCTGAGGCAGGAGAATGGCGTGAACCCGGGAGGCGGAGCTTGCAGTGAGCCGAGATCGTGCCACTGCACTCCAGCCTGGGCGACAGAGCGAGACTCCCTCTCAAAAACAAACGAACAAAAACATTCAGACAATCCCTGGCATGTCTTAGCAGGCGATAAATGTTAGTTTTATAAATTTATTTATTTAACCAAAATGGACTCATTCTACATATGTATTTCTATCATTTTTTTCCTTATTATTATCTGGACATTTTTTTCTAGGCAGGCCTGTAAGGATCTTTCTTTCTTTCTCTTGCCTTCCTTCTTTTTTTTCTTTTTTCTTTTTTTTTTTTTTTTTTTTTTTTGAGACAGGGTCTTGCTCTGTCACTCGGGTTGGAGTGCAGTAGCACGATCTCAGCTAACTGCAGCCTCCATCTCCTGGGCTCAAGCTATCTCCTCCCACCTCAGCCTCCTGAATAGCTGGGAACACATGCCACCACGCCCGACTAATTTTTTGTAGAGACAGGGTTTCACCATGTTGCCCAGTCTTTTCTCACTCCTGAGCTCAAGCCATCCTCCTGCCTCAGCCTCCCAAAGTGCTGGAATTATAGGCATGAGCCACTGCGCCTGGGCAACTGTTCTTTCTAATAGCCCCCTAGTCTGCATCCTTCAGGGACTTCTTAAAGTAAAAACGTCCAGCCAGGCGCAGTGGCTCACGCCTGTAATCCCAGCACTTTGGGAGGCCGAGGTGGGTGGATCACGAGGTCAGGAGATCAAGACCACCCTGGCCAATATGGTGAAACCCCGTCTCTACTAAAAATACAAAAATTAGCCGGGCATGGTGACACGTGCCTGTAATCTCAGCTACTCGGAGGCTGAGGCAAGAGAATCACTGGAACCAGGGAGCTGGAGGTTGCAGTGAGCTGAGATTGCACCACTGCACTCCAACCTGGTGACAGAGCGAGACTCCGTCTCAAAAAAAAAAAAAAAAAAAGAAAAAAGAACTCCAAGACTTCAAGGTTCCCCTGAAGCTTGGATGCAAACGTAAAGCCTGACCTATCCTCATTGATAAATAGGCCCTTATTCTCCCTTCCCTTCCATTACTTCCCTCCTTCTCATAGGAAGGCATTCCATTTCTTCATCCTGCCATTTGAGGCCTCTGCCTCTGTGTCCTGCCCTGGCTAAGGCCCCTGCCTCTGTCTCCACCATGCCTTGTGACCCTGGAGAGGTCCCTCAATTCCTTAAGCCACAGGTTCCTCATCTATATAATGGGGATGATAATAATAGAAGCTGCATCCCTGGGCTGCTGTGAGAATTACAGAGTTCAACCCCCAAGGCTATGACGAATCTGCCCGTAGTAAAGAGTGAGGCTGGGGGCGGTGGCTCACCCCTGTAATCCCAGCACTTTGGGAGGCCAAGGCAGGTGGATCACTTGAGATCAGGAGTTCAAGACCAGCCAGGCCAACATGGTGAAACCCCGTCTCTACTAAAAATACAAAAATTAGCCAGGTGTGGTGGCAGGAGCCTGTAATCCCAGCCATTAGGGAGGCCGAGGGCAGAAGAATCGCTTGAGCCCGGGAGGCAAAGGTTGCAGTGAACCGAGATCGCTTCACTGCCCTCCAGCCTGGGTGACAAAGCGAGACTCCTTCTCAAAAACAAACAAACAAAAAACCAAACTGTTCCCCTGAACTTGTTTTTTTGTGGCAGCGGGTGGCAGCTGGGCCTGTCAGATAGAGGCTGATTTGGAATCAAGACATCGGTCTTTTGGGGCAACCGTTCAGATTCTGTGAGTTTGAAACCACAAATGCCAAAGTTTAAATTGGGAGACTGGACCCTGCAGGCACTATTTAAATCCCTTTTTGTGTTACAAATAGTGAACCCCCCCTGCTGCCATCTGCAGGCCACTAAAGTGTCCATTCCACATCTGAGTCCTGGGCGATTCTGAAGTGGGATCCCGAGGACAGAGATACTAATAAGTTGGCTCACGCCTGTAATCGCAGCACTTTGGGAGGCCGAGGCACGCAGATCACGAGGTCAGGAGTTCGAGACCAGCCTGGCCAACATGGTGAAACCTCGTCTCTACTAAAAATACAAAAAATTAGCTGGGTGAGGTGGCGGGAGCCTGTAATCCCAGCTACTCAGGAGGCTGAGGTAGGAGAATCACTTGAAACCAGAAGGCGGAGGTTGCAGTGAGCTGAGATTGTGCCACTGCACTCCAGCCTGGGCGACAGAGCGAGACTCCGTCAAGAAAGGAAGGGAGGAAGGGAGGAAGGAAGGAAGGAAGGGAGGGAGGGAGGAAGGAAGGAAGGAAGGGAAAGGAAGGAAATGAAGGAATAAGAAAAAAGAAAATAAAAGCAAAGGAAAAGAAAAGAGAAAAGAAAAGAAGAAAGAAAAAGTTGTGTCCATTCCCGAGTCAAACTTAGACTCCGGACCTCTTTTCCCAGCTGCCGCCAGGGGGCGCAACGTGGCTCATTGTCTCCAAAAAACAGCCGCTGTCAATTCTTCCCTTCCCCGTATGCCCCTGGTACCTCCCCCCGTCAAGAGGTGAAGTCTATTTCCCTTCCGCTTGAATCCAGACTAGCCTTATGACTTGGTTTGACCAAGAAGTTGAGTCCCATCGAATGACTCCTCTTCTCTTCAAATCCTCTTATGGCTTCCTATGTCACTAAAGGTCAAAGCCAGAGTCCTTATAACAGGGTCTGGACCTGTTCAGTGCAGCAGCCACTACTGACATGGGGATATTTTAATTTCAATGTAACTAAATACAATTAAACATCCACATCCTGAAGTCACAGTAGCTACATCGCAAGTGCTCAAGAGCCACACGTGGCCAGTGGCTACCACATCACGCAGTGCTGGTGCAGGACACTGCCACCATCGCACGCAGTTCTCTTGCACAGCTCAGGTCTACACACTCCGCCTCCATCTCACCCCCTGCCTTGTTTCCCACCTCCCTCTCTGTGTCTCCCCCCGTGGCTTCAGCCACCCAGGTCTCCGGGTCACACCAGGCATATTCCTGCCTCAGGGCCTTTGCACTGCTGTTCTCTTTCTTCAAATGTCACATTCCCAGGGAGGGCTTCCCTGACCACCTATAAAAATGTAACCCAGGCTGGGCGCAGTGGCTCACCCCTGTAATCCCAGCACTTTGGGAGGCTGAAGCGGGCGGATCACCTGAGGTTGGAAGTTCAAGACCAGCCTGAACAACACGGAGAAACCCCGTCTCTACTAAAAATATAAAATTAGCCGGGCGTGGTGGTGCATGCCTGTAATCCCAGCTACTCAGAAGGCTGAAGCAGGAGAATCGCTTGAATCCAGAAGGTGGAGATTGCGGTGAGCGGAGATCGCGGTGAGCGGAGATCGCGCCACTGCACTCCAGCCTGGGCAACAAGAGCGAAACTGCATCTCAAAAACAAACAAACAAACAAACCCTAGCCTGGCTCGGTGGCTCACGCCTGTAATCCCAGCACTTTGGGAGGCCGAGGCGGGTGGATCACTTAAGGTCAGGAGTTCGAGACCAGCCTGGCCAACATGGAGAAACTCCGTCTCTATTAAAATACACAAAAATTAGCCACGCGTGGTGGCGCGCGCCTGTAATCCCAGCTACTCGGGAGGCTGAGGCACGAGAATCGCTTGAACCCGGGAGGCAGAGGGGCAGTGAGCTGAGATCGTGCCACTGCACTCCAGCCTGGGTGACAGAGCAAGACCCCGTCTCAAAAAGAAAAAAAAAAAGTGACCTTTTCTGCACTTGCTCGCTTTATTTTTCGGAGCTCTGATTGCCCTGGTTCACTCATTTGTTTCTCAATAGCACGCCGACTTGTCAGGAAGGTTAATAGAGGAAATTGGTGACACAGACATTGCAATCAGGAAGGGCTGAGAGTAGCAAGTCAGGTGGGCTCACCATTAGCAATGCAGGGAGCTGCTGTCTCGTGAGGATTGGAGGAGCCACGTGGAAAATGCTGCTGCCCGGAGCCCAGGTGGCTGCGCTGGCCAGGGAGAAGCCCCTGGTTGGCGGCGGTGGCCGTCACTGCTGCTGCTGCTTCTGCAGCCACCACGGCCCAAGCATCCCCCAGATGGCGTCCCCTTCCTCTGGCTTCCTCTCCCGTAGCAACAGCAGTCCCTGCAGAGGACTCTGGAGTGGTGGTTGCGGGGTCCTACCCCGCAGGGGGCAGGTGGGCGTGGCGGGGAGAGGCAGTAGAGTCGCTCAGGGTCAGCTCTGACCTGTCCCCGCGGTGTTCCCGGCCCCAGCAGCTGCTCAGTTATTTGTCGAGTGCTGACGGTCGGTCGGAAGAAACCACCCGGACTGAGGAAGGCTGACCCCAGATGCGCCTAGTTGGGAATGTGCTGGAAAGATACGCCCCCTGGAGGGAGTGCGCCCAGGAAGTGGGGAGGAGCGTTTGAGATCGAAGGAGTGGCCGCGTAAAGGCCCTGAGGTCTCGCAAGGAAGGGTCCCGGGGCGTCCCAGGCCCTGTTCTAGGTGCAAGAAACAGGAACCTCCTGGAGCGAGCATGCGGTGGGGAGGCAGGGGGTACGCCTCCTACATGAGGAGGAGATCCACGCATTAGGAAGTGAGGCCTGCTGGGGACAAAAGTCTGGCAGGCAGGGCCCCAGGAGGGCCGGGGCAGGAGAGGGTTTGCAGTCATCGTAAACGGGGCGGCATGGAAAGCCCTCACTGAGAAGGTGCCAAAGACCCCAAGGAGGTGAGGGGTTGCGGCCGGCAGATGCCTGGGGAAAGCGCATGACCGGAAGCGCAGGAAGAGCCAGGTTAAAAGCCCCAAGCCAGAGTGTGATAATATGGGGCTGTTAATGTGTGACTACTGCCCCTCCCGTGCCAGGCTCGGTGCTGGCGTAGGGGAGGCAGTGGGGCCAAAGAAGGCCACCTGCCTCCATGGTGGTCGCTGTCGGGTTGGATTTCCACGTGCCTGGAGTTTAAAAGTGAGGCAGCCTGGAAATGAGCTTGCAGAGTTCGCTGGGGGCGTGGGGGAGGTTTGGCCGTGCAGACTTTCAGATAGCGGGCCCAGGCAGGGACCTCGATCCTGAACCCGCCCCCACCCCGATCCCGGAGCCAGCTCAGACACAGGGGCGCCTGAAAACTCCTAGGGACATGACCAGGTGCTGGAGGGAGGGAGAAGTCTGGGTTCCGGGGACAGAAAAAGACAGTCCCTACCGCCAACGGGTTCCCCAGACCCGGTTTCCACTGAGGCCCCACCTTCCCCAGCGCAGTCTTCGCCCCTTGCATAGGAGGCCACATCTCCTACACGTAGATATGCAGAGAGCGTGTCAACGCGCAAGAGCTGCAGCGCCCCATTTAACCACCAAGAGGCTCCAGGGCCGCTGGTTAAAATCGTGCGGGAAGAGATAGCTTGACGCCAGGAGTTCAAGACCGGCCCGAGCAAAATAGTGACCCACCCCCAACCCCCGCTCCCCGCCTCTCGTCTATACAAAAATAAATATACATAAATAAAATAAAATAAGCAAATAAATATTACATCGTGCCGGCGATGGTGTTTCCCGAGCACTCGAAGCGCCTAAGTTTTCCCTGGCCTTTGAACGCTAGACTGCAGAAAGCGGCAGGACAGCGGTTCTCAAAGTCAGGTTCTGGACCAGCTGCGCCAACGTCTCCTGGGAACTAGATACACATGTTCGGGCCCACCCGAGACCTACAGAACCCCTTTGGGCAGGCAGCCCGGCAAGCTGAATTTTCGAAGGACCCCCCAGGCACCTGCGATACGGGACCAGTTGGAGAAACGGTCCGGCATCACAGTTTGAGACCCCAGATGTGGGGTCTGATGGTCTCTAGGACCCCTAGGGTCACAGTTGTCAGCCCCGGCTGCCCATTGCTGGGAATCACCTGGGAAGCTTTAGGGACTGTTGCTGCCCCAGCGGAGGCCTGGCACCATCCCGAGATTCCCAGAGTGGGTCCTGTGTGCATGCTGGACATGGGCTCCGGGTCATTTCAGGGACAGCCGGGGCGGGGACTGCTGCCCTGGGGTCTCTGTCAAGGCCGATGTGTGCAGTGAAAAACTGGCCGCTGCTGATACCTAGCAGGAATAAGACGAGATGACGTCTCCTAGGGTTGATTGGAGCACGAACACATCACACCCTTTTCAGTACCCTGAGCAATGCTGGAAGGAAAGCTCTGCTATGATCCCCCTTTCCCATGAGGACATGGAGTCACAGAGAGGTCAAGTTACCAGCCCAAGGTCACACAGCTTGCAAGGAGCGGTGCTGGGGGAGCCAGGCAGCTGAGCTCCAAATTGCTCTCCTGTCACACCCTGTGGGCCTGGGAGGGAGACCCACAAATCAGAAATCCTTCCACCCCCATGTCTTTTTTTTTTTTTTTTTTTTTGACAGAATCTCGCTCTGTCACCTAGGCTGGAGTGCAGTGGTGCAATCTCGGCTCACTGCAACCTCCGCCTCCTGGGTTCAAACAATTCTCATGCCTCAGCCTCCCAAGTAGCTGGGATTACAAGCACCTGCCATCACGTCCAGCTAATTTTTGTATTTACAGTAGAGACGGATTTTTGCCATGTTGGCCAGGCTGGTCTCAAACTCCTGACCTCAAGTGATCTGCCCATCTCGACCCCCCAAAGTGTTGGAATTATAGGCGTGAGACACTGTACGCAGCCCCTCCACCCCCATGTCTCAGGGTGGCATCCCTCCCTTCCATGTCTGTGTTCTGGAATCACCTGTGGCCTCTTATTTTCCTCTTTGGTAAAAATGAGGAGCAGCTGGGTCGGGCACGGTGGCTCACGCCTGTAATCCCAGTACTTTGGGAGGCCGAGGCGGGCGGATCACGAGGTCAGGAGATCAAGACCATCCTAACACAGTGAAACCCCATCTCTACTAAAAATACAAAAAAATTAGCTGGGCGTGATGGAGGGTGCCTGTAGTCCCAGCTACTAGGGAGGCTGAGGCAGGAGAATGGCGTGAACCCAGCAGGCGGAGTTTGCAGTAAGCCGAGATCGCGCCACTGCACTCCAGCCTGGGTGACAGAGCGAGACTCTGTCACAAAAACAAACAAACAAACAAACAAACAAACAATGAGGAGCAGCTGGACTGGTCCAGATGAAGGCTGATTCAGAGACCAATCTCTGGTTTCCTGGGCTTCCTCTTGGAAACCTTCGTGCATTTGAAACCACACCCCAGAGGCATCAAGGGACTGACTGGCCCTGCAGGTGCTGTTTGAAGGCCCCTGCGCTGAAATATAATAGCGAACACTCTGTTCTGTCTCAGTTACTAGAGGGCTCCCCTACCTGTGGGGCCTCCCTGAATGCTCACGGTGGGGATGCTGGGAACAGTTCAGAAAAGGTTGTGTTCACTCGGGGGGCAACAAATTTTGACTCAGTGGGGGATAGACTTGCCCAAAGCCTCAGGGCCACCCAGAAAGGCTATGCAAATAAGACCCAGGGATGGCCGGGTATACAAGTAAGACTGGGGGGGCTGAGGCACGAGAATTGCTTGAACCCGGGAGGCAGAGGTTGCAGTGAGTTGAGATCCCACCACTGCACTCCAGCCTGGTTGACAGAGACTCTGCCTAAAAACAAAAACAAAAACAAACAAAAAAACCCAGGGAGACGGTGTGAAACTGTTTCTTTTTTCTTTTTTGAGACAGGGTTTTGCTTGTTGCCCAGGTTGGAGTACAATAGCGCAATCTCAGCTCGCCGCAACCTCCTGGGTTCAACTGATCCTCCTCCTACCTCAGCCTCCCGAGTAGCTGGGATTACAGGCATGCACCATCATGCCCAGCTAATTTTTTGTATTTTTAGTACAGATGGGGTTTCACCATGTTGGCCAGGCTGGTCTCGAACTCCTGACTTCAGGTGATCCACCCACCTCGGCCTCCCAAAATGCTGGGATTACAGGCGTGAGCCACCGCGCCCGGCTGTGAAACTTTCTGCAAGCATCTGTGTGTCTGTGACTGCCTGGCTTTTGAGTTTGTGTGATAACATGTGAGTGTGTCCATCTGGCTGAGGGAATCAAAGTGTCCAACGGCATCTAGCAGTGTGTGACGGGTCCTGAGTGGGTGAACACGTTGACATTTCCAAGTATGTCAGTGTTTGTATGAATGGGTCTGTGAATGTGTGGGGGTTGGCTTCCCGGAGCACAGTGGGTCTGTGCGCCTCTGTGAGTACACGTGTGTGTACTACATGTGTGTGTCCGTGTCTGTGTCTATGTATGGGCAGATTAATCATAATTTCTGTTGGTGAATGTGGGTCTGCCAGTGGTGCCTGAGTGTACATGTGTCTGTGGTATGTGCTGTGCCTGCGTGCCTGGATCCGAGTGTGCATGTGTCTATGTGTGTGTCCACACGTGTATGGCAGTGAGAGAGACTGACCCAGTGTTGCCTGATGTCTGTGAAATCCACGCAGCTCCTCGTTTAACTCCATCTTGCCACTTGTTTGGGGTCCACACCACTTTCCTTCTCATGGGCCCCTGATGTTCCCCCGAGACCCCCCCCCCCCCATAGCTCTGGGCGCTGCAGGGAGGAGGAGCAGAGAGACTCGCTCTGAGCCTTCATTTCCTGCATTCATGCCGTCGGCTCCTCCAGTCTCCGAATCCCTCCAAACATCTGTCTCTGCTGTTCCTTTTTACCTTCCAGCTCCTCAGGCAGGCCAGGTCCCCATGGTCACGAGACCTCTGCCCTCCGAAGTGGGCAGCGACAAAGGACAGCCTCCCTCCCCACCAACCAGAACCTTCCCACCCAGCCTGTCTTCCTCCGCGCACCTGCAAAGCCTCCCCTCCAGGTGAGGTCCACAGCTTGTATTTCTTCCAAACCTCCCAGGGCCTCGTTCTTGCTGTGAGCCGTGGACTACACGGCCAAGTATCCACCAGCATGCACAAAGCGGCTCTAGCAAGGCCATGCGGCGCGCCAGGCAGCAAGCAGCACCAGCAGTAACCACTCCACTCAGAAAAGAGCAGGGGTGGGGCGCGGTGGCTCACTCCCATAGTCCCAGAGCTGAGGCCAGAGGATCGCTTGATCCCAAGAGTGCAAGTGAGCCGTGATTGCAACACCACACTCCAGCCTGGGTGACAGAGCCAGACCCTGTCTTGAAAGAAAGAAAAGAGTAAAGAAAAGAGAGAAAGAGAAAGGAAAGAAAGCAAGAGAGAGAGAGAAAGAGAGAGGGAGGGAGGGAGGAAGAAAGAAAGAGGGAAGGAAGGAAGGAAGGAAAGGAGGGAGGGTGGGAGGGGGAAGGGGAGGGAGAGGGAGAGGGGAGGGAGAGAGGGAGAGGGGAGGGGAGTGGAGGGAGAGAGGGAGAGGGGAGGGGAGTGGAGGGAGAGAGGGAGAGGGGAGGGGAGGGAGGGAAGGGGAGGGGAGGGAGGGAAGGAGGGAGGAGGGTGGAAGAGAGAAAAACAAAAGGAGGGTGGTGGGATAGAATTCTTTACTTTCCTGAGGAAAAAAATAAGAAACTTAGGCCAGGCCTGCAACCAGTTAGGAAGACAGACTGGCCTTTGGACCTCCACGAACTCTCTTTTCTCCTGCCCTCAGCAAGGCTAGAGTGTGGTCATTTGCTGTTTTTCACTGCTAGGGGTTGTGGGGACACAAGGCAATACAGGCCCCCAGCTTCCTCCTAACCTCCACAGGGCTTTAGCAACCCAGTTTCTTCCCAATTATAGGAAGCAGTTGGCCGCGTGCAGTGGCTCATGCCTGTAATCCCAGCACTTTGGGAAGCAGAGGTGGGCAGATCAGCTGAGGTTAGGAGTTCAAGACAAGCTTGGCCAATATGGTGAAACCTCATCTCTACTAAAAATACAAAAATTAGCCAGGTGTGGTGGCACACACCTGTAGTCCCAGCTATTCGGGAGGCTGAGGGAGGAGAATCGCTTGAACCAGGGAGGCGGAGATGGCAGTGAGCCGAGATCGTGCCACTGCACTCCAGCCTGGGAGACAGAGAGTGAGATTCCATCTCCAAAAAGAAAAAAAAAAATGCAGCAGCAATTAATGCACAATACACACAGCCTCTTTTTTTTTTTTTTTTTTTTTTTTTTTTTGAGACAGAGTCTCACTGTGTCACTAGGCTGGAGTGCAATGGCACAATCTCGGCTCACTGCAACCTCCACCTCCTGGGTTCAAGAGATTCTCTTGCCTCAGCCTCCAGAGTAGCTGGGACTACAGGCGTGCGCCACAAGGCCAGTCTAATTTTTGTATTTTTATTAGAGACGGGGTTTCACCACGTTGGCCAGGATGGTCTCGATCTCTTGACCTCGTGATCCACCCGCCTTGGCCTCCCTAAGTGCTGGGATTACAGGCGTGAGCCACCATGCCCGGCCAACCACAGCCCCTCTTTTGGGCCTTTTCCTATTGCAATGATTTTTCAATGTGTCCAGTGGCCGAGTTGCCCAGATGTCCGTGGAGCTTGATGCAAACAGAATTCAGAGCCACACAGGCACCGCTAGCAAATCCACACCTCTGGTGCCGAGGGCCCCAGAATCTGTGTTTTGAATGCATTTTTCAGACGCTTTTACTGTACCTTATAACCAAGATCGGGTGAGGTGTGCAAACCAAGGGCCCTGTCCCCTCCAAACCAGCAGAGCCCGGGGCATGAGGATGGCAAGCGAAGTGACAACATAAACACAGGTGTCTCCATCATCAAGGATGGGAGTGGAACGGACAGCAAGGGCCAGGTCACCCCCAGAGCATTCGTCAGTTGTCAAGTCCAAAGCTAAGAAATCAGTTCATAAATGTTTTTTGATTTGCATGTTGGCTCAACTCTTTTTAAGTCCAAGGAGGCAGTCCACATTAAGTGTGCAGGCAAAAAAGAGATGGAAAAAGGAGTCAGTTTCTCCCCTGCCCTCCCTCTCTCCCTTTATCAAGCTGAGCACCTTGAGTTGCATTTGAGGAAATGAAAACTATAGGTGACGCAACCCCATTGTGTCGAATTCTTTCTTTACATTTTTTGGGTTGCTACAAGGAATCAGTATTTTTTTTTTTTAATCAGATGGTGTGTGTGGTGGCTCACATCTGTAATCCCAGCATTTTGGGAGGCCGAGGCAGGAGGATCACTTGAGGCCAGAAGTTTGAGGCTGCAGTGAGTTATGATCATGCCACTGCACTCCAGCCTGGGCAACAGAGTGAGACCCTGTCTCTAAAAAATTTAAAAAAAAATCAAAGCATGAACAAAACTTTAACAAGAGAATAAAGAGGGTTGTTAGGTGGAGACGTGGCCAGCACTCCACCTCCACTTTGAAGTTCAGAGGCAGAGCATCTCTCCCTCCCACACTTGGAGGGAGGGCCCGTGGGCTGTCTCTAGCCCTCACCTCACAGCTGGTCTTCTTGCTCTCCCTGCTCAGCTTCTGCTCTGGCCTCGGCCCTCAGCACCCTGAGGTTCCTGGCCTCTCCTGCCCTGGGGACTCTCTTGGGCAGGGTTGGCAACCGGGGAGTGTGCCAGAAGGCTCTCCGGCGCTTGCAAAACCACGAAAAGCGTCCAGGGGTCTGGAACCTCACTGTCTTGACCTGTTTCCGGGCCCTGGCTCCTGGAGCTGTTCCTGTGGTCCCTTGGGCAGCTGAGACTTCAGCTTCCTGGATACCTGGGGCCCCTGCCCTCTGATTATGTGCAGCCTCTGCCCTCTGGCCAGCCCGGGCCTGTGCCCTCTGATTATCTGCACCCTGGACAGCTGGGGCCCTTTCCCTCTGGTCATGTACGGCCTCTTCCCTTTGATTATCTGTAACCTCTGACCCCTGGTCAGCTGGGGCCTCCGCCCTCTGATTATCTGCAGCCTCTTCCCTGTGGTTATCTGTGCCCTGTGACCTCTGGTCAGCTGGGGCCTCTGCCCTCTGATTATCTGCAGCCTCTTCCCTCTGGTTATCTGCAGCCTCTGCCCCCTCCTCAGCTGGGGCCCCTGCCCTCTGATTATCTGCAGCCTCTTCCCTCTGATTATCTGCAGCCTCTGCCCCCTGGTCAGCTGGGGCCCCTGCCCTCTGATTACCTGCAGCCCCTTCCCGCTGGTCAGCTATGGCCTCTTCCCTTTGACTATCTGCAGCCTCTCCCCCCTGATCAGCCTCGATGTCTGCCCCCTGACCTGTGGGTGCTGTCTGCTCCTTCCTGCGGCGCCGAAAGGAGGCCCAGTTGATCTTGGGCCTCCATCGCCTAGGGGAAGCCTGGGGCACACAAACATCTCCCGCGTTTCCCAAGCGATCCCCCGGGCTGGTGCCCTCTGGCGCCGATGATACCCCTGCGCTCTCCACTGCGGTGGAGGCCAGCCGGGCCTCGCCCACCCCGGGGCCCGCCCTCGGCGCCCAACCCTTCACCCTCCGCTTCAGCTTCCCCCAGGACACCTGGCTGACATACTCCCGCCACCTGTCCGCTTTGGACAGCTGAGGCCCCAGGTTGTCCTCAAACATGGGCACTGGCAGGTTGACGCGGCGGCGGGCAGGCGGCGCGCTGGGCTGCTTCTCCTGTCGCCGGAGGAAGGCCTCGACCAGTTCCTCATCATCCTCACTCTCCAGGTCGCTTCCCAGGAACTTGCTGCCCAGGTAGCTGACGGGCATTTTGCGCACCTTCTTGCCCCGCCGCGGGCCCTGGCGGCTCTTGTCTCTGGAGGTCTCGAAGTCGCTGAACTCGCTGTCGCTGGCGTTGCTGCTGTCGTACGTGCCCACGACCAGCCGGGGCGGAGGAGTCACCATCTGCTGCACTCTCCTCCTCACTCGGGGCTCCTTGGGCTTTTTGGGGGGCTGGGGCGGGTGCGGGGTGCTCTTCTCCATGATGCGGGCCACGTCCTCCAGGGTGCGGCCCTCTTCTTCCAGGAACTGGGTCAGCCGCTCCCGAAATTCTGCTTCCTTGGTGGCGGGCTTAGAGATGACTCTCCAGACGCCCCCAGCCAGCCTGACCTCCCGGGGGATGAGCAAATAGTCGACGTCCTCCCCGATCTGCAGCATCCCCACCGTGGAGTCCTCCTCCTTGCGGAACACCTTGCCGATCTTCTTAAATGTCCCCACGGGCTTTAGGGCTTCCACGAGGACGTCCAAATCCACATCTTTGCAGACATCGGGGACGCTCCAAAGAATGAGGCAGTCGGGGGACGGCAGGAAGCCCCAGGGGAACCAGCCCCCCACGTGGCTTTTCTCGAGAGTCTTTAAGATCTCCAGGGTGATATCTGGGGTGAGGGGGCAATGAGCCCCAACAAACTACTGTAGCCCTTAGTCTTGAGGGAGGGACTGGATGGGGGGAGTTCCAGCAACGCTGACCGGAGAGTCTCACCTCCCTAGCCAGGGACGAGCCAAACGCCTCCAATCTCTTCGCCTGCAACAAGTACAGTCTTGACCAAGTCCGGCTCCCCCACCAAGGACTTGGGGGAATCAATTTCCAGGATGCCTACGTGAGCCGGGGGCGAGGTCAGTCCCAAGGCTCAAGGCCCACTCCAAGCTGGAAACGTGGTGTCCCAGCTCCAAGTTGGGGCGCGCGGGCTGCCAGCGACTCTTCCTGCCCCAGGCCCCAGGGACGCGGCTGGAACTTGGGACAGGACTTCGCAGACAAAGACGGTCCAGTCGAAGCTATTCAATATGGCCGAGGCGCTGGGAGGCCCCAGCCCGGGCCTCCAGTAGGGTCCCCCGCCCCCAGGCAGGCCGCCACCCAGCTCCAGGCTGACCTTGACGCGCCGCAGCCTGCCAGCCCGCGCGCTTAGAGCTCTGCACCGTGGAGCGCGCGGGCAGGAAGTTCCTCCTCGCCCTCCGCCAGAATGAGGCCCACCTTCCCCCGTCTCATCTTACACTCCCAGACTCTGGAAGACTGACAGGGGGGCTGTCCACTCCCTTCGGGGCGGCCTCCTTCCCCTCCCCCACAGGGGTGTGGCCGCGCCCCGGGCCTAGCTGGGCCCATTGCTTCCCAGCGAAGCGGCAGTGGCCCACGTCAGCACCTTTCCTGAAAGGCAGCGGTTCCCAAACCTGCCATCCGAAATGTGCAAGTTTCCAGCCAAGTCCGGGAGGTGGGTGTGCTAGTGGATTCTACTTTTTGAGAGCCACTGGCACCACAGATTAGCATTTTAAATTCACGCGACTATCGGTACCCGTACACCTATATGCGTGGGTAGAGAAATGGGTACCTGACTGCAACAGTCCCACTGTGGCGCTTGGCAGGTCAGGGCTCAATACATATTTTTGAGGGGATGAATAAACCCAAATGTTCATGGCCAGGCGCGGTGGCTCATGCCTGTAATGCCAGCACTTTGGGAGGCCCAGGTGGGTGGAACACTTGAGGCCAGGAGTTCGAGACCAGCCTGCCCAACATGGTGAAACCCTCGTCTCTACCCCGGGTGTGGTGGTGCGCGTGCGTAGTCCCAAGCTACGCGAGAGGCTGAGGCAGGAGAATGGCGTGAACCTGGGAGGTGGAGGTTGCAGAGATCGCGCCACTGCACTCCGGCCTGCGCAACAGAGGGAGACTGTCTCAAAAAAACAAAAGTGCAAAAAAACCCCTACAAATAAACAACAACAAAAAACCCTAAAAGTTCACGAGTAGAGACTGCCTCTATTTTATGGTAGTATCTTACAGTGAAATATTTTGCAACTTCGAAAAAAGAATGAGATGGCTAAGGATAGGCACGGTTTATGAGGCGCTTCCTATGTAGTAGGCACCATTCCCAGTGCTTTCTATGAATGAACTCAGGAAATCCTTGCTATAACAGGAGACTGGTAGCATGAGTACAATTCCCATTAGACAGCTGAGGAAACTGAGGCCCAAGGACATAAAACCACACTCTCAAGGTCACAGCCATGGGGAGTGGTTGAGTTTGGATTTGAATCCAGAATAGTCTGCCTTTTGTGTCGACCAAAGAGTCAAGATGGCCAGGCGCGGTGGCTCACGCCTGTAATCCCAGCCCTTTGGGAGGCTGAGGCGGGCAGATCACGAGGTCAGGAGATCAAGACAAGACCATCCTGGCTAACGCGGTGAAACCCTGTCTCTACTAAAAATGCAAAAAAATTAGCCGCGCGTGGTGGTACGTGCCTGTAGTCCCAGCTACTCGGGAGGCTGAGGCAGAAGAATCTCTTGAACCCGGGAGGCGGAGGTTGCAGTGAGCCGCGATCGCACCACTGCACTCCAGCCTGGACGACAGAGCAAGACTCCGTCTCAAAAAAAAAAAAAGAAAGAAAGAAAGAAAAAAAAGAATCAAGATGTGAACCAATGCTAGTCGCATTCGGCCGGGAGCTCGGTTCTTGAGACGCGAGTCTACCGAAGCTCCCGCCAGTTGAGAGGCGAGTCTGCCGAAGCTCCCGGCCGAAAAAGCCAAATCCTTCCTTAACCCAGTGTCTGAGGGGTTTTGTCCGTGGCTCCTCCTGCTACAGGACATGCGACTAGCATTGGTCCACATCTTTGGAACCAGGCATCCAGAGACATGTTGAATAGGCCTCGTTGTTAGGAACCCTCAGAGGTACATGGTAAGGCCAGTGCCATCAATCATCTTTTTACAGACGGTGAAACTGAGGCTGGTCTGAAGTTGCACAGCTCTGAGTGGTGGATCTAATATAATATTAGAACCAGATCTTGGGCACTAGCATTTAAAACACTAGCTGACGCTAAAGACACAGCTAATCCCCTTCTCCTAAATGTGTTGCACCATTTAACCACTTAGCAGCCACAATACTTGCAGCCACTCTTGCCTGGATGTGTACAAAGCCCCCTCACTGGGCTTCCCGCCTCCCCATCACTGCTTGCAATCCAGGCCCCATCCAGAAGCTGGGGGCATCTTTTAAAAACTTAGGTCCGATCTGTCTCTACTCTTTTGAAAATTCTCCATCTCAGGCTGGGCGCCGTGGCTCACGCCTTTAATCCAGCACTTTGGGAGGCTGAGGCGGGCGGATCACCTGAGGTCCGGAGTTTGAGACCAGCCTGGTCAACATGGCAAAACCCCATCTCTACTAAAAAATACAAAAATTGCCGGGCGCGGTGGCTCACGCTTGTAATCCCAGCATTTTGGGAGGCTGAAGCGGGTGGATCACCTGAGGTCAGAAGTTTGAGACCAGCCTGGCCAACATGGTGAAACCCCGCCTCTACTAAAACTACAAAACTAGCCTGTCTTGGTGGCGCATGCCTGTAATCCCAGCTACTCCGGAGGCTCAGGCAGGAGAATCGTTTGAATCCGGGATTCAGAGGTTGCAGTGAGCTGAGACCGTGCCATTGCACTCCAGCCTGGGCAACAAGAGCGAAACTCCGTCTCAAAAACAAACAAACAAAAAAAAGAAACGAACAAAAATATAAGAATTAGCCGGGCATGGTGACACATGCCTGTAATCCCAGCTACTGGGGAGGCTGAGGCAGAAGAATCGCTTGAACTGGGAGGCGGAGGTTGCAGTGAGCCAAGATCGCGCCACTGCCCTCCACCTTGGGCGACAGAGCGAGACTCCGTCTCAAATAAATAAATAAATGTGATCTTA
This sequence comes from Homo sapiens, assembly GCF_000001405.40. Classification (NCBI taxonomy): domain Eukaryota; kingdom Metazoa; phylum Chordata; class Mammalia; order Primates; family Hominidae; genus Homo; species Homo sapiens. The sequence goes on from NC_000019.10 coordinate 46,416,300, forward strand.
TTTAACTCATAAAGGAACCAGGCAAATTTTTAAAGAGGGAACGGAGGAAAAAGAGACGGGCCAGAGGGAAAGAAAAGATGTGGGGGCTTAGGGGACGTTAAGGTCTCAGCGAGCGGCCTGTTCACAATTACCGGCTTATTCAGGTTGTTTTTCTCTTGCAGAGCCAGGTCGTTGGGCTTCGCTGGATTTTTCTCCTCTTTCTCCCTGGCTCAGTCCCAGCCGCCGCGCTCAGCCCCCGGGCCTCCCGCGGCCCCGCCCCTCGCCTCCCCCTTCGCACAGTTTGTGGCCTCCGCAGTCCGGCGGTCTCCATGGCAACCACGGGACGCGCTCCTCCGCGCGGATCAAAACTAAGCGGGTGGGGCGGAGGCGGAGGCGAGGCTGCAGGGAGATGGTGGGGGTGGGGGCGCCACGGAGGACGAGGGCAGGAGCTCCTCTTTTCTGCCCCTGGTGCCTCCCTTAGGCCTCATCCCCAAAGCCAGCTTCCCTGAAAAGCTGTTTGTAGAAACCAAAAAATGAAAAATCCTAAGGACACCTAGGTTTCAGGAATGCTGATTAAAGAATCGCAAGTCTGAGGGCTCATGACAGTGCCTTCCAAGTGGTGACCTCGCAGATGAGACGTTTGGGTTTTGTAGTCATAAAAGGGCTTTCGTTTTGTTTGTTTGTTTTGTTTTTTGTTTGTTTTTCTTTTTTTATTTGGTGGGGGAGCAGGGAGCGGCGCAAGGAGGATAATCTAAGAAATGAAAATCCCAAATGTTCCATATTTTTGCAAAAATCGTCAACCTCCGGCCGGGGGCGGTGACTCATGCCTGTAATCCCAGCACTTTGGGAAGCCAAGGCAGGAGGATCGCTTGAGCCCAGGAATTGGAGACCAGCCTGGGCAACATAGCGAGACTCCGGTCTCCACAAAAAATTTAAAAATTAGCCGAATATTATGGTGTGCGCCTGTGGTCTGAGCTACTCGGGAGACTGAGGTGGGCCTATCGCTTGAGCCCGGGAGGTCAGGGCTGCAGGAAGCGGAGATCGCCCATCTGCACGCCAGCCTGGGCAACAGAGCGAGACTCCATCTCAAAAAAAAAAAAAATTGCCAGCCCCTGAACGGTTCAGCTGTGGGTGTTTTTAATTGCACAGATCTCTGGCAGGTGAGACCCTTCTCCAGCCATCACAGAATAAAATAATAAAAACGAGAACTGTAGCCTCACTTTTGCATTTGTTTAAAATAAATGGAAAGTTGGAAAAGAATGGGGAAGAGAAACAAAACACGGCTGAAATCCCTCTACCCAGCTACATTTTGTTGCCATTTAAAAAAAAAATGGGACACGCGGGCCAGGGGCAGTGGCTCAAGCTTGTAATCCAAGCAATTTGGGAGGCCTACGCGGGCGATCGCCTGAAGTCAGGAGTTCGAGACCAGCCTGGCCAATATGATGAAACCCCACCGTCTCTACTAAAAGTACAAAAATTAGCTGGGCACGATGGCAGGCGCCCGTAATCTCAGCTACTAGGGAGGCTGAGGCAGGAGAATCGCTTGAACCTGGGAGGCACAGGTTGCAGTGAGCTGAGGTGGTGCCACTGTACTCCAGCTTGGGCAACAGAGTAACACCCTGTCTCAAAAAAGGATACACGGTCAGAAAAAGCAAAAGTTACAGAAAGGTAAATTTTTTTCAAAAAAGGATTCTTCTCCCCAAACCCCACCTTCCAGCCTCTCCCCAAAAAGTAACCAGTTAAATATCTCTGTATTTTTCCAGAGAAAAAATGCTTGCATTAGTGTATGTGTTAATTTTATTTTATTTTATTAATTTATTTTTTTTTTTTTGAGACGGAGTTTTGCTCTTATTGCCCAGGCTAGAGTGCAATGGCGCGATCTCCGACTCACCACAACCTCCACCTCCCGCGTTCAAGCAATTCTCCCGCCTCAGCCTCCAGAGCAGCTGGGATTACAGGCCAACCCACCCAGCTAATTTTGTATTTTTAGTAGAGACGGGATGTCTCCATGTTGATCAGGGTGGTCTCGATCTCGAACCTCAGGTGATCCACCCACCTTGGCCTCCCAAAGTGCTGGGATTACAGGCGTGAGCCACTTCACCTGGCTTTTTTTTTTATGTTAATTTTAGAATTTATCTCACAGAGATTTTTTTCCCCCATCATCCTAAATTATTTTCATCACAGCACTTACCACTTTCTGTTTTTGTTTTTTTTTTTCTTTGAGACAGGGTCTCACTCTGTCACCCAGGCTGAAGTGCAGTGGCATGATCATGGCTCACTGTAACCTCGAAATCCTGGGCTCAAGCAATCCTCCCACCTCAGCCTTCTGAGTGTCTGGGGCTACAGGTGTGTGCCACCATGCCTGGCTATTTTTAAAAATTTTTTGTAGAGAGGTATTCTCATTATGTTGCCCAGACCGGTCTTGAACTCCTGGCCTCAACTGATGCTCCTGCCTCTGGGTCTCAAAGTGCTGGGATTACAGGCGAGAGGCACCACGCTGGGCCTATTTGTATGTACTTATTTATTGTTTCACCCTATTAGAATACTATCCCCATGAGGTCTGGGATATGAGTCTGGTTTGTTCACTGCTGAAGTCTCAGCATCTAGAACACTTCAGGTAGGAGCTACAAATATTTATTAACTGAATGAATGCTGAGAATTGCACTAGATTTATTACTATAAAATGTGTTTTCACTTAATGTCCTTCTGTATCAGTGCTTGCCAGTCTGTTTTTGTTTGTCACGACAGCTTCCATCTTTATTCCTTCAAGCCAGGAACGTGATACTGATAATAATTCATTTTTACTGAGCACCTACTTTATCCTTGGCCCTGTGCATTTTCTCATTCAGTCCTTAGAACCCTTCCTTAAGCAAATGTTATTCCCATTTTTCAGATTAAAAAAAAAAACTGAGTCCAAGGAAAGTCACACAGCTAGGTAGTGGCAGAGCCAAGCTTTGAATCACTCAGGTTTATTAGATTCCAATCTCCACACACTTTTTGTTTGTTTGTTTGTTGTTTGTTTGTTTGTTTTGAGACAGGGTCTTGCTCTGTCGCCCAGTGATACGATTTCTGCTCACTTCAGCCTCGACCTCCTGGGCTCAAGCTATCCTCCCATCTCAGCTTCCCAAGTAGCTGGGACTACAGGCCCATGTCACCATGCCCAGCTAATTTTTTGTAAAGTTGGAGTTTCGCCATATTTTCCAGGCTAATCTCGAACTCCTGGGCTCAAGTGATCCTCCTACCTCAGCCTTCCAAAGTGCTGGCATTACAGATGGAAGCCACCATGCCTGGCCCCAATCTCCACACTCAGTGGGGTGGATCGCTTGAGCCCAGGAGTTCAAGACCAGCCTGGGCAACATAGCAAAACCCCATCTCTACAAAAATAGTACAAAAAATTAGCTGGACGTGGTGGTGCAAGCCTGTAGTCCCATCTACTCGGGAGGCTGAGGTGGGAGGAGCATCTGAGCATAGGATGTCCAGGCTGCAGTGAGCCATTATCGCACCACTACACCCCAGCCTGGGTGACAGAGTGAGACGCTGTCTCAAAAAAGTTTAGAAAAAAGAGGCCAAGGGCTGGGCACAGTGGCTCGCGCCTGTAATCCCAGCACTTTGAGAGGCCGAGGCGGGCAGATCACAAGGTCAGGAGATCGAGACCATCCTGGCTAACACAGTGAAACCCCATCTCTACCAAAAATACAAAAAATTAGCCGGCCGCGGTGACAGGTGCCTGTAGTCCCAGCTACTCGGGAGGCTGAGGCAGGAGAATGGCGTGAACCCGGGAGGCGGAGGTTGCAGTGAGCCGAGATCGCACCAAGGCACTCCAGCCTGGGAGACAGAGTGAGACTCTGTTTCAAAAAAAAAAAGAAAAGAAAAGAAAGAAAGAAAAAGAAAAAGGAGGCCAAGGAAGATAACACAGAGGCAAAGGCGTACAGAGTGGAGGAGGCGATGTGGATGTAACCCTGTAGGCAGAGGCTGGAGAGATGCAGTCAGCAGCCAAGGAACTCCTGGAGCCACCGGAAGCTTGAAGAGGCAAGCAAGTTCCTCCGCCTGGAGCCTCTGGAAGGAGCTCAGCCTTGCCAACAGCTTGATTTTGGATTTCTGTCCTCCAGAACCATGAGAGAATACATTTGTGATGTTTTAAGCCATCTAGTATATGGTAATGTGTCACAACAGCCACAGGAAACGAATACAGAGCCCGTTGTGTGGCCACGAATTCCCCTGAGTCCAGTGAGGGCAATTCCAAATTAAAACATGCTAATTTTATTCTGTGACCTTGTCTCTCAGGAATAATTATCCCTGAAGCGAAAGAATTCTTGTACAGTGTCCTGCGCCCTAGGAATTACATATGGGTGACGGGCACCTTGGAAGTGGTGGGGTTTTTGGTTTTTTTTTTTTTTAGACTGAGTCTCGCTGTGTTGCCCAGGCTAGAGTGCAGTGGCCCCATCTTGGCTCACTACAACTTCCACCTCCCGGGTTCAAGCAATTCTGCCTCAGCCTCTGGAGTACGTGGGATTATAGGCATGCGCTACCATGCCCAGTTAATTTTTGTATTTTTAGTAGAGACGGGCTTTCACCATGTTGGCCAGGCTGGTCTCAAACTCCTGACCTCAAGTGATCCACCCACTGTGGCCTCCCAAAGTGCTGGGAATACAGGCGTGAGCCACTGTGCCCAACCACTGCTCTGATTTCTGTCCCTATAGTGTTTTTTTAGTTTTATGTAAAAGGAAGTATATAGTGTGTGTCCTTTTTGGTCTGACTTCTTTGACTCCGCATAACGCTTCTGAGGTTCACCGATGTTGCTGTACGCATCTGAGGTTCATTCCTTTTTTTTTTTTTTTTTTTTGAGACGGAGTCTTACTCTGTCACCAAACTGTGACAGGAGGAGTGCTGTGGCACAATCTTGGCTCACCACAACCTCCGCCTCCCCGGTTCAAGCAATTCTTCTGCCTCAGCCTCCCGAGTAGCTGGGACTACAGGCACCCGCCACCACGCCCAGCTAGTTTTTGTCTTTTTAGTAGAGACAGGGTTTCACCATGTTGGCCAGGATGGTCTCGATCTCTTGACCTCATGATCTGCCCGCCTCAGCCTCCCAAGGTGCTGGGAGGGCGACCGCGCCCGGCCAGTACATTCTTTTTTGTTGCTAGGTCATATTCTGTTGCATGAATACATTGCAGTTTGTTTATTCATTCACCTGTCGTCGGCCATCGAGTTGTTTCTAGTTTTTGGTTCTTAGAAATAAAGCTGCTGCCGGGCGCCGTGGCTCACGCCTGTAATCCCAGCACTTTGGGAGGCCGAGACAGGCGGATCACGAGGTCAGGAGATCGAGACCATCCTGACTAACACAGTGAAACCCCGTCTCTACTAAAAATACAAAAAAAATTAGCTGGGCGTGGTGGCGGGCGCCTGTAGTCCCAGCTACTAGGGAGACTGAGGCAGGAGAATGGCGTGAACCCTGGAGGCGGAGCTTGCAGTGAGCTGAGATCGCGCCACTGCACTCCAGCCTGGGTAACAGAGTGAGACTCCGTCTCAAAAAATAAAAAAGAAAAAAAAAAAAAGAAAGCCTGAAGGGCGACTGAAAGTCAGAGGGAACAGCAGGTGAAGAGCTGTGTGCTCTGTGCCCACCTAGGCACATATGCCCACCCCTTCCCTGTTCCCCCCAACTTCCTGCCCCATCAGCCAGGGGTCCCACAGCACCAGAGGGCACATGCAGCTGGGATATACGTATATATATGTTTTTTTCCTTTTTGAGACGGAGTCTTACTCTGTCGCCCAGGCTGGAGTGCAGTAGCATGATCTTGGCTCACTGGAACCTCTGCCTCCCAGCTTTATGCTATTCTCCCACCTCAGCCTCCCGAGTAGCTGGGATTACAGGTGCGCAACACCACGCCCGGCTAATTTTTGTATTTTTAGTTGAGACGGGGTTTCACCATGTTGGCCAGGCTGGTCTCAAACTCCTAGCCTCAAGTGATCCACCTGCCTCAGCCTCCAAAAGTGCTGGGATTACAGGCGTGAACCACTGCACCTGGCCGGAATCACAAGTTATGTGTCGGTCACTCAGAGACTCAGAGACTGCCTTCAGAATCCCTGTTTCTCACCAAGGACTGTTGGGAGGAGGCCTCAGGGTGCTGTCTCCCTGGATCCACCAAGACCTCATTCCTCTTTGTGCTGTGCCAGCCCTCCATGTGGTGGAGCACGTGGGCTCTGGAGCTAGGCTGCCTGGGTTCAAATTCTGGCTCTATCACCCTGTGGCTGTGTGATCTTGGGTCAGTTCCTTCACCTCTCTGAGCCTTGGCTTCCTTCTCTGCAAAATGGCAGTTGTAATGAGACTTAACCTCATGGAGAGGTTGTGAGCAGTTCACGAGACCATGATAGGTATTGGCACAGAACCCAGGGATGGTAAATGCTCACAGTTATTAGAAAAGGCAGAGTGGGCCAGGCATGGTGGCTCATGCCTGTAATCCCAGCACTTTGGGAGGCCAAGGCGGGCAGATCACAAGGTCAGGAGATCGAGACCATCCTGGCTAACATGGTGACACCCTGACTCTACTAAAAATACAAAAAATTAGCCGGGCGTAGTGGCACGCGCCTTTAGTCCCAGCTACTTGGGAGGCTGAGGCAGGAGAATCACTTGAACCTAGGAGGCGGAGGTTGCAGTGAGCCAAGATCGCACCACAACACTCCAGCCTGGGCCACAGAGCGAGACTCCATCTCAAAAAAAAAAAAAAAAAAAAAAGCAGTGTGGTCTAGCTGTTTGTAGACTCAGTTCCGGTTCACATCCTGGCTCTGTTTACAAATCGTGTGGCTCTGTGCCTCAGTTTCCAAATCTGGAGAATGAGATTGTATCAGTCTCATGGTGTTGAGTCTTATGAGGATTAAATTGTTTGTGTAAAATGCTTAGAATAGTGCCTGGTAGATATGATTATTCAATATGCACGAAGATTATTCTCTGCTCTAAGCCCCCACTTAGAACCAGAGCGTGTACTGCAGTTTCAAACAGGCCCTCAGAGTGCCACCCACCTCTGGCTTGTTTCTCAAGGAATCCTGAAGAATTTCTTCTGCCCAGCCGTTTACCAGAGAAATCATGCTCTATGACTCCGATGTCAGCTGGGGCCTCCCAGACTGAGAGAGACCCGAATCAGTGTGAGGAGCACAGAATGTGGTCAGAGGCCTGTTTTCAATTCCTGTTGTGCTTTGCTCTGTAGCCTTAGACAAGTTACTTAGCCTTTCTGAGCTTTACTTTCTTCATCCATAGAATGAGATGATGATCTTAATAATAGTACAGTTTGATAATCTAATCTCTTATCTGGTCTTTTTTTTTTTTTTGAGATGTAGGGGGGTATCACTCTGTCATCCAGGCTGGAGTGCAGTGGTGCAATCACAGTTCACTGCAGCCTTGATCTGCTGGCCTCAAGCGATCCTTCCACCTCAGCCTCCAGAGTAGCTGGGACTACAGGTGCATGCCACCGTGCCTAATTTTTTTTTTTTTTTTTTTAGTTTTTGTAGAGATAGGGGTCTTGCTGTGTTGACCAGGCTGGTTTTGAACTCCTGGCCTCAAGCAATTCTCCCACCTTGGCCTCCCAAAGTACTGGGATTACAGGCGTGACCCACTGCACCTAGCCCACTACAGAAGTATTGATGGGATTATAAGGGCTTCCCGCATCCCCCTGGGAAGTAAATTCTACAATATAAGGTATAGTCACTGTATCATTTTTCTAAAATCCAAAACTCTGAACCACATATACCCCTGAAACCACACCTGGCTGAGGGTTTTTATAAGGGATTGTGGACCTATAGGGCCATAACTCACAGGGTTGGCAGGATATGATGGGTTAATGATATGAAGGAATGTGGCATAGTGCCTGGAACACAAGATAGCTGTTACTGTTTTTGTTTCAGTTAAATTGTTTCACCTTTCACACCAGCCACTGGAAAATGACCTGACATCCTGAGAAGTCCGTAGGATAAAAGAAAGCTGTGTTTCCGCCGGGCGCGGTGGCTCACACCTGTAATCCCAGCACTTTGGGAGGCAGAGGCGGGCAGATTACGAGGTCAGGAGATCGAGACTATCCTGGCTAACACGGTGAAACCCCGACTCTACTAAAAATACAAAAAAATTAGCCAGGTGTGGTGGCAGGTGCCTGTAGTCCCAGCTACTTGGGAGGCTGAGGCAGGAGAATAGTGTGAACCCGGGAGGCGGAGCTTGCAGTGAGTCAAGATCACGCCACTGCACTCCAGCATGGGCAACAGAGAGAGACTCTGTCTCAAAAATAAATAAGTACATAAAAATAAAAATAAATGCAGTCCTGGAAGACTTCAGGCCATGGAAGCAGTTTTCAGTACTTGTTTTAGCAGCCACATCATTTTTCCAAATTAAATCTTACATGGATTTCCCCCCATATGTCAAGGGGCAGACTATGATTTCATTAGCATACATTTATTTTATGAGTTCATATTTGTACAAAAGAGCATCTCAATCACAAAGAACAATGAAGAGTTTTAGCTGAACCCCCTTTTGAAATCAGGGGTTTACAGAAGCCAGATGCAGCCCTCCAACAGCTGGCACATTCAATTTACTTGTGAATTTTTGCTTGGGATTTGCCCTACCAGTGATGTTTTCACTCAGCTAAGTAGCTTCAAATGGTGACAGTTTTGCATGACAACTTGCATTGGAGTCCCAGGATACACTTTGGTCCAGAAAATCTTGAAAGAGAAGTGGTAGGATTTTGATTTCATGGGCAACATTGAACAACCACGCATGTTGTGTATCACAAATATAAATGTTATACCCCTGAAATCCACAATAAGCACAAAATACAGTCTTCATGCTGCAATATGATAAGAAATGTCACACTATCCCTTATTATACAACGATTATGCCTTGATGGGAGAGCAGCATGCAACAAACACGCTGGAGGCTTTCGTAGCATTTATTCAAGCTCAGACTCTGGGATGCAATAACGAACACAGTAGTACAATATTCTGCGAGTGGGTATGCCCAGGCTGGGCATTTACAAGGAATAGAAAAATCAGGCCGGGCGTGGTGGCTCACGCCTGTAATCCCAACACTTTGGGAGGCCGAAGTGGGCGGATCACAAGGTCAGGAGATTGAGACCATCCTGGCTAATACGGTGAAACCCTGTCTCTACTAAAAATACAAAAATTAGCTGGGCGTGGTGGTGCGCACCTGTAGTCCCAGATACTCAGGAGGCTGAGGCAGGAGAATCACTTGAACCCAGGAAGCAGAGGTTGCAGTGAGCCAAGATCGTGCCACTGCACTCCAGCCTGGGCTACAGAAGGAGACTCCACCTCAAAAAAAAAAAAAAAAAAAAAAAAAGAATCAACAGAGAAGCTGGGCGCAGTGGCTTACACCTGCAATCCCAGCACTTTGGGAGACCAAGGCGGGAGATTGAGACCATCCTGGCCAACATGGTGAAACCCTTTCTCTAGTAAAAATACAAAATTTAGCTGGACGTGGTGGTTCATGCCTGTAATCCTAGCTACTAGGGAGGCTGAGGCAGGAGAATCGCTTGGACCAGGGAGTCAGAGGTTGCAGTGAGCTGAGATTGCACCTCTGCACTCCAGCCTGGTGACAGAGCGAGACTCTGTCTCAAAAAAAAAAGACGTTAGGAGTCTCTGACATTACAATTTGGTAGGCTGAGTCTTTGTGTTGTGTGTAAGTTACATTTTTGAAAAGAGATTCAGTCAAACCTTTGCAGATCCTTGAACTAACAAGTTTGCAAATTGACAGGTCCGTTGTCTCTGAGCAAAAGATCTGCCTACTCACATGTATTTGGATTTTACCTGATTTTTAAAATTCTTCTTCACCTCAGTGTTAACGTCGTTCATTGGTAACTCTTGAAAATGGCCTCTTAATGATTTACCTCCTTTTGGACCATTGCCCAGAAGCCTTGCCTCTTCTTTAGAGAGTGGAGTTCACTCCTCCTCACCAAGCCAGAGCTTCTGGAATTTAACTTGGGGAGACTCACACCCTCACCCCAGGCGCCAATCGGGGCAGAAGGGTCCCGCTTCTGACCACTTCTGTAAGAGAGACTCAGCGTGTAGAGAAAGACGACAGCTTTTCAAGAGCCGCTTACAGATCAGTGAGTTCCTCAGAGGTGGGGAGCAGGCAACTCACTCTCAGCCATGGTTTCTGCTTGACATGCGCAAAACAGGGTGGCCCACTCCGAACAAGTTTGTGCCAGAGGTACATTCAAGGTACATGCTTTTGAAACACAGAAAACGGCTCTAGACTTTGCAATAACAGGATTTCCAGGAGGGCGCAAAGCTAGAGGGGTCCGTGCCGCCCGCCTCCCCCCAGCAAGAGAGGCTGTCCCCAGAATCAGGCCGTGGGTGACAGCCGAAGGAGGATGGCGGCCCTTCTCCCGAGTAGGGATCTCCCTGACACGTTCCTCCTGGGTCTGCGTGAGTTTTCTTCAACTCCAGTAAGAGATCTGCAAAACCTTGGAATCCAGGACCGTTTCCACCTCCTCCATTTTCTGCAAAGGGCGCAGGCGCCTGGGGTCAGCCTGTGGTCTCCATAGCAACGGTCGGACGCGCTGCTAGGTTCTGGCTCTGACTGCGCCTGCGCGGCTGGTCCCGCGGGGTCTCCCGAGTAGCGGAAGATATTTGTGGGTCTTTGAGACCCTTCCTCGCTTAGAAATTACTCTCATCTACTCAAATGATACCCATACACATATTCAGGTGTTACCCGCACACTCTCAAATATTACCCACAACTACTTTCAATTATACGCGGATGCCACCCACACACTCTAATGCTACCCACACTCACTAACGTGTATTCAAGTAACCCAAATGTTACCCGCACCTACTCAAATAGCTACTATGAGAGTCACGGGCAAGGTTTTGGTCTGTTTATTCCCCTTCTGTATCCCCAGTGCCTGGCACACTGTAGGTCCTCAGGAAATTTTGTTGGTTGCATGGATACATGGATGAATGAGCAATCCACACTCAACCAGATTTTATGATCATTCAGCTGTTACCCACATGTACTCAAATGCTACCTACGCTCACTCTGATGTCTCCAAGTAATTCAAATATTACCCACTTACTCTGAGTGCCATGAAGGCAGGGATTTTTATTGAGTTTACTCCCTTCCATATCCCCAGCTCCTGGAACATAGTAGGTATGCAATAAATATCTGTAAGATGAATAAATGAGCCACGGGCACCCAGACGTTAACCACACCCACTCAGATGTAACCCACAAGTTAGTTAACTCAGATAAAGATATCCACCTCTTTCGCACTAGTCAGATGTTACCTGTGCTATCCAAATGATACCCATTCTTACTCCAAAGTTACCCACTCACTAGAGTCATTCCCACCCTCCCTTGCATTACCCACACTCACTCGCACTCCTTAAACGTAGTGAGGTGGTACCTACCCTCCCACAGTCATCACCCACACCCCCTCAGACACTCCCCACGCCCACCCGATGCCACCACCTCACAGCTTCTTGTCTGAGGCGTGATGCCGCCGGCGGTTTTTCTTGTTCTTCCTTTTGCCCCTCTTGCCAACTCCAGCCTTGCTCTCCTTCTCGGAGGAGTCCAGAGGTGGCACCACGTCCATCTGGACGGTGGCCCCAGCCTCCGGTTTCTCCCCCAGCCCAGGCACAGAGCACTTTCTTGCAGGCAGCTCTCTGGGGCCCGTGGCTGGGGGACACAGTTCCTGCCTCAGGACCCGGGCCATATCCTCCACCGTCCTGCCCTCGCTCTGCAGAAAGAGGTTCAGCTTGGTCAGGAATTCAATGTCCTGCTTCCGGGGCATGTAGACCACTCTCCACACACCGCCCTTGCCCTTGATCTCCCTGGGGACCACGGCGTAATTGATGTCCTCCGTCAGCTGAATGATGGCCGCCTTGGATTTATCTTCTTCCAGATAGGCCTTCCCAGCCACTTCGAACTTGCCTAGAGGTTTGAGGGGCAGCCGAATAATCTCTTCGAATTCCTCGTGGTTGCAGTCCTCCGGGATCCCCAGGATCATCAGGGACTTGTAACTGTCCACCTCCAGGGCCTTGCACCCGTGCTCCAACAGTGCAATGTCCTTCACCCCGAACAGCATCTTGCCCAACTCTTTGAGGCAGCAGTATGCCCGCTGGTGGACACCTGAGCTGCCTCGGGAATCCACGAAATTATCCAGGATGCCGCGATTCCTTCCCAAAGGCTACGAGAGAGTGAGGCCTCAGGGGCCGGAGGCCGCTCCCAGGACCCCTTCGTCCAGCTCAGTGAAGGATGCCCCCAGCCCCTGCCTGCAGGGCTGTGCAACGTCGGGGCTTCTGTGGCTCCCTCTGAGTGGGCTCGAAGATTCCCAGGGACTTACGCGTGCTGGAGAAGCAGAAGGCGGTGTTTGCCACCTGACTCGTGGCTCCCGGGTCCTGGGCAAGGCTGCACCAAGGAGGGTCTAAAGATGATGCTTCCCCTTTCTTGGCGTGGCCTCCGAAGGTCTCACAGGCCCCAACGGTCTCTCCGGATCTGGGACTGCTGATCTCCCTGGGACAACTGCCAACAGAGTGTCGTAGGCGCGGCCCTGGCAGGCAGGGAGGCGCGTCCCTCACCGCTGGCCCAGAGGTTGCACTCAGTGCCCTGTCGCCGGACTAGGACGAGGATGTGGCCGCTGCACTTGCTCCCGCGGTGACGTCACCGCCTCCTTCCGCTCTGCGGCCTGGCGGTCTCCATGGCAACCGCTGAAGCATCCATCTCCTCTGCCATTGGCCGACTGGCCGCATTGAAATCAAGAGTCTGAGGGGGTCATTCGGAGGTGAGGGGTCGGCCACCAGCCCTCAGAAGCGCCCGCGATTCTCCTTTGAATAATAGCCGATTCCAGGGGTGAGGGGACAGCGAATGTACAAGAGGCACCCGGGGCATCTTTTGGGGTCAGAAAGTAAGGAAGTGATTAAAAAAAAAAAATGAGAACACCTGGAAAGACAGAGGAACCAGCCTGAAATGCTCCCACTGGCCAACCCTGGGACAATTTGAGCATCAACGTTAAAAATGAAAGTAACAGATTATAACCCCTTGAATAAAATTAGAATCTATGAGTTGATGTAGATATAAGCACGTGAATGCAAAGTTTGGTGAAGAATGTGAACTATCAAAGTACCTGCCCATATAATACTCATCAAAGGGAACAAATGTATCTTTACAGTGGAATGTTCTTGCATGTAGGACACACACACACACACACACACACACTATAATATTCAGAGCGATATGACAATTTAGACTCAAAATGCTTCAGAGGATAAAACATTCTTTTTTTTTTTTTTTTTTTTTTGAGATGAAGTCTCCCTCTGTTGCCCAGGCTAGAGTGCAGTGGCCCGATCTTGGCTCATTGCAACCTCTGCCTCCCCAGTTCAAGCGATTCTCCTGCCTCAGCTTCCCAAGTAGCTGGGATTACAGGCATGTGCCACCAAGCTCAGCTAATTTTTGTATTTTTAGTAGAGATGTAGTTTCACCATGTCGGCCAGGCTGGTCTTGAACTCCCAACCTCAGGTGATCCATCCACTTCGGCCTCCCAAAATGCTAGGATTACAGGCCACAGCCATTGCACCTGGCCGCGAAAACATTCTTTATACTATATTTGCAACTCTTCTGTAGGTTTATGGTTGTTTCAAATAAATGTTTAAAAATAAATAAGAAATGTCTCCCCCATGTGATGACATCCACAATGTCTATTCCTCTCCTCCCCAGTCCCCATTAATAAAGCCAAAACATTTGGGTTAGGTCGACACCCTTTATACCCCCAGTTCCAGGGATAAGCCCTGATTGGCTTGAACCAATTAGCATAATCTCACCCTCCTTCCCACAGTGATTGGTTCAGAAATGGTCACCCAGGTAACCTGGACAAAAAGCAATTAGTGCTTAATATGCCCCTCTTCTCTGAGATTGGTTAAAGGTTAGACACGTGAACTCAGTAAGTCCAGTCAGAATGAAGGTAAGGATTTCTGCAACTGGTAAGCGGAGGAAGACTCTCTCTTTCCTCCTAGACGTGAAAGACTAAGTATAGGAGCTACAGGAGGCTGTCTTGGAAGCATGACAAACTCTCTTCCTTCCTTCCTTCCTTCCTTCCTTCCTTCCTTCCTTCCTTCCTTCTTTTTTCTTTCTTTCCTTCTTTCTTTCAGACAGAGTCTTGCTCTGTCGCCCAGGCTGGAGTGCAGTGGCGCGATCTCGACTCACTGCAACCTCAACCTCTCAGGTTCAAGCAATTCTCCTGCCCCAGCCTGTAAAACAGCTGAGATTACAGGCGCCCGCCACCACGCCCGGCTAACTTTTTGTGTTTTTAGTAGAGACAGGGTTTCACCATGTTGTCCAGGCTGGTCTCAAACTCCTGACCTCAAGTGATCCACCTGCCCCGGCCTCCCAAAGTGCTGGGCTTACAGGCATGAACCACCGCGTCCAGCCAATAAACACTTTGAGGATGAACTTTGCATCTAGAGGAAGGCAGAGTTGAGGGAACAACCAGAAACCAGGCCATAGTCAGGAAGACATCATATGCCTCAGGATCAAACAACACCTGAAACCGACATCCCCTGAAACTTTGTTTTTACACGTAGTCAGAAGTGCACGAATTATAAATGAAAATCCATTAACTGAACACATGGTGTAACCAGCACCCAAATCAGTAAATGAACATCATAGCATTCCCAGAGGATATCCTGTGCTTTCTCCAAATCACTATATCCTCTTAAGGGAAGCCACTATCTTGACTTTCAACAGCATAGGTTAGTTTTGCCTGTTTTTGTATTTTACATAAATGGAATCACATATTACGTGGTCTATGTTTCTTGGTGAACATATATGTACATATCCATTAGTTTTAAGCCTGAACAAATGCCTTAGCAGATTCTACAAGTTTCCCAAACTGGTCGTACCATTTTATTCTCCCACCAAACAGTGTAAAAAAAAAAAATCCAGTTTCGCCACATGCTCATCAATACTAGATTTTTTTTTTTCCTGAGATGGAGTTTTGCTCTTGTTGCCCAGGCTAGAGTACAATGGCACGATCTCGGCTCACTGCAAGCTCCGCCTCCCGGGTTCACGCCATTCTTCTGCCTCAGCCTCCCGAGTAGCTGGGACTACAGGCGCCCACCACTAGGCCCGGCTAATTTTTTTGTATTTTTAGTAGAGACGGGGTTTTACCGTGTTAGCCAGGATGGTCTCGATCTCCTGACCTCGTGATCTGCACGTCTTGGCCTCTCAAAGTGCTGGGATTACAGGCGTGAGCCACCGCGCCCGGCCTGATGCCTCCGGTTTTATAGTCAGGAAAACCGAAGATCAGAGAGGTTAATTCACTTACCTAAGGTCACACAGCTAGTGAATGGCAAAGCTAGACTTCCCGCCTCAGCACCCTGACTCCTGGGCGCACAGATTTAACATTATACAATACCATGGAGTTCCCTGAGAAAGGGGTCCCATATTGTGTCACGCGGCTTAGTTCCTGTTCTGTCGTGAAGTTTCTGGATGACAGTTCCCTCTCTGGGCTGTATGTTGATTTTGTTCAGTGCCAGTTTAGCTAAGCTGGGCTTGTGTGTCCTAGAATAGCTTTCTGCAGGTGGCTGTTGGTTAGAGTCGTCTAAAAGAGAAATGTGCATTAGATTTACACAGCGGCTGGTGCTGTGAGAAGGTCTGCACAGGGTGCCACATGGCTCATGCATTTCATGACTGGTCTGTGGGCTCACCTTATTGGCTTGGGGCAGCCTCTGGGACTCCACCTGCTCCTGCCGGTCTCCTTTTCAGCGTCGGTGAACTTGGGGCCAGCACCGGAGCAGCTCTGTGGGGGCAAAAGGCACCAGCTTCCCCTGCAGGTCAAGCGTGGAATTGAGGTTGAAGGTGGGAAAAGAGACGTTGGTTGGGGGCGGGGGTTCCAGTTTGTCTTCAAGGATTCTAATTTTTTTTTTTTTTTTTTTTTTTTTTTGAGACGGAATCTCGCTCTGTTGCTCAGGCTGGAATGCAATGGTGCCATCTCTGCTCACTGCAACCTCCACCTCCCGGGTTCAAGCGATTCTCCGGCCTCAGCCTCCTGAGTAGCTGGGATTACAGGCACCCGCCATCATGCCCAGCTAATTTTTGTATTTTCATAGAGATGGGGTTTCACCATGTTGGCCAGGCTGGTCTCGAACTCCTGACTTCAAATGATCCGCCTGCCTCAATCTCCAAAAATGCTGGGATTGCAGGAGTGAGCCACCGCACCTGGCCTAGATTGTTCTTGTAGGTTCCAATTTGTCCTCTCTGTCCCGGTTCAGTTTCTAAATTGCCCAGCAGACTGGCCTACAGAGACTTAAAACCCAATACTAGTCACAGAAAAAAAAACTTTGATACACCCCTCCTCCAGCAACCCTAGCGCTCCCTGGTTAGTAATTTTTTTTTTTTTTTTTTTTTTTTGGAGATAAGGGTCTCTCTATGTTGCCCAGGCTGGTATCAAACTCCTGAGTTCAAGTGATTCTCCCACCTCGGCCTCCCAAAGTGTTGGGATTACAGGCCTGAGCCACCACGCCCAGCCTCAGTAACTTTTAAACAAGATCTCGCCATCCCTATATTATTATTATTATTTTGCCATCACGAATATAGTTTATTTTTAAATTTTTAATTTTTAATTGTGCGGGTACATGGTAGCTGTATATATGTATGGGGTTCACAAGATATTTGATACAGGCATGCAATGAGAAATAATCACATTGTGGAGAATGAAGTCGCCATCCCCTTAAGAACTTATCCTTTGTGTGACAAACAATCCAATTACATTCATTTAGCTATTTTGAAATGTACTATTATTATTAACAATAGTCATCCTGTTGTGCTATCAAATAGTATGTCTTATTCATTCTTTCTATTTGTGTTGAGTATTGTACCCATTAACCATCCCCACCTCCCCCATCCATCCCGCCGACGACCCTTCCCAGCCTCTGGTAACCTTCTGTCTATATGTTAAAAAAAAAAAAAAAACTGCTTTTTTTGTTTTGTTTTGTTTCGAGATGGAGTCTCACTCTGTCGCCCAGGCTGGAGTGTAATGGTGCGATCTTGGCTCACTGCAACCTCTGCCTCCCAGGTTCAAGTGATTCTCATGCCTCAGCCTCCCTAGCAGCTGAGATTACAGGCACGCGCCACCACGCCTGGCTAATTTTTGTATTAGTAGAGATGGGGTTTCACCATGTCAGCCAGGCTGGTCTGGAACTCCTGACCTCAAGTGATCCACCCGCCTCGGCCTCCCAGAGTGCTGGGATTACAGGCGTGAGCCAACATGCCTGTCCTCGTTCAATTGTTTTGATTATTTTAATTCCCACAAATAAATGAGAACATGCCGTTTGTCTTTCTGTGCCTGGCTTATTTCACTTAACATAATGACCTCCAGTTCCATCCACGTTTTTGCAAATGGCAGGATCTCATTCTTTTTCATGGCTGAATAGTACTCCATTGTGTATAAGCACCACATTTTCTGTATCCATTCTTCTGTTGATGGACACTCAGGTTGTTTCCAAATCTTCACTGTCGTGGACAGTGCTGCAAAAAATATGGGAGTGCAGAGATCTCCTTAATCTACTGATTTCCTTTCTTTTGGGTATATACCCAGCAGTGGGATGGCAGGATCAATTTTTAGCTTAATTTTTAGTTTTGAGGAACCTCCAATTTACATTCCCACCAACAGAGTATGAGGGTTCCCTTTTCTCCACCAGCATTTGTTCTTTGCTGTCTTTTGGATATAAGCTTTTTTTTTTTTTTTTGAGACGGAGTTTCACTCTTGTTGCCCAGGCTGGAGTGCAATGGTGCAATCTCGGCTCACTGCAACCTCCGCCTCTCAGGTTCAAGCAATTCTCCTGCCTCAGCCTCATGAGTAGCTGGGATTACAGGCATGCTCCACCACGCCTGGCTAATTTTTTGTATTTTTGGTAGAGACAGCGTTTCTCCATGTTGGTCAGGCTGGTCGTGAACTCCCGACCCCAGGTGATCTGCCCGCCTCAGCCTCCCAAAGTGCTGGGATTACAGGCGTGAGCAATTGCATCTGGCCAGATATAAGCTATTTTAACTGGGGTGAGATGGATATCTTTATCTTATTTTAGTTTTGACCACCATCCCTTTCTGGGTCCTCACCTCCCCAGATTCACCCCCAATTGTCTAAGATCCAATCACATAATGTTTCTTATCCCACGTGGCTCATAGCAGACCTCCTTCTGCTTAACACGGACCAATCCTGAACAACCATGACTCTTCCTTTATAAACATCAGTTGCACTAACATACTACTTTTCAGGTTTTCCAGTAGAGAGAAAACAAGGGAAGTGTGCCCTCTCATTTAGGGGTTTTAGGAACCAGCTCTTCCACAGAGATTTCTTTTAAGTCTAATTTTGTCATAAAAAATTTTGCATTCGAGCCGGGCGTGGTGACTCACACCTGTAATCCCAGCACTTTGGGAGGCTGAGGCGGGTGGATTACCTGAGGTCAGGAGTTCGAGACCAGCCTGGCCAACATGACAAAACCCCATCTCTGGTAAAAATACAAAAATTAGCCGGGTGTGTTGGCACACACCAGTAATCCCAGCTACTTGGGAGACTGAGGCAGGAGAATCACTTGAACCTGGCAGGTGGAGATTGCAGTGAGCCAAGATTGCGCCACTGCACTCCAGCCTGGGTGACAGAGTGAGACTCTGTCTCAAAAAAAAAAAAAAAAAAAAAATTCACATTCGACTCCATGACATGACCATTTTAATACAAAGATGAGTTTTCCTTCCAAAGATGAAGTAAAATTGTTGATCCAAAATATTTGCCACGAGTTTATGAATCCTTGACACGCCATTGCATATCCCTGGGCTTATGCATGTTCCCAATTGAGAAGCAAGGGAAGAGAATGGTTCATTTATTTGATCCACCAGGATTTACTGAGAAGTGTCCTTGTTCTAGGCTTGGGTAACGTGCTGGGCATACTTGAGTGAGGGAGACAGGCTCTGCTTTGAGGAGCTCAGTCCAGTGGTTACGACAGGCTGGCTCAGTCTGTTTACAGGCAGGGAGAGAAGCCCTATAATTACTACGATGTGTTCCGATCCTGGTGTGGGGTGTAGAATACAGAATATATCAAGTGGGCTTAGTTTTCCTGGAACATGTTTTGCTAGAGTTTAAAGAGAGAACCGCATAAAGTCCTTTGGCGGCCCTGAGATACCTGACTGACATAATTACTGTATCAGTAACCTTTTTATTAATTCACTCTTCAACGTCTCTGATTAATTCTCCATAAAGGAATTCATCTGTCTGGTCTCATCTGGGAAGGCTTCCCGCAGGAGGTGACATTTGAGAGAAATCTTGATGGATGCATATAATAACCACAAATAATACTATTTTAAAAAGTAATAACTGCTAACTTTTGCATAGGGCATACTAAAATATTCTAAGCCTTCTATGTGTACTAAGTCATCTAATTTTTACAACAGTCCATGAGTTAGATGTTTTATTGATTCAATCATTTATTCATTCAACAAGTATTTATTGAATAGTTCCTGTATCTTATAGTCAGGAAAACTGAGGACCAGAGAGGTTAAATCACTTACCTGGGGCCACACAGCTAGTGAGATTTTTTTTTTTTGAGATAGGGTCTTGCTCTGTTGCCCAGGCCGGAATGCAGTGGCGCAATCATGGCTCACTGCAGCCTCAACCTCCCAGGCTCAAGCAATCTTCCCACCTCAGCCTCCTGAGTAACCGAGACTATAGGCGCATGCCACCACACCTAGCTAACTTAATTTTTTTTTTTTTTTTTTTTTGTAGAGACAGAGTCTCACTATGTTGCCCAGGCTGGTCTCAAACTCCTGAGCTCAAGCAATCCTCCTGGCTCAGTCTCCCAAAGTGCTGGGATTACAGGTATGAGCCATTATGCCTGGCCAAATGAGTTTTGTTTTTTTTTTTTGGGGGGACGAACTCTCGCTCTGTGGCCCAGCCTGGAGTGCAGTGGCGCGATCTTGGCTCACTGCAACTTCCGCCTCCCGGGTTCACTCCATTCTCCTGCCTCAGCCTCCCGAGTAGCGGGGACTACAGGTGCCCGCCACCACGCCTGGCTAATTTTTTGTATTTTTTTTAGTAGAGACGGGGTTTCACCACGTTAGCCAGGACGGTCTCGATCTCCTAACCTCGTGATCCGCCCGCCTCAGCCTCCCAAAGTGCTGGGATTACAGGCGTGAGCCACCGCGCCTGGCCTTTTTTTTTTTTTTTTTTTTTTTTTTTTTTTTGAGACGGAGCCTCGCTCTGTCACCCAGGCTGGAGTGCAATGGCGGGATCTCAGCTCACTGCAACATCCGCCTCCCAGGTTCAAGTGATTCTCCTGCCTCAGCCTCCCGAGTAGCTGGAATTACAGGTCCCCACCATTACGCCCAGCTAATTTTTGTATTTTTGGTAGAGAGGGGGGTTTCTCCATGTTGGCCAGGCTGATCTCGAACTCCTGAGCTTAGGTGATCTGCCCACCTCGACCTCCCAAAGTGCTGGGATTACAGGCATGAGCTACCACGCCTGGCCGAGATTTTTACAATTTGATTTAGCTTAATTTTTTTCCATGAATTTTCTGTTTGTATCTTTTACCCATTTTTATTAAAAAATGGGGTTTCCTTTTTTGCTGAAGAGTAAAAAAGCTTTACAGATAAAGGAAATTAGCATATTATCACACCACATGTAATAGCTTAGTTACTTGTTTTTTGTTGGTGGCTTTTTTTTTTTTTGAGATGCAGTCTCATTCTGTCACCCAGGCTACAGTGCAGTGGCCGATCTCAGCTCACTGCAAGCTCCGCCTCTCAGGTTCATGCCATTCTCCTGCCTCAGCCTCCCAAGTAGCTGGGACTACAGGCGCCTGCCACCACGCCTGGCTAATTTTTTGTATTTTTAGTAGAGACGGGGTTTCACCATGTTAGCCAAGGTGGTCTCGATCTCCTGACCTCTTGATCTGCCTGCCTCAGCCTCCCAAAGTGCTGGGATCACAGGCGTGAGCCACCGCGCCTGGACGATGGAGTTTTTTTTTTTTTTTAAATAATCTATATATATATATTTATTATTATTATTTTATTTTTGAGATGGAATCTCACTTTATTGCCCAGGCTGGAGGGCAGTGGTGTGATCTCGGCTCAATGCAACCTCCGCTTCCCAGGTTCAAGCGATTCTCCTGCCTCAGTCTCCTGAGTAGATGGTATTACAGGCGTGAGCCACCACGCCTGGCTATTTTCTTCGTATTTTTAGTAGAGTCAAGGTTTCACTATGTTGGCCAGGCTGGTCTTGAACTCCTGACCTCAAGTGATCCACTTGCCTCAGCCTCCCAAAGTGCTGGGATTGCAGGCGTGACCCACCGCGCCCGGCCTTGGCTAAGTTACTTGTTGGTTAGAGTCTAGGTTCTGGGGATAGAGCAATGAATGAGATGGACAAAATCCCCTGATTTCCAAAAGCTGACACTGTATTGGGCCGACAGAGCAGGGACAAATAAATAAGATATATAATATGTCATGTGGTGATCAGGATTGGTTACGGGGAAAAATAAAGCAGGAAAGACAGAGAAGGGCCAGGACTCACGCCTGTAATCCCGCCACTTTAGGAGGCCAAGGCAGGAGGACTACTTGAGCCCAGGAGTTTGAGACCAGCCTGGGCAACAAAGTGAGACCCCAGGCTGCAGTGAGCTATGATGATACCACTGCACTCCAGCCTGGGAGACAGAGTGAGATCCCATCTCAAAAGAAAAAATTAAATTAAAAAGACAGACAGAGGGCCGGGCATGGTGGCTCACGCCTGTAATCCCAGCACTTTGAGAGGCCGAGGTGGGCGGATCACGAGATCAAGAGATGGAGACCATCCTGGCTAACACAGTGAAACCCCGTCTCCACTAAAAATACAAAAAATTAGCCGGGCATGGTGGCGGGCGCCTGAAGTCCCAGCTACTCGGGAGGCTGAGGCAGGAGAATGGCGTGAACCCGGGAGGCGGAGCTTGCAGTGAGCCGAGATCGCGCCACTGCACTCCAGCCTGGGCAACAGAGCGAGACTCTGTCTCAAAAAAAAAAAAAAAAAAAGAGAGAGACAGAGCGAGAGAGACAGGCATAGAGAGTGTGTATTGGGAGAGGATGTTATAATTTACAGTGTGCCAAGTAAAGGTTTCATGGAGGTGACATTTGGAGCAAAGACCTGAAGGAGGTGAGAGAGCCACCTTGTGAACATGTGAGGGAACTGTGTTCCAAGCAGAAGGAACAGTCAGTGCGGCCGGGCACGGCGGCTCACGCCTGTAATCCCAGCACTTTGGGAGGCCAAGGCGGGTGGATTGCCTGAGCTCAGGAGTTCAAGACTAGCTGGGCAACATGGTGAAATCCTGTCTCTACTAAAATACAAAAAATTAGCCGGGCGTGGTGGCGGGCGCTTGTAGTCCCAGCTACTCGGGAGGCTGAGGCAGGAGAATGGCTTGAACCTGGGAGGCGGAGCTTGCAGTGAGCCGAGATCCCGCCACTGCACTCCAGCCTGGGTGACAGAGCGAGACTTCTTCTCAAAAAAAAAAGAAAAAAAAAAAGTCAGTGCAAAGGCCCTGAGGCTGGAGCCTGCCTGGTGTACTTGAAGAACAGCAGAAACCCGTGGTGCCTGGCAGCAGAGGGAGCAAGGGAGTGTTGAGAAGAAAGCCCAAGAAAAAGCAGGCCGCGCAAGAGAGGAGGTGACAGCCAGATCTTACAAGACCTCAAAGCTCCTGGTGGGGACTTGGGACTTTTCTCTGGGTGAGATGGAACACCCAAGGTGGGGAGGTTTGATGAGGTAACTGAGGGCGTTATAGGAGTTTGCCAGTCAGGAATGATGTTGGAGTAGGAGGATGTAGGTTTCTGAGAGTTGAAAAGGAACAATTAATCCTTCACACAGCAAATGTATATATTTATACATTTAACTCTGGCTCTGTTCCAAACCTTGTGTTAACAGTGAGCCCAATAGCTATTAATACAAATAGAATGTAATGCCAGGAATTTAGCCACTCATAACTTACATGAGTTATGAACTTTTTTTTCTTTTTGAGACAGGGTCTCTCTCTGTCACCCAGGCTGGAGTGCAGTGGCGTCATCCTGGCTCACTGCAATCTCTGCCTCCCGGGTTCAAGCCATTCTCCTGCCTCAGCCTCCCAAGTAGCTGGGATTACAGGAGCACACCACCACACCCAGCTAATTTTTGTATTTTTAGTAGAGATGGGGGTCTCAACATGTTGCCCAGGCTGGTCACGAACTCCTGACCTCAGGTGATACACTTGCCTCGGCCTCTCAAAGTGCTGGGATTACAGGCGTGAGCCACCACGCCCTGCCTGAGGTGTCGTTTTTGACATTTAAATCTGCAATCTAGGCTGAGGATGGTGGCGCACGCCTGTAATCCCAGCTACTTGGGAGGCTGAGGCAGGAGAATCGCCTCCACCCAGGAGGTGGAGGTTGCAGTGAGCCGAGATGATGCCACTGCACTCCAGCCTAAGTGACAGAGTAAGACTCTCTCTCAAAAAAAATTAAAAAAAAAAAAAATAAATAAATAATAAATCTCCAATCTACCTCTAACTTTATACCTTTCCAGATGGCTATTGAGTGTCTTAGTTTTATGGAGAAAAGTCCATCTCGTTTTCAATGATATGAAATTCCACTGTTAAAATGTAAATTCCCAGCTGGGTATGGTGGCTCATGCCTGTAATCCCAGCACTTTGGGAGGCCAAGGCGGGTGGATTGCCTGAGCTCAGGAGTTCAAGACTAGCTGGGCAACATGGTGAAATCCTGTCTCTACTAAAATACAAAAAATTAGCCGGGCGTGGTGGCGGGCGCTTGTAGTCCCAGCTACTCGGGAGGCTGAGGCAGGAGAATGGCTTGAACCTGGGAGGCGGAGCTTGCAGTGAGCCGAGATCCCGCCACTGCACTCCAGCCTGGGTGACAGAGCGAGACTTCTTCTCAAAAAAAAAAGAAAAAAAAAAAGTCAGTGCAAAGGCCCTGAGGCTGGAGCCTGCCTGGTGTACTTGAAGAACAGCAGAAACCCGTGGTGCCTGGCAGCAGAGGGAGCAAGGGAGTGTTGAGAAGAAAGCCCAAGAAAAAGCAGGCCGCGCAAGAGAGGAGGTGACAGCCAGATCTTACAAGACCTCAAAGCTCCTGGTGGGGACTTGGGACTTTTCTCTGGGTGAGATGGAACACCCAAGGTGGGGAGGTTTGATGAGGTAACTGAGGGCGTTATAGGAGTTTGCCAGTCAGGAATGATGTTGGAGTAGGAGGATGTAGGTTTCTGAGAGTTGAAAAGGAACAATTAATCCTTCACACAGCAAATGTATATATTTATACATTTAACTCTGGCTCTGTTCCAAACCTTGTGTTAACAGTGAGCCCAATAGCTATTAATACAAATAGAATGTAATGCCAGGAATTTAGCCACTCATAACTTACATGAGTTATGAACTTTTTTTTCTTTTTGAGACAGGGTCTCTCTCTGTCACCCAGGCTGGAGTGCAGTGGCGTCATCCTGGCTCACTGCAATCTCTGCCTCCCGGGTTCAAGCCATTCTCCTGCCTCAGCCTCCCAAGTAGCTGGGATTACAGGAGCACACCACCACACCCAGCTAATTTTTGTATTTTTAGTAGAGATGGGGGTCTCAACATGTTGCCCAGGCTGGTCACGAACTCCTGACCTCAGGTGATACACTTGCCTCGGCCTCTCAAAGTGCTGGGATTACAGGCGTGAGCCACCACGCCCTGCCTGAGGTGTCGTTTTTGACATTTAAATCTGCAATCTAGGCTGGGGATGGTGGCGCACGCCTGTAATCCCAGCTACTTGGGAGGCTGAGGCAGGAGAATCGCCTCCACCCAGGAGGTGGAGGTTGCAGTGAGCCGAGATGATGCCACTGCACTCCAGCCTAAGTGACAGAGTAAGACTCTCTCTCAAAAAAAATTAAAAAATAAATAAATAAATAAATAATAAATCTCCAATCTACCTCTAACTTTATACCTTTCCAGATGGCTATTGAGTGTCTTAGTTTTATGGAGAAAAGTCCATCTCGTTTTCAATGATATGAAATTCCACTGTTAAGATGTAAATTCCCAGCTGGGTATGGTGGCTCATGCCTGTAATCCCAGCACTTTGGGAGGCCAAGGTGGGCGGATCACGAGGTCAGGAGATCGAGACCACCCTGGCTAACACAGTGAAACCCCATCTCTACTAAAAATACATAAAATTAGCCAGGTGTGGTGGCGTGTGCCTGTAATCCCAGCTACTCGGGAGGCTGAGGCAGGAGAATAGCTTGAATCCGGGAGGCAGAGGTTTCAGTGACCCAAGATCGCGCCACTGCACTCCAGCCTGGGTGACAAACCGAGACTCCATCTCAGATAAAAAAAAAAAAAAAAGATGTAAATTCCCATATGTATTTCTGGCCCCTCTAATCTGTCCCTTTTAACCAGTTGTCTGTCCTTTTATGGGCCAGTCCCAAACTGTTTGAAAACTATACTTTTATGATCAGTTTTCAAATGCAGAAGGGCTGATTTCCTCTTACATTTTCAGAAATGTTCTGCATCTTTTCACATTTTTTTCTTTTGAACCTCAGAATCAACCTGCCTAACTTTAAAAGAGCCTTTTAGTGTTTTAAATAAGGCTAGATTAAATTCATAGACTCGGGGGGAAACCAGGTTCAACTTTTTAATACTGGATCTTCCCAAATATTCAAATCTTGTATGCTCAGCCCTAGCAGCAGTTTCAAGTTTTTTGAACTAGATCCTGTGCCATTTTTGATAAGCTCATTCCAAGATATTTTTATTATCTTTTAATTCTTGCTTGAGTAAATGCAATGTTCTTTTCTTCTGCTTGTTTTCTAAGCCAGTTTTCTGTATACTGGCACTTGTTTAGGTTGAAGATATTAATTTTGCAACCCTAGAGCCCCCTTGCTCAATTCTCATTTCTTCCAATAGTTTATGGGTTCTCTTTCAAGATATACAGTCACATTGAGGCAGGAGAATAGGGCCTGGAGGCAGGGAACCTAAGGCTGATTCACCCTGACTTCTAGAACTACATCGAAAGAAAAACCTCAACCTTCCACGCTTAAGTAACGAAAGGACCAGGGGAGACTCCTGCAAACCCCAACCTTTTCTGTGGGGCAGATGGGAAATCGAAGGTACCCCTGATTGGTTGCAGAAAGCATAGAAGTGTAACTTCCTAACTTCACTTCAGCCTCTGATTGGTTGCTGTCCACAACCACTGTCCACAACCAATCAGACTGATTGCAGGCGAGGTCTTTGTTTGCATAGAAGTGCAACTTTGTAACTTCACTTTAGCCTCTGATTGGTCGCTTTTTGCTTGCAGACCACCACTTCATTTACATGGGGTGAACACCAAGTGGCCAATGGGAGGGCCAGGTGCAGTGGCTCACACCTGTAATCCCAGCACTTTAGGAGGCCAAGGCCAGCAGATCACCTGAGGTCAGGAGTTTGAGACCAGTCTGGCCAACATGGTGAAACCCCGTCTCTACTAAAAAATATACAAAAATTAGCCAGGCATGGTGACAGACACCTGTAATCCCAGCTACTCAGGAGGCTGAGGCAGGAGAATCTCTTGAACCCAGGATGCGGAGGTTGCAGTGAGCCAAGATCGCACCATTGCACTCCAGCCTGGGTGACAAGAGTGAGACTCCATCTCAAAATAAATAAATAAATAAAAATAAGTGACCAATGGGAAACCTATAGGAGGTATTTGGACCTAAGAAGATCCTGTATCCGGGGCCCTTGAGCAGCTGCTGGGGCCTGCTCCCACACTGTGGTGTGTACTTTCACTTTTGATAAATCTCTGCTTTCCTTGCTTTGCTGTGCGTTTTGTCCAATTCTTTGTTCAAAACACCAAGAACCTAGACAACTTGCAGTCAAGACCCTCTATCGGTAACAACATCATCTCTGAAGAATAGACATGCTTCCTTCTTTCTAAGGTTCATACTCTTCTTCCTTTTCCCTATATAATTACATGAGTCATGTTCCTTGAATCTGAGCCCAGCACTCAAGGTTTTTGCTTCCTGGCACAGGGCCTGGGGCCTCTGTCCATCCTTGAAATTCTTTGCCTATCATTTTCTGCTCCAAAACGGTTATACCCAAAGGTGCTTTACCATGACTTCTCAGGCACGGAGGCATCACTCCATTGGGAGCCATTTCGGCAGGAAGCTTCTCTGACTGTCCCAAGTCCTCATTCCAATAAACATAAAAACAACAATCATATTATAGGCATTGACATGCATTCTGAAGAACCTTATATTTTGCTCAATAGCATGTTTGTTTTTTGTTGTTCTTTTGTTTTTTTTTTTTTTTTTTGAGACGAAGTCTCGCTCTGTCGCCCAGGCTGGAATGCAGTGGCAAGATCTCGGCTCACTGCAAGCTCCGCCTCCTGGGTTCTGGCCATTCTCCTGCCTCAGCCTCCCAAATAGCTGAGACTACAGGCACCCACCACCATGCCCAGCTAATTTTTTGTATTTTTAGTAGAGACAGGGTTTCACTGTGTTAGCCAGGATGGTCTCAATCTCCTGACCTCGTGATCTGCCCACCTCGGCCTCCCAAAGTGCTGGGATTACAGGTGAGAGCCACCGCGCCCAGCCTGTTTTTTGTTTTTGAGACGGAGCCTCGCTCTATTGCACAGGCTGGAGTGCAGCGGCGTGATCTCAGCTCACTGCAACCTCTGCCTCCCAGGTTCAAGCGATTCTTCTGCCTCAGCCTCCCCAGTAGCTGGGATTACAGGTGTGTGCCACCACACCTGGCTAATTTTTGTATTTGTAGTAGACACGGGGTTTCACCATGCTGGCCAGGCTGGTCTCAAAACTCTTGACCTCAAGTAATCTGCCCACTTCGGCCTCCCAAAATACTGGGATTACAGGCGTGAGCCACTGTGCCTGGTCAGTAGCATGTTAGAATTAAATGAGCCTTTTGGGAAAATTCAGGTGAGGGTAGGTTACCCAAAGACTATGCAGCCACGTTCAAACCTTTGGTGGTTTATGTATTTATTTAGAGACAGGGTCTCACTCCTGTCACCCAGGCTGGAGTGCTGTGGCATGATCATGGCTCAGTGCAGCCTCGACCTCCTAGGCTTGGGTGATTCTCGTGGCCACCTCAGCCTTGTGAGTGGCTGGGACTACAGAGACACACCACCTCACCCAGCTAATTTTTTTTTTTGTATATTTGTATTTTTAGTAGAGACAGGGTTTTGCCATGTCGCCCAGGCTGATCTCAAACTCCTTGGCTCAAGCGATCTTCCTGCCTCAGCCTTCCAAAGTGTTGGGATTACAGGCATGAACCACCACACTCAGCCCTTTGGTGTTTTTTTTGTTTGTTTGTTTGTTTGAGATGGAGTCTCGCTCTGTCACCCAGGCTGGAGTGCAGTGGCGCCATCTCCGGCTCACTGCAAGCTCCACCTCCCGGGTTCACACCATTCTCCTGCCTCAGCCTCCCGAGTAGCTGGGACTACAGGTGCCCGCCACCACGCCCGGCTAATTTTTTTTTTGTAGTTTTAGTAGAGACGGAGTTTCACCGTGTTAGCGGGGATGGTCTCAATCTCCTGACCTCATGATCTGCCCACCTCGGCCTCCCAAAGTGCTGGGATTACAGGCGTGAGCCACCTCTCCTGGTCCTTAATTTTTAAAGTTTTTGTAGAGACGGGGTCCCACCATGTTGCCCCAGCTGGTCTTGAACTCCTGGGCTCAAGTGATCCTCCTGCCTTGGCCTCCCAAAGTGCTGGAATTACAAAGTGCTGGTGACGTGAACCACCTTGCCCAGCTGTGTACACTCTAAATGGTTCATTTTATATTATTTCTAAATGGTTCATTTTATATTATGTGAATTTCACCTCAATACAAAACTTTTTTTTTTTTCAGACGGAGTTTCCCTCTTGTTGCCCAGGCTGGGGTGCAATGGCACGATCTCGGCTCACTGCAACCTACGCCACCCCAGGTTCAAGCGATTCTCCTGCCTCAGCCTCCCGAGTAGCTGGGATTACAGGCACGCACCACCATGCCCGGCTAATTTTGTGTTTTTAGTAGAGATGGGGTTTCACCATGTTGGTCATGCTGGTCTCAAACTCCCGACCCCAGGTGATCCACCTGTCTCAGCCTCCCAAAGTGCTGGGATTACAGGCGTGAGCCACCGCGCCCGGCTTTTTTGTTGTTGTTGTTTTTTGTTTTTTTTAATTGACTCAGCTTTGGGCTTGAACTGTTAGAATGATGGTGCGTCCATTCAGTGAGATGAGGAAGCTCTAGGGAAAATGAACTTGGGAGTGGGGAATCCCATTTTGAATGTCTTAAATTTGATATGCCTTGTAGGCTTCCAAGCCGAGTTAGATATATGAGCCTGGAGTTCAGAGATGGGGTGGAGATAAAAATTTAGAAGCCATTGGCACACGGGAAATATCTTAAGCCATGGAGCTAGATGAGCTCATTTAGGCCAGAGGTGTCCAATCTTTTGGCTTCCCTGGGCCACACTGGAAGAAGAATTGTCTTGGGCAACACATAAAATACGCTAACACTAACAATAGCTGATGAGCTAAAAAAAAAAAAAAATCGCAAAAAAAAAAAATCTCATTTTTTGTTGTTGTTGTTGTTTTTTGTTTTCGAGACGGAGTTTCGCTCTTGTTGCCCAGGCTGGAGTGCAATGGCCCAGTCTCGGCTCACTGCAACCTCCACCTCTGGGTTCAAGTGATTCTCCTTCCTCAGCCTCCCAAGTAGCTGGGATTATAGGCATGCACCACCACACCCGGCTAATTTTGTATTTTTAGTAGAAACAGGGTTTCTCCATGTTGGTCAGGCTGGTCTCGAACTCCCGACCTCAGGTGATCCGCTCGCCTCAGCCTCCGAAAGTGCTGGGATTATAGGCGTTGCCACCGCACCCGGCCAAAATCTCATAATGTTCTAAGAAAGTTTACGAATTTGTGTTGGGCCACCTTCAGAGCCATCCTGGGCCGCATGCAGCCCACGGGCCGCAAGTTGGAGAAGCTTGATCTAGGGAAAGGGTGTGGGGAAAGACGAAGAGATGGCCCAAGCCCATGCCTCTGGCAGTCCCAGCGTGTCAGTGTCAGACAGCAGACAAAGAATCCAGGAGACAGCAGAAGAGGGCTGGGGGGAAGCCCAAGAGTGAGTGTTTGGAAAACTAAAGAGAGTAACAGCAATCGGTTGGAATTGGAGTGTATCCATTTATAGAGGACTATGCTTAGTGGTACACAAACATAAATTGTGGCGCATCCGTGTAGTAGAATACTATGCATGGTTACACGAAATAAGGAGGAAGTTCTCTATGTGCTGAGATGGGAAGATTTCCTTTGTATGAAATGATTTGCTGACATCCTCACAAAACACTGTTTAATAAAGCAAGGTGTATAACACTGTAAAAAAAAATAAAGAGAGAGAGAAAAATTCCTTTTTTTTTTTTCCTTTTCGAGACAGGGTCTCACTCTGTCACCCAGGCTGGAGTGCAGTGGTGCAATCATGGCTCACTGCAGCCTCCCAGGCTCCAGCGATCCTCCTGCCTCAGCCTCCCAAGTAGCTGGAATTACAGGCACCCGCCACCACGCCCGGTTAATTTTTGTATTTTTAGTAGAGACAGGTTTTCACCATATTAGCCAGGCTGGATCTCGAACTCCTGGCCTCAAGTGATCCACCCGCCTCGGCCT
This sequence comes from Homo sapiens, assembly GCF_000001405.40. Classification (NCBI taxonomy): domain Eukaryota; kingdom Metazoa; phylum Chordata; class Mammalia; order Primates; family Hominidae; genus Homo; species Homo sapiens. The sequence goes on from NC_000019.10 coordinate 46,446,905, forward strand.
CCCAAAGTGCTGGGATTACAGGCGTCAGCCACCGTGCCTGGCCACAGGACTGGCTTTCAATATGAAGCACAGAAACGTCCTCCAAGGGGCAGGAGAGAAGGACAAGGGCACACACGTCCAGCAAATGCAGATTTCCTGGTAAGAAGCTGAAGAAACAAATTTTATTATTTAACAAAAATGTAGATGATGCTTACTATATGCCTGACCCTGTTCCAAGCACTTTGCAAATACTTCATTTGCATGAAAAGCCTTTGAGGTAGCTACTGTTATATTCTGTCATCCTCATCTTACAAATGAGGAAGCAGGCACAGAGGGCAATCACCTTCCCCAAAGTCACACAGCTGGTAAGAAGCAGGGCTGCTTAAAGGTGGGCAATCGGGCAGCAGAATTCACACTCTTAAACAGTACTCCATAATACTTCTCTGTGCTTGACCTCCTGGGGCTCAAGCAATCCTCCTGGGCTCAAGCGATCCTCCTGCCCCAGCCTCCCAAGCAGCTGGGATCACAGGCTTGCACTACCATGCCTGGCTAATTTTTTTGTATTTTTAGTAGAGATGGGCTTTCACCATGTTGTCCAGGCTGGTCTCAAACTCCTGGCCTCCAGAGATCCTCCAGCCTCAGCCTCCCGAAGTGCTGGGATTACAGGCGTAAGCCACAGTACCCAGTCCTCTGTGCTCTGTTCTTGATAAATGACATTTTATTGTACAGATGTGTTTTATTTTTAGATGGAAGATCAGTGGGTGAAGATTCAGGCTGGTTCAGGGCACTGGGAGTCTTGAGGAGAGAGGAGACTCAGAAGCTGCCGTCTTGGAGAAAAAAACTTACTAGAAAAACAGGAGGACTCCATGTTTGAGGTTTGTGGTGCTGGGTTTTCAGTGAAATCCCAGAGGCTGGCTGAGATTTTTCCTGCTTCGTGGGAGGAAATGGCTTTCGCATGGGAGGGGGAAAGATAAGTATGGCCCAGTTCACAGTCTGTCTGCAAATCCCCAGGCACTCTGGTTCCCCGGTTCTCTCGGGGTCCTGGAATCTGGTGCTGGGTGGCCTGTCTGCCCTTCCAACTGGCCACCTGGTCCCTGTGAGCTGAACTCCAGGAACCCAGCATGGCCAGGCCAGGCTGCAGGGGAGGGAAGGGCCTGGAAGCCTGTTCCCAGGCCATGGCCAAAGGAAACGAGTTACCTTCCAGGAACTGGAGCCCAGAGGCAGGGGTGAGGAGCTGGGGAGCTGGGGGCCTGGAGGGAAAGCAGTGCCCAGAACTTGCAGGGCCTCTGAAGCTGGGCTGGAGTTTGGCTCTGGGCACGAGAGCCAACAGGGCCTGTCATGGGCACAGTCTCCACCCCATGATTTGAGGGCTGAATAATGGTCCTCAAATACAACCACCTCCTAAGTCCTGGAACCTGTAAATAGGTGACTTCATGTAGCAAAAGGGACTTGGAAGATGATCCTGAATTATCTGGGTGGGACCAATGTCATTACAAAGGTCTTTATAAAGAAGGCCAAGCTCAGTGGCTCACACCTATAATGCCAACATTTTGGGAGGCCAAGGCAGGAGGATGGCTTGAGCTCAGGAGTTCAAGACCAGCCTGGGCAACATAGTGAAACCCCATCTCTACTAAAAATACAAAAATTAGCCAGGTGTGGTGGCAAGTGCCTACAGTACCAGCTACTCAGGAGGCTGAGGCAGGAGAATCGCCTGAACCCGGGAGGCGGAGATTGCAGTATGCCAAGATTGCCCTGGGCGACAGAGCAAGACTCTGTCTAAATAAATAAATAAATAAATAAATAAATAAATAAAATTTAAAAAGAAAAGAGGGAGACGAGAGGGTCAGAATCGGAAAAGGGAACGTGCCAATGGAAGCAGGGTTTGGAGTCATGCAAGAAACGGCCCCAAGCCAAGGAATGCAGGTGGCCCCTGTACTCTGGGAAAGGTGAGGACACGTACTCTTCCCTGGAGCCTCCAAAGGAACACGGCCCTGCTCATCCATTCAGACTTGTAACCTTCCGAACTGGCAGCCAATAAATTTTGTGTTGCCTTAAGTTAATCCATTTATGGTAATTTGTTACAGTGACAGAAGCTTGAGACAGCAAGTTTCTTTTTTTCTTTTTTTTTTTTTTTTGAGACAGAGTCTTGCTCTGTCACCAGGCTGGAGTGCAGTGGGGTGATGTCGGCTCACTGGAACCTCTGCCTCCTGGGTTCAAGCGATTCTCCTGCCTCAGCCTCCCAAGTAGCTGGGACTACAGGCACCCACCACCATGCCCGGCTAATTTTTTATATTTTAGTAGAGATGGGGTTTCACCATGTTGGTCAGGCTGGTCTCAAACTCCTGATCTCAGGTGATCCGCCCACCTCAGCCTCTCAAAGTGCTGGGATTACAGGCACGAGCCACCAAGCCCGGCCCGAGACAGCAAGTTTCTTTATCTCCTGGGGACTCTGTTTCTGAAACTGTGAATCAGTGATAACTGAATCCCTGCAGCGTTGTACTGAGGCTATTGGACACAGATACATCAAGTGTTTAGGATGGTTGCTGGCACTCAGCAAGTGCTTGACAATATTAGCTATCATTATCTTCAAAGTGTTACCAAAACACCAGGGGTTTGGTCTAGGTCATGCTGCTCACAGCACAGAAAGCCAATAAGGGAAGAAGGCTTTAATTGGGCGCTGCCGCTGAGGAGATGGTTCAATCTCAAATCCATCTCCTTGACCAGCTAAAATCAGGGGTTTAAATAACAGGGAAGAAATGTAACAATGTGTAAGAAAACAGGAACTAGGGAGGGGCAAGGAAGCAGTCATGATGAATGAGAGGTCCATTATCTCATTGTCTGGATGTGATGATCTGGTAAGTTTCAGTTATTTGATACTTTTTGTTTTTGAGATGCCTGAAAGTGAAAGGAACTCAGATAAAACAAATTAAGTCTCAAGCTTAAAGACCAGAAGGGTCAGTTTCCTATGTTTATCCAAAAAACTATCTATGGGACTATTGGGTCAGTTTCAAAAGTGTAGGCAAAGTATTCATTTGTCCAACAAATATTTATCGAGCATTTATTATGTTCCAGGCACTATTACTGCTGGAGATTCAGCATGAACCAGACAGATAAACACTTCCTGCCTCGGCCCTGAGCCCTCAGGAAACTTTCAATCTAGGGAGGGAGAAAGACAATAAACAAAAGAAATGGGAGAATGGCGTGAACCCGGCAGACGGAATTTGCAGTGAGCCGAGATCGCGCCACTGCACTCCAGCCTGGGCAACAGAGCGAGACTCTGTCTGAAAAAAAAAAAAGAAAAGAAAAAGAAATGTGTCCTTTTAGTTTTTTGTGGTTATTTTTTGCCATACAAAAGGTATTAATTCTTATGAAGTCATATGTAGCTATATTTTCTTTTCTGTTCTAGTTTTGGTACTCGTCTTACAAGACCTTCTTCTCTCCAAGAAAAGCAAATGTGAAGCACATCAAGGTCTTTTTTTTTTTTTTTTTTGAGACTGAGTCTCACTCTGTCGCCCAGGCTGATGTACAGTGGCACAATCTCGGCTCACTGCAACCTCTGCCTCCCAGTTCAAGCGATTCTCCTGCCTCAGTCTCCCAAGTAGCTGAGATTACAGGCACCTGCCACCACACCCAACTAATTTTTTGTATTTTTAGTAGAGATGGGGTTTCACCATGTTGACCAGGCTGGTCTTGAACTCCTGACCTTAAGTGATCCACCTGCCTTGGCCTCCCAAAGTGCTGGGATTATAGGCATTAGCCACCGTGCCTGGCCCAAAGTCTTAATAGTTATAATTGCTTTTGTTTAAACTTATATATATGTGTATACATACACTCATACATATATACACACATATACACAAACATATATACATTCATATATCACACATGCACAAATACATACAACATACTCATATACATATGTATATATCCACCCATATATACACATAAATGCACTTATATATGCACATATACATATGTACATAAATATACATAGACACAGAAAAGCAAACATATACATAAATTTACACACATATATACACAAACATACACTTAGACACAGAATTATAGACATACACACAAATTCATGCCCACACCCATAGACACACATATACATATATACACGCATGTATATGTCCGTATAGAGAGCTCTATGCTGGAATATACAAAAACATTTTTTCTCTTTTGAAGGAAAACGAGAACCTGCTATGGCTTTTGTGGGAGGTTGGGGAGAAGCAGACGGGGCACTCTCCGTTTCTAATTTTGTACAGCTGGAATGTCTAACACTCTGCATATCTTATTTTAAAATGTCTATGTGGGCTGTTTTAGCAACAGGATGATAGGTCAGTTCTTGTTTTCATCTTTATATGGCTCTTTATTCAATAAAAACAAAACCACTGCCACCTAAAAATAAAATGCTTTAGGAGCCAAGACCACGTTATAGGTTACAGTCACAGTCATTCTTTTTTTTCTTTATTTTTCTTTTTCTCTGGGTCTGGTATAAAGCTTTCATTTAACCTGATTTACTCTTGCCAATCTGTCGCTGAATAAGCCATTCATAGCCCTGCCGATCCAGGCCTGGGCATGTCCTGGTATGTCAGATTGTCCAAGCCAGCAGCTGCCACGGTTCCCATTCCTCAGGCTTCAAGAAATGACAGGAGCATCTGCCAAGGGTTCATCCGGCCATGGTGACCTGAGAGCTTTATAACAACAAGTGATTGTCTAATGAATTTGAACACAAGGGTTTGCTGTTCTAGGTGGCTTCACAGTGCTACGTTCAGGGTATTTCCCATGTGATTTTCTTAATTGTGATAAGAAATAAGAGTTGTGCAATTCCGCTCAGAAATATAAAAAAATTCCTCCACCAGGACACTTTGAATCCTTCTGGATCTATGTAACCAGGATTAGAACAGGCAGCTGTCTAACCGCCATTACTAGGTCCCTCAAGCTATGACACTGCTGGAAAGAAAGGGAGACTAACTGATTGAACAACCTACCAAATCCAAAAAAGAAATACAATAATTGAGACTGGACAAAGTAGCTCACGCCTGTAATCCTAACACTTTAGAAGGCTGAGATGAGTGGATTGCCTGAGCTCAGGAGTTTCAGACCAGGCTGGGCAAAATGGTGAGACCCCTGTCTCTACTGAAAAAATCCCCCCCAAAAAAAAAAATTGGCTGGGCATGGTGTCACACGCTTGTGGTCCCAGTTACTTGGGAGGCTGAGGTGGGAAGATTGCTTGAGCCTGGGAGGTGGAGGTTGCAGTGAGCCGAGATCATGCCACAGCACTCCAACCTGGGTTACAATGTGAGACCTTGTCTCAAAAACAAAACAAACAAACAAACTTCAAATGCATGAAACTCGTCCTTCATAGCTTCTGAGATATGTCTTTCTGCTTAGAAAAGTACTCTCCCTGCTTCTAAGAGTATAGATTACTTCACCATTTGCAGGGAGGCATTTGATGTCTTCATGCTTTGCATTTACATCTTTCATCCAGCTGGAATTTTTCTCAGTGAAAGTAACATTGGAATAGTCCATCACGCTCCAAAGAAATGTTTGGCCACTTGATCCTTGTCTCATCTGCTGGCCTGTAATGCTGCCTTCATCAAAACTGAAAATCTCACATTTAGGGACGCCAAACTGTCAGAAATATTATAGATTCATAATGCATTTTAGCGCCTGATAGGGCATACTCCTGCCCCACTGTGCATTTCAGAGTTTCTGGGTTGCTTTCATATGGTAACAATTTTTCAGCAGCTCATCTTGCATTTATATGTTAAACTCCAGAAGCTGGACAAAGACGAGGCGGGATGCTTTACTTTTACAGTTAAATGACTGGGCTAGGTGCGGCGGCTCACACCTGTAATCCCAGCACTTTGGGAGGCCGAGGAGGGCAGATCACCTGAGGTCAGGAGTTCGAGACCAACCTGGACAACACAGAAACCCCGTCTCCACTAAAAATACAAAAAAGGCGCGGTGGCTCACGCCTGTAATCCCAGCACTTTGGGAGGCCGAGGCGGGCGGATCACGAGGTCGGGAGATCGAGGCCATCCCGGCTAAAACGGTGAAACCCCGTCTCTACTAAAAATACAAAAAAATTAGCCGGGCGTAGTGGCGGGCGCCTGTAGTCCCAGCTACTTGGGAGGCTGAGGCAGGAGAATGGCGTGAACCCGGGAGGCGGAGCTTGCAGTGAGCCGAGATCCCGCCACTGCACTCCAGCCTGGGCGACAGAGCGAGACTCCGTCTCAAAAAAAAAAAAAAAAAAAAAAAAAAAAAAAAAAAAAAAAAAAAAAAAAAATTAGCTGGGCATGGTAGCACATGCCTGTAATCCCAGCTACTCGGGAGGCTGAGGCACGAGAATCACTTGAACCCAGGAGGCGGAGGTTGCAGTGAGCCGAGATCGTGCCTCTGCACTCTAGCCTAAGTGACAGTGAGACTCTGTCTCAAAAAATAATAAAATAAAATAAAATAACTAACACTATCAATAATTGTTCACATTCACCCAGCACTCATCCGCCATAGCACAAGACCACAGCCTTACTTCTTACACATTCGCTTATTTTTTGTTGTGTTTTTTTGTTTGTTTGTTTGGTTTTTTTGAGACTGGGTCTCATTCTGTCACCCAGGCTGGAATGCAGTGGTGTGTCTCTGCTCACTGCAACCTCCGCCTCCTGGGTTCAAGTGATTCTCCTGCCTCAGCCTCCCGAGTAGCTGGGATTACAGGCACACGCCACCACACCCAGCTAATTTTTGTATTTTTTGTAGAGATGGGGTTTCACCATGTTGGCCAGGCTGGTCTCCAACTCCTGACCTCAGGTGGTCCACCCGCTTCAGCCTCCAAAAGTGCTGGGATTATAGGTGTGAGCCACTGTGCCCGGCCACATTCACTTGTTTTTCTAGAACTATTATGCAGGGATTGGAGCTTTTCCAAAGCAGCCATGCCTGAGGTTTACTTGTCATTGGACTTGAGCATGACAAGGCATGCACTTTGCAGACATCGAAGGTAGAGTTTTTCAGTGGCAGGCATGCCCATGCCAGAAAAAATTTCAAACGAACCAGGACAGGCAGCGACCCACCTTCCAAAACAAGGATGCTTTGTATAACGTGCAAATATTTGTCCAGAAATGGCAAGAAATGCTTCTAAGAACTGCAGAAAAATCCAGTTAATTTAGCAATATAGGTGAATGTAGTTTGGGGTAATGTAACTTTTTAAATTTTTTGTTTAAGTATAATGTTGTTTTAATGTAAGGAAGTATAAAGAAAATAAATGACCCACTATCTGTCCTGTCCACATCAGCATTCTAAAATATAATGTGTTACCAAGCGTGAGAGTTACAGATGGGGACATAATGAAGTCCTTCCCTCCATTCCCCTCAGTTCCCCACCTCAGAAGCAACCCGTTTTCCATTTGTTGTTTTTCCTTCCAGAAAAAAGGAAAAAGATTGATACATATACTACCATATATAATAATATAATGTTTTTCATTTATAAAAGGGTCATCATATGTGCTTGTTACTTATCACTTCATAAAATCCCTCTCCCTCTCCCTCTCCCTCTCCCTCTCTCGACACGGTCTCCCTCTGTTACCCTGTCTGGAGGGCAGTGGACTGATCATATCTTACTGCAGCTTCAAACTCCTGGGCTCAAGCAATTCTCCCATTTCAGCCCCCTAAGCAGCTGGAAATACAGGTATGTGCTTGGCCTAAATCCCTATCCCTTCCCCTTCCCCTTCTTTCCTTCCTTTCTTTCTTTTTTTTTTTTTTTTCTTTTTTGAGACGGAGTGTTGCTGTGTCGCCCAGGCTGGAGTGCAGTGGCGCGATCTCGGCTCACTGCAAGCTCCGCCTCCCGGGTTCACGCCATTCTCCTGCCTCAGCCTCCCGAGTAGCTGGGACTACAGGCGCCCGCCACCGCGCCCAGCTAGTTTTTTGTATTTTAGTACAGACAGGGTTTCACCGTGTTAGCCAGGATGGTCTCGATCTCCTCACCTCGTGATCCACCCGCCTCGGCCTCCCAAAGTGCTGGGATTACAGGCGTGAACCACCGCGCCCGGCCCTTTTTTTCTTTCTCCCTTTCTCTGTTTCTCCTTCTTTCTTCTTTTATTCTTCCCTCTCTCTTTCTTGCCTTTTTTTTTTTTTTTGAGACGGAGTCTTGCTCTTTTGCCCAGGCTGGACTGTAGTGGCGCTATCTCGGCTCACTGTAAGCTCCGCCTCCCGGGTTCACACCATTCTCCTGCCTCAGCCTCCCGAGTAGCTGGGACTACAGGCGCCTGCCACCACGCCCGGCTAATTTTTTTTGTATTTTTAGTGGAGACGGGATTTCACCGTGTTAGCCAGGATGGTCTTGATCTCCTGACCTCGTGATCCACCCGCCTCGGCCTCCCAAAGTGCTGGGATTACAGGCATGAGCCACCGTGCCCGGCCTCTTCCCTCTCTCTTTCTCTCTCTGTCCTCCCTTCCCTTCCTCCCCGCCTCCCTCCTTCCTTCCTTGTTTCTTTCCTTTTTTTTTTTTTTTTTTTTTTTTTTTGACAGAGTCTCATTCTGTTCCCAAGGCAGTGGTGTGAACATGGCTCACTACAGCCTCAACCTCCCTGGGCTCAAGCAATCCTCCCACCTCAGCCTCCCGAGTAGCTGGGACTACAGGTGTGCACCACCACACCCAGCTAATTTTTATTTTTTGTAGAGACAGGATCTCAGTATGTTGCTCAGGCTGGTCTTGAGCGCCTGGGCTCAAGTGATCCACCTGCCTCAGCGTCCCAAAGAGCTGGAATTACAGGTGTGGGTGACAGAGTGAGACCCTGTCTCTCAAACAAAACGAAAACCAACCAAACACCCCACCAAGCATGAAATAAGGATGTACATATAGATGAATGCAATAGAGTTGACAGTCTAGAAAACCATCATGTGATACTATTTTCCGCATGGCTGGCAAAAGCTCTAAGCTTTGTCTAAAATCCCGTTCCAGGCCAGGCGCGGTGGCTCATGCCTGTAATCCCAGCACCTTGGGAGGCTGAGGCGGGAGGATCACGAGGTCAGCATATTGAGACCATCCTGGCTAACATGGTGAAACCCCATCTCTACTAAAAATACAAAAAATTAGCCTGGCATGGTGGTGGGCACCTGTAGTCCCAGCTACTCGGGAGGCTGAGGCAGGAGAATGGCGTGAACCCGGGAGGCGGGGCTGGCAGTGAGCTAAGATCGCACCACTGCACTCCAGCCTGGGCGACAGAGCGAGACTCCATCTCAAAAAAAAAAAAAAAAAAAAGAAAAGGAAAGAAAAGTGCTTGGCACACTGTATTATATAAACCTTTGTGAGATTAAATAAGTAAGCAATTTTTCAGTTTTTTATCTTTTTTTTTTCCTGTGGATTCCCTATTGAGATTCATTGCCAGGTTATTCTGTATTTCTTTTTTTGATACGTGCAAGCTCTTTGTGATTCAAGGAAATTATCTTGAGTCCATCCTTGTGGTAAATGTGTCCCCGGGTTTGTTGTTTGTCTTTTGACTTGTGGATTTTTTTTTTCTGTCTGAGGATTTAAATGTTTATATAGTCAGGTTGATTAATCTTTTCCTTTATGACTTCTGGGCTTGGCTGGGTGCAGTGGCTCACGCCTGTAATCCAAGCGCTTTAGGAGGCTGAGGTGGGCGGACTGCCTGAGCCCAGCAGTTCGAGATCAGCCTGGGCAACACGGCAAGCCCTCGTCTCTATAAAAGACACAAAACAGCCATGCGTGGTGGCACATGCCTGTAGTCCCAGCTACTTGGAAAGCTGACGTGGGAGAATCGCTTGAGCCCAGGAGTTCGAGACCAGCCTGGACAACATAGGGAGACCCCATCTCTACACAAGATCAAAAAGTCAGCCGGGCACAGTGGCTCACGCCTGTAATCCCAGCACTTTGGGAGGCCGAGGCGGGCAGATCACCTGAGGTCGGGAATTTGAGACCAGCCTGATCAACATGGAGAAACCCCGTCTGTACTAAAAATACAAAAATTAGCTGGGCATGGTGGTACATGCCTGTAATCCCAGCTACTTGGGAGGCTGAGGCAGGAGAATTGCTTGAACCCAGGAGACAGAGGTTGTAGTGAGCCGAGATCGGGCCATTGCACTCCAGCCTGGGCAACAAGAGTGAAACTCCATCCCCCACTCCAACAAAAAAAAAAAGTTAACTCAGTATGGTTGTGTGTGCCTGTACTCCCAGCTACTAGGGAGGCTGAGGTAGGAGGATCACTTGAGTCCAGGAGGTAGAGGCTGCAGTGAGCCACGATCACGCCACTGCACTCCAGCCTGGGCAACACAGCAAGACCCCGTCTCCAAAATACAAAAATTCTTCTGCTTCCAAAATTATAAGTAAACTCATTCCTATTTTTACCTAAATGTTTATTAATTTCATTTTTCACATTTACATCTTTGATTCATCTGGAAGGTATCTGAGGACTCAAAGAAGGAGCTAGGGAAACCAACTTTATTCTTTTTGTTTTGTCCAAATAGCTAGCCAGTTTTCAGAGCATTAGCTAAGTTTAGAAAATCTCTTTTCTCTCCTGCCGATTTAGAATAAATAGCACCATGGCTGGTCATAGTCTAAGTTCTCAGATGTATGAAGCTCTATTTCTGGGTTCATGATTCTGTCCCACCATTTTGTTGGCCTAGTTCCTCAACACAAGTAAACTACAGTGACATCGTATCCTCACAATCCATTCCTTGATATATCAGTGGGACTAATCCGACGACATGAATTTTCATTTTCCGGGATATTCTGGCCATTAACAGAGGGTAGTCGGTTTTTATTTTTTATTTTGTTTGTTTGTTTGTTTGAGACAGGGTCTCATTCTGTCGCCTAGAGTGTCGTGGCAGGATCATAGCTGACTGTAACCTTGAACTCCTGGCCTCAAGGGAGCCTCCCAACTTAGACTCCCTAGTAGCTGGGATTACAGGTGCATGCCACCATGATTTTAAATGCAGTAATTTGCTTTATAATGTCAGGACGTGGTTTGGTGAAACCAACCCAGATGCTTGTAAGTCAAGGATGAAAAACTTGGGTCACCCGGCATCACTAACATTCCCTAAGAGCTGAACGCTTTCCCCTCATAAATGTCAGGGTCACGGGAAGCAACAGGAAAACCTTCTCCAATGACTCCTCTGGGGTGGCTTGTTGCGCCCTCCCTCCGGACCACGCAGCCCCTAAAGGTCAGTCCCAGACCTTGAGCTCAGTGTAATATCTAGATTCATGCTAGAGACATGAATCAAAGGTTCAATTTTATGAGAACGAATGTGTAGGGCCTGAATTTTAAACACGGAGCCATGTTAGGCTGCAAACAGTCTTAAACCACAGCATGCTGATCAGAAATGTGAATGAGACACACAGGGAGGGCAGGGGCAAGTTTATTACAAGATCTATAATCACACACAAGATGCGTTAAACTGGGCCCATCAGTGGCTGGCTTTGGTGTGCAGCATTGCTATAGCTTTGGCTGTTTATTCAGTGCACAGGATTGTAAAGATGAAAATAAAATAGCCACTCCATTGCTTTTTATTTATTATTATTTTTAACTAATTAATTATTTTGAGACGGAGTTTCACTCTTGGCACCCAGGCTGGAGTGCAATGGCGCTATCTCGGCTCACTGCAACCTCCGCCTCCCAGGTTTAAACAATTTTCCTGCCTCAGCCTCCTGAGTAGCTAGCATTACAGGTGTGTGCCACCACGCCTGGCTAATTTTCTATTTTTAGTAGAGACAGGGTTTCACCATGTTGGCCAGGCTGGTCTTGAACTCCTGACCTCAGGTGATCTGCCCGCCTTGGTCTCCCAAAGTGCTGGGACTACAGGCGTGAGCCACCATGTCCGGCCATTTTATTATTTTTTTTTAAATAGAGATGGGGGTCTCGCCGTGTTGACCAGGCTGGTCCTGAACTCCTGGGCTCAAGCGATCCTCCCACCTAGACCTCCATAAGTGCTGGGATTACAGGCATGAACCACTACACCTGGCCCAGTTACTTTTTAAAAATAGTTTCCATTCAAGTATAATTTGCATGTGGTGAAATGCACACATTTAAAGTATATGTACAATTTGATGATTTTTGACAGAAATTCATTTTAACACCTGTGCAACCACCAACCCAGACACAGAACCTTCCACCACTCCAAAAAGTTCCTTCTCAAAGTCCTTCTCCTTACTGAGACACCCACTGTTGTAATTTTTGCCATCATAGATTAGTTTTTCCTATTCTAGAACTTCTTAAAAATGAAATCATATAGTACGTGGGCATCTTTTACTTCTGGCTTCCCCTTAGCATAAAGCCTTTGAGATCCATCGATATTTTTTTTTTTTGGAGCTTAATTTGTGGCATATATTCCTAATCCCAATGATCAATAATGTTTGTATATCATTATATTAGTATACAGATTCAGTGGTGGCTATTTCATGTGGTCTCTGAATTATGCCTTTATATAGTGTAGGCTCTGTCCTATTTGGCTTGGTAAACTTACCTAGATTAAACAAGAGGTGTTAATTGCACACAGAGGCCTCCTTGTTGTATGGTTAGTACATCTAGAATTATGTGGTGGTGAGCACTGCTAAAACCAGAGAATTAGCTTCTGTCTGGAGCTTATGTAAGGAATCTAGAGTTGTATATTTGGACTGGACTCTATTAGTCTGGAACTCTTTTGCTGCCTACGTTTTTTTGAGATGGAGTCTCCCTCTATCACCCAGTACAATGGCGCGATCCCAGCTCACTGCAACCTCCGCCTCCTGGGTTCAAGCGATTCTCCTGCCTCAGCCTCCCCAGTAGCTGGGATTACATGCACCCACCATCATGCCCGGATAATTTTTGTATTTTTTGTAGAGATGGGGTTTCACCATGTTGGCCAGGCTGGTCTCAAACTCCTGACCTCAGATGATCCACCCACCTTGACCTCCCAAAGTGCTGGGATTACAGGCATGAGCCACGGTGCGCAGCCCCATCGATATTATTCTATCAGTCCTGCAGTCCTGTTTATTGTTGGGTAAGGTTCCACTGAAGGGTTGTACTGATGCAGGATAGGCAAGCCCCCAAATTGAGGCTTAGTCTAGGAGGGTTCTTGGCTTCACCCTTGAAATAATTCAAGGTCAAGCTGGTGGTGATAGCAACTTTTCTTGAGGCCGCAGTGCACAGCCGCAGCAGAGAGACTGCTCCTTGCAAAGCGGGGCTACCCCATAGGCAGTGTGCCTAGAGGAGCAGCTCAGAAGCAGTGCTGCTGTCATATTTATACCCACTTTTAATTATATGCAAATTAAGGGGTGGTTTATGCAGAAATTTCCAGGAAAAAGCTGGCAACTTCAGGGTTGTCAAGGGCATTGCCATGGAAAGGGGCAGTAACTTCCAGGTGTTACCATGGCAACGGTAAACTGGCATGGTACAGTGGTGGCCATGTCTTCTAGAAAGCTGCTTCCACCCCAGACCTGTTTTAGCTAGGTCTCAATTTGGTCCAGTGTCTAAGCCCTACCTCTAGAGTTGAGCTCCACCTCCTACCGCAGTACCACTCCTAGCTATATACAAGAGAAATCTATGCCCACACAAAAACTGGTACACCAATGTTCATGGTGGTATTATTCAAAATAGTCAAAAAGTGGAGGCAACCCAAACGTCCATCAACCAATGAATGGATAAATAAAATGTGGTACAACATTTGGGCTGTTTCCAGATTTAGGCTATTATGAATAAGTATGCTATTATGCACATTTGTGTACACATCTTTGGTGGATATATATTTTCATTTATCTTAGGTAAATACTTAGGAGTGGAATGTCTGGGTCATATCATAAGGGTATGTCTAACTTTTTTTTTTTTTGAGACAGAGTCTCGCTTTGTCACTCAGGCTCAAGTGCAGTGGCGTGATCGCAGCTCACCACAACCTCCACCTCCCAGGTTCCAGCGATTCTCCAGCCTCAGCCTGCCAAGTAACGGGGATTACAGGAGCCCGCCACCATGCCCAGCTAATTTTCGTATTTTTAGTAGAGACGGGGTTTCACCATGTTGGCCAGGCTGCTCTCGAACTCCTGTCCTCAAGTGATCCTCCCGCCTCAGCCTCCCAAAGTGCTGGGATTACAGGTGTGAGCCACTGAGCCCAGCCAGGGTATGTCTAACTTTTTAATAAATTTCCAAACAGTTCTCCAAAGTGGTTGTACTATCTCTGGTTACTTTAAAATAAATGAATATAAGTATTTATTGTTTGTGGTTGAAATATTCAAAGACACAAGATGAAAAGTGGGACTCTGCTGGGTGTGGTGGTGCATGCCTGTTATCTCAGCACTTTGGAAGGCTGAGGCAGCAGGACAGCTTGAGGCCAGGACAAGCCTGGGCAACATAGGGAGCTGTCTCTATTAAAAAAAAAAAAAGTAAAACAATTAGCTGGGCAAGGTGGTGTGCTCTTGGGGTCACAGCTACTCAGGAGGCTGAGGCAGGAGGATTGCTTAAACCCAGGAGGTGGAGGCTGCAGTGAGCCGTGATCATGCCACTGTACTCAAGCCTGGGCAACAGAGTGAAATCCTGTCTTTTAAAAATTAAAATTGGCCGGGCGTAGTGGCTCACGCCTGTAATCCCAGCACTTTGCATGTCTGTAATCCCAGCTACTCAGGAGGCTGAGGCAGGAGGATGGCTTGAGCCCAGGAGGCAGAGGTTGTAGTGAGCTGAAATTGCACCACTGTACTCCAGCCTGGACAACAGAGCGAGACACAGTCTCAAAAAAAAAAAAAAAAAAAAAAGGAGAGTCACAGAAGAAACACCAAATCTTACCCTGGGCACTGGGATGATGCCTCATGTCATGTTGCCAAGCTGAGACCTGCCACGCATTCTCTTGCTATTATGTGGCCATTCAGGCCTGAACAAGAGCCAGGACCCAAGGGGTTTGCAAGAGTCATGCCTGAGTTTAATTAAGTGGGACAGATGTGCTATTTAGAACCAGGACACCTGGGAGCAAGTTTAAAGGCTTGGATGTGCCCTGCCTGTGATGAACTTTAGCACAGACCAGCACAGTTCCCTAATCCTCTTAATTGTTCATACCATTACAAAAAGTGCAAATCTAAAACAGAGATGAACAGAAAAAAATTATTGCATTATCGTTAATCTGACCACAGTGGCTAATGTTGCTTGAATAATGCATTTGGGTGCTTTTAAAAGTCTGCAGTCAGCCTGGGCAACATGGCAAAACCCTGTTTCTACCAAAAAATACAAAAATAGCTGGGCATGGTGGTTTGCACCTGTAGTCCCAGCTACTTGCAGAGGGGCTGATATAAGAGGATGGCTTGAGCCTGGAAAGTCAAGGCTGCCATGAGCCAAGATCACGCCACTGCACTTGAGCCTGGGTGAAGAGCAAGACCCTGTCTCAAAAAAAAATTAAATAAATAAAATTTAAAAAGTCTGTGATGTTTTATTTTTTAATGTGGGGAAAATATTAAAAAGTAAATTGGCCGGGTGCGGTGGCTCATGCCTGTAATCTTAGCACTTTGGGAGGCTGAGGCGGGCAGATCACGAGGTCAGGAGATCAAGACCATCCTGGCTAACACAGTGAAACCCCATCTCTACTAAAAATACAAAAAAAAAAAAAAAATTAGCCGGGCATGGTGACGGGTGCCTGTAGTCCCAGCTACTCGGGAGGCTGAGACAGGAGAATGGTGTGAACCCAGGAGGCAGAGCTTGCAGTGAGCTGAGATCGCACCACTGCAGTCCAGCCTGGGCAACAGAGCGAGACTCCATCTCAAAAAACAAACAAACAAAAAAAGTAATTTAAAAATATGTAGGTCGTGGTGGGGCACAGTGTCTCATGCCTGTAATCCCAGCACTTCAAAAGACTGAGGCAGGAGGATTGTTTGAGGCCAGGCATTCAAGACCAGCCTGGGCAACATAGTGAGACCTCATCTCTACCAAAAAAAAAAAGTTAGCTGGGCATGGTGGTGCGCATCTGCAGTCCTAGCTACTCAGGAAGATCATTTAAGCCCAGGAGTTTGAGGCTGCAGTGAGCTGTGACCACACAATTGCACTCCAGCCTACATGATGGAGCAAGAGCCTGACTCTTAAAAAAATTTTGTTTTTAAATAATTGAAAATACTACTCAAACACACATGAATCTCAAAAACACGATGCTGGCCGGGCACGGTGGCTCACACCTGTAATCACAGCACTTTGGGAGGCTGAGGCGGGTGGATCACGTGAGGCCAGGAGTTCGAGAACAGCCTGGGCAACATGATGAAACCCCGTCTCTATGAAAGATACAAAAATTAGCCGGGCGTGGTGGTGCACACCTGTAGTCCCAGCTACTTGGGAGGCTGAGGCAGGAGAATCGCTTGAACCTGGCAGGCGGAGGTTGCAGTGAGCCAAGACTGTGCCACTGCACTCCAGCCTGAGCAACAGAGTGAGATGCTGTCTCAAAAAAAAAAAAAAAAAAAAAGGCCGGGGCGTGGTGGCTCACGCCTGTAATCCCAGCACTTTGGGAGGCTGAGGTGGGCGGGTCACCTGAGGTCAGGAGTTTGAGACCAGCCTGGCCAACATGGAGAAACTCTGTCTCTACTAAAACTACAAAATTAGCCAGGCGTGGTGGTGGGCACCTGTAATCCCAGCTACTCGGGAGGCTGAGGCAGGAGAATCACTTGAACCCGGGAGGCGGAGGTTGCAGTGAGCCGAGATGGCGCCATTGCACTCCAGCCTGGGCAAAAAGAGTGAAACTCCCTAAAAAACAAAAACAAAAACAAAACAAACAAAAACACTATGCTGAGGAAAAGAAGCCAGACACCAAAAAAACCATATGCTGTATGACTCCACTTACAGCACTCCTGGGACAGACACACTGAGCTTTGGCTGGAAAAATCATTACAGTGCTCACCTCTGAGAGCTGCGGCGGGGACCGACTGGGAAGGGGCACAGGGAGGCTTTCTAGGATGATGATATTGTTCTGTAACTTGTCGCAGGGGTGGGTTACACAGGTGCCTGCCTATGTCCAAACTTATCCTTATCAGACCGTTCACTTAAGATCTGTCCATTTCACTGTATATAAATGTTTTATTTTAACTAAAAAATGAAAATGTAAAAAAAAGGAATAAATGAATAAGTAAATCAACACAACCCACTTCTTTCTCCTTGGCAGCTCTGCTAACCAGATCCCCAAATGGGCAGCTTTTTCTTGGGCCTCCTGGGTCCAGCTACTGTCACCTCCCCACTAGGCTCCCAGCTGCCACCTCACCCTCTGCAGTCTGTTCCCCACCAGGCTTCCAGGGGGAGCCTGGAAACAACCTATGTAGGATCCTGACGCTGTGTTCAGCACCCTCCCATGGCTCCCATCTCTCAGATTAAAGCTGGAATCCATCCTGGCCGCACCTGTGGGGCTTTGCACACCAGCCTCCAAAGCCCCCTGCCCTCTTGCTCCTCACCTCCTCCTTGCTTTTTTATTTTTATTTTTTTGAGACAGAGTCTTGCTCTGTCGCCCAGGCTGGAGTGCAGTGGTGCGATCTCAGCTCACTGCAGTCTCAACCTCCTGGGTTCAAGCAATTCTCCTGCCTCAGCCTCCCAAGTAGCTGGGACCACAGGCACGCGCCATCACACCTGGCTAATTTTTTTGTATTTTTAGTAGAGATGGGGTTTCACCATGTTGGCCAGGCTGGTCTTGAACTCCTGACCTCAGGTGATCTGCCCGCCTTGGCCTCCCAAAGTGCTGGGATTACAGGTGTGAGCCACTGCGCCCAGCCTTACTCACTTTCTGAAACAGATTAGAGCCTCCCTCCACGATGACTGTTCCCTCTGCCCAGGAGGCCGTTCTTGGCCAACTGCTTGTCTCACCCCTCACCCCCTTCAGGTCTGTTCAGACATCCAGTTCCCAGAGAGGCTCCCCCAACCATTGTAAGCGACAGCCAGCCGTTTCTGCACACTCACCTTGCCTGCCTATCTTCCTGTTATATTTTTCACGGCAGAGCTCCCCACCCCTCCACCTGTGTCTATATAAGGTCTGTCCTCACTCAAACGTCAGGCTCCAGGAAGCCAGGACTCTGTCTTGCTCCTGGCTGTCGTACAGCAGATTCTCAACGAACCTTGCTTGAATGGCAGCATGGGCAACCAGGACACTTTGCCCTCGAGCCCTGCTGGTGGCATCCACAGCTCTCCATCTTCCTGCAAACACTCCGGGCCAGCGCCTCCCCAGACGCACCCCTGAACAGAACACCTCCACCCGGGGCGATGAGGTTTCTTTGAAGAGAGCTTTCATGTGCCCCAACCTTGGATTCCCCCCATTTTTAGGGCACGTAGGCCTTTCATACTTTACTGACAGCCTGGGTGTAACCAGTAGGAGTGACTATTATTGTGGGAGGTACTTAAACATCTTGGTCAAATAGGGCTTTTCCCATTGTGGGGGTGTGGGGGCACCCAATAAATAGAGCTTCATCCAGATGCTTCTATGAGTACACGGCAGTTCCTAACGAGCTCCGCGTCCTCAAATCCCAGCTTCCCTTTTGGTCTCTTTCGCATCTTTCCTCATAATCTCCATTCACTTTCACAAAACCTCAACCTGGACCCCTAAGGACACTTCCGTTTCCCCAAGTCTGAATTATTCCACCTGAAGCTCTCCAACCTGTATTATTAATAGAATTCTTGGCTGGGCGTGGTGGCTCACGCCTGTCATCCCAGCACTTTGGGAGGCTGAGGTGGGCGGATCACGAGGTCAAGAGATCAGAGATCGAGGCCATCCTGGCCAACATGGTGAAACTCCATCTCTACTAAAAAAAATACAAAAATATTAGCTGGGCGTGGTGGCGCACCCCTGTAGTCCCAGCTACTTGGGAGGCTGAGGCAGGAGAATCGCTTGAACCCGGGAGGCAGAGGTTGCAGTGAGCTGAGATCATGATACTGCACTCCAGCCTAGGAGACAGAGCGAGACTCCGTCTCAAAAAAAAAAAAAAAAAATTCTCAGGAGAAACTGTTTAAGACGCAGATAACTATGTACAACCCCGAAGAGATCCTGAATCAGCAGGTAGAGCCACGAAATGGTACCTTGAACAGATTCCAAGTGACTGATGTAGTGGCCACCCTGGTTCAGGAGTTCCTGGGGAGGGGCAGGGGAGGGCCAGAAGAAAACTATATTTTTAGCTAAAAGACCTCAGCTTCTGGCTTGGCATGGTGGCTTACACCTGTAATCCCAACGCTTTGGGAGGCCGAGGTGGGCAGATCACTTGAGCCCAGGAGGTAGAGGCTGCAGTGGGCTGAGACTGTGCCACTGCACTCCCACCTGGGTGACAGAGCGAAACTCCATCTCAAAAAAAAAAAAAAAAAAAGACCTTGGCTTCTGTGTGAGGGAATAGGAAGGGAGGGAAAGGTTTTCATTTTCCAGCTGTTTATAAAAAAATAAACTGGTACTTTGAGGTAATTTGCGTCACCAGATACCTATTCTAGAAACCCCAAGATCTGTGGGACATCCTTCCACATCAGTGGAAAGCCATTCGCAAAGAGGACAAACGGCTTCTTCTCTCATGGATCATTAACAATTCTCAAAGCTTGAACCCGTATCTGATAACCAGTCACATCTGGCTGGGGGCACTGTTTGAGGAAAGGGGAACCCTTTCCTCAAATTTAATAGTCCATGCAATCCTCACCTACAAGAGACTTAACAGGACACTTAATTTGCTAAACTTTATTTTATACATACACGTTTACATTTACTAGTCATGGTGTCAACTTGTTAACACAACGAAGCCCTAATGGACCCGTTTTGAAATTAGAAGCTGGACAGTTACAGGCTTTGGTCTCTTCAAGAATCCAATTCACCCCTGGGTTTCGCTTGGCACACACCCCAGGAGAACGTCGATGCACACAGCTGTGTAGCTGCAAACGGAAACCACTCTCTTTTCTCTCGTATTTTTCAGTCAGACTCACTCAGGATTTTGAAATGAATCATCACGAGAAATTTGTTTTAAAGTTGAATCACTGAGAACATCTAACAACTGTTCACATTCTTTATCACAAAAACTGAAGTCGGAAAAGACGCCCTGAAAACTTGCAAGGGCTAATACTCTATGATAGAATATTACTACTGTTCACCATGTTAATACATTTACTTACTACCATACACCTGAACAGTCACGGCAGAACAAGAGCATGTGAATGACGAAAGGAAACTTGCTTTCAGGGTGTCAGATTATAGAACATGCACAGGAATTTCTTCCACTTCTAACCTCGCTCATCAGTCACATTTACAAGAAACTCAATTTTAAGCAAAGAGATGCCTGAAATAACTAAGACGTGTACAAAAACAAGTTAACCTATGAACACAAGGTAATATTCTGATAGTCTTCGATGTGACTTCCAACATATCTGAGTAGTCACTTTTCAGTTTTTTAAACACGTGAGAAAAATAGATTTGGATTACATCTTTGTGGACGGCTACGATACAGTTTGGAAACCATTATCTCAGGGACCCTGCTCTCTCCTCTACACATGCGCACGCAAACACACACACACACACACACAATGACACATGGTGGTCTGGTCTAATATAGTGTGTCTGAATTCAGAGGGCAGACATTAACAGCCAAGTTTTGTTTTTTTGAGAGAGAGTCTCACTCTGCTGCCCAGGCTGGAGTGCCGTGGCACAATCTCGGCTCATTGCAACCTCTGCCTCCTGGATTCAAGCAATTCATCTGCCTCAGCCTCCTGAGTAGCTGGGATTACAGGCGCGCGCCACCACGCCCAGCTAATTTTTGTAGAGATGGGGTTTCACCATGTTGGTCAAGCTGGTCTTAAACGCCTGACCTCGTGATCGACCTGCCTCAGCCTCCCAAAGTGCTGGGATTACAGGCGTGAGCCACCGTGCCCGGCCAACAGCCAAGTTTTAAAAGATTTTTTTCCCCTCTTACTATAATGTGAGTAGTGACCTTCTGCTGCAAAGATGGTGACAGTTTGGTGCAAAGATGGTGACAGTTGGGTAGATGGATGGAATTAGAGCTGGGGACCTAGGAATGCCTGCGTCCTTCCCTATAATCACCCCCCTTCCCCACAGGATTCCTGAGAGGGCTCATCCCAAATGGGAATCAAAGTGCCATTTTTACTAACAGACTCTAAAACTCAAAGACTTTGAGGTCTAGGCAGACATTCTTTTTCCCTAAAACTAACTCTTGGGACCTCCTGGCTAGATAACTGGAGGATGGAAGCTGGAGACTGAAGGAGCAATAAAACCAGGTTTGCAGCGAAGGTCCTGGCTTAACTTACCCCGCTGGTTACACGAGAGGAAGGCGGGAGGAAGAATATGGCAGGGCCACCCAGCTCTTCCAAATGCCAGGGCCTGCAGAGGTCGCTGACCATTCCGAGGAGGGAGCAAGGCGTGGGGGAGAAAAGCTGAACATGGATGAGTGTAACAGTGACCCTGCTCATGCATAAAGGGGAATGAATGTTCTAGAATTTTCCCAATCCTCTTACCAACTCTCCTGCCTCCGAAGAGAAGGTGAGTAGAGAAGGCGGTGAAACGGCAGGCCTGGTAGAGAAAAGGGCATAGAGATCCACCTCCCTTCCCCAACTCCCTCCCACCCAAGACCTCACCTATCGTTTACCTCAGGGCCAGATCTCTATCAACAGGGGCCCTAAGAGAGTCCAAAGTCTTATTCAGTGACAAGAGAGAACTTGGTTGACTTGGTACTTCTTCCTTGTTCTTTCAACTCCTCAGTATGGGTGGTCCCCCAGATCAAACCTTTCTGGATTCTGCAAATAAATGAGAGAACAGATCAAGAAGGGAAGCAGAGAGGTGTCATTAGGAAATGCATTACTTCCAAGAAATTTCTGGGTCCCTGAACATTTCTATTCCCCAGCCAGGTCTCTAGAAAACTTCACCCTTAAAGCCACATACCCTGCAAACACCATAACTCCAAAGTATTAATATTTTTTTTGGGGGGAGGGGGGAACAGGGTTTCACTCTATCGCCCAGGCTGGAGTGCAGCAGTGTGATCTTGGCTCCCTGCAACCTCCACCTCCCAGGTTCAGGGAGGGTAAGAGCCCAGACCGCCCTTCCAGGAGCCCCTGAAGGCCGATGCTGGAGACATCTGGTGGGCAGATGTCTGGAGGCCAATCCCAGGCCTTGGCCTCCCCAGTAGCTGGGATTACAGGCACAAACCACCATGCCCAGCTAATTTTTGTATTTTTAGTAGAGATGGGGTTTCACCATGTTGGCCAGGCTGGTCTCGAACTCCTGACCTCAGGTGATCTGTCTGCCTTGGCCTCCCAAATCATTAAATTCTTTTTTTTTTTTTTGGAGACAAGAGTCTCACTCTCGTCACCCAGGCTGGAGGGCAGTGGCACAATCTAGGCTCACTGCAACCTCCACCTCCCGGGTTCAAGAGATTCTCCTGCCTCAGCCTCCCGAGTAGCTGGGATTACAGGTATGTGGCACCACACCCGGCTAATTTTTTGTATTTTTAGTAGAGACGGGGTTTCACCATGTTGGCCAGGCTGGTCTTGAACTCCTGACCTCAGGCGATCTGCCCACCTTGGCTTCCCAAAGTGCTGGGATTACAGGCATGAGCCACCAAGCCTGGGCCCAAACCATTAAATTCTCATCAAGGAAGATGGGTCAGATGGAGTGGCAAATGACCACAGTGACACTCATTGTGGGTTTCCTCTGCCACCTCCTGCCCACCAGATGTCTCCAGCATCGGCCTTCAGGGGCTCCTGGAAGGGCGGTCTGGGCTCTTACCCTCCTCAACTGGTGTGTCATCCACCTCCTGCCATGCACCAGGGTCCTCCTCATCACCCGCTTGACCCACCACCTCCTCGGGCTCCTCTGCCCCACCTGCCACTCCTGCTCCTCCTGCCTCATCCACTTGCTGGCACGAGCCCAGTCACTTCTGCTATCATTCTCACCATTGGTGGCACGCCGAGGAGAGCCTTCTGGCTTGGCCTTCGGACCCCTAGAGGTTGAGGCTGTTGCCTCGGCAGGCTGCTGGCCCCGAGGGGCCTTCTGATCTGATGCCTCCCTTCTTGAGCCTGGCCCTTTCTTTGGCATCACCGGCTTCTTCCTGCCATCTTCTGAGTCAACCAAGACGTAGGAGACAGGGCCCAAGCTCACCTTCTTCTTCTTCCTCATGGGAGCGGGGTTCTTGGCAGACACCCAGGCCACGGCCTTCTTCTTTGGTGGGCTTTCATGGCCACCATCTTGGTCTGACTCAGAGGCGCCTCCTGGGCTCTCGGCTTCTGCCCGGGCATCCTGAGGTGGCTCTCTGGGACCCTTCCAGGCACATTTCGCCATGGGCTTCTTCAAAGCCAACTCCTCCTTATTCACACAGGGCTTTCTGCTGCCCTTGATCGGCTCTGAGATCGCCATGCTTTCAGCATCACCCACCTCAGGATCCTCCAAGTTAGCTGTGCTGTTGGAATTGATGCCTTTGGGTTTTTTCCAGGGCACTGCTTCCTGCCTGGAGTTCTTCTTCTGCTTCTTTCTCCTGGAGCGAGACTTAGCTCCAGCCCTGCGAACCAAAGGTTTGGTAGGCTCATGCTGGTCTTCCGTGGCATTCCAGTTGTTGGGGGTCTCTGCCTTTAAGGCAGAACCCACCTCTGCTGCAAGCCCCGGTTCTTTCTTCACCTTCCTCCCTGCTGCTAAAGCCCAGGCTGCCATCTCCTCGAATTCAGCGGCCTCCTGGGCCCTGGCTTCCTCCCGGCTGCGGATCTCGGCATCCATGCAGAAGATGATCTGCACCACTGCTCCCAGAAGCACCCCCAGAGCTTCTGCCCAGTTCTCTGGGGGCTGATGCTGGTTCTGGGACAGGGTGGGGTGGTTGAGCTGGAGCAGGCGGACCACATCCTCCCAGGTGCGCCCCTCGGCATCCAGGAATTCATTCAGATTTTTTAAAAACTCGGCATCCTGGGTAGGGTCTCTACAGACCACTCTCCAGACACCACCCCTTCCTGGGAATTCACGGGGGATGGTGCTCAGATTCACACCTTCACCAACCTCAATGAGGGCAGCTTTAACATTCTCTTCCCTCACAAAAATCTTGTTGAGCACGCGGTACGGGCCCAGTGGGGAGAGGACCCCATTCAAGGTCTCCTCAATTTCTGCCTGCCCACAGTCCTCTGGGATGCCTGTGACCAACAAGGACCTGTGGATGTCCACTTCCATTCCCCTGCACCAATCCTCCAGAAGGTTCATCGCCATGGTCTTGGACATTTAGCGGCTCTGAACCTACTATGTGTAGTAAATAGTCTATCAGGTGGACGTGGGCTGCAGCGGTCTCCAAACAGTAATCCTGCAAGGTGACAAGGGAGCGAGGTCACGTTCCCAGGAAGATGACCAAGCTCACAGATCCTAGCTGCCCCCTCCGCGGCTGGCCTGCAGGAGGCCTGGCGCTTTCCCAACACCCTCCTCCCCAACCCAGGCCCCGGTGCTCACACGTGTCCCTGAATCTGCAGCAAAAGGCCCTAGGACCCTCCCCCGGGCCTGACGCTCCGCCTGCCCAGCCGGGACTTACTTGGCAGATCAGCCTCCGACCGCCCAGCCAGGCCAAGGAGACGCAGTGGAATGCAGCCGTTTCCCAGTCGCTGGCTCCGGCTACCCCGGCGCCGCTGCTAGAGGCAGAAAGGGCCAAGAAGGCGCCGTCCGCCCCCGCTCCGGCCCAGGCGGGTCACGGGGCGTCCAGACTCGATGCCGTTAGCGGCGAGAAGCCGAGGTTGGCGTCGCAGCGCGCGCCTGCGCACTGGCTCCCGCACCGCCGCTCGGGGGTCTTGGGCTGCGCAGGTGCCGACGTCTCCATGGCAACCGGGCGTGGGTTGCTAGGGCTGAGCCCGGCCGGCGCGCCGGCGCTGCAATTGGACCTAGGGAGCCGGGTGCAAGAGTGGCCTGTTCAGGTCGCAGAGCAAGCGGGTCTGGATACACTCCGGTGGCGCCTCCACGGAGGCCCTCTTTCAACCCAAGTGGGCCTCGCGAACGGGGGTTAGGTCGATGAGAAGCGCCAACACCTATGGCTGCACCCACTGACTGTATTATCCTCTGCCCCACCTGTTGGATTCACCCAACGCAACTCTTGGGAGACACTAGAAATCAAGAAAGGAGGAAAACGAGGCTTTAATCTTCTTGGGTTCCTCCAACAGCAGGTGCAGTTCCTGTTGGGCTTGTAGCCTTCTCTCTTACAAGCTGCTGGGTTCTTCCAGGAATTTCCAGAAACTTCTAGAAATTTCTTAGTCTCCTCCCCGACCCCTTCTAGCATGAGGATAATGCCTCGCCTTTTCTTGTTTCCTCAACGTGATTCAGGGCAGGTTCTTGGCATCCTCCAGGCAGGGGACAATGTTACAGCTCAGTGACTGCCCCTACAGAGAAGTGTTAGTCCAAACTGCAACCATTTTGTAAGCCCTGACTATTTTGCAGATCTTGGTCAAAGTGAAATATTCCACGGGGGTTCGGGCCAATGAGAAACATCCTGCCTAATCACCTGACCACAAGGCGGACAAAGGCCCAGCTAAAGAAACATTATCATACCCTATCGTGCAAAGGCCCAACTGAAGAAACATCCCTATCATATTCTGCTGGGAGAAAGTGCAGAGAACACCACATTCCACCAGAACAAGGGCCAGAACCGCCTCATCATGGAACCATCTTATCAACATCCTGCTGGGCAGCAAACCATACTGCTCAGACCCCTCCCACCCATAACTATAAGTACCCCCAGCCTATAAGCAGCAGTGGGCTCTGGCATTAGGCTGGTTACCCACTTCCACAGGTGTCTGCAGTATACCTGAGTTGCTGTTGAGCCGCCTTCTGTCTGTGTGTCTTTAACCCTCACCTTCCCTCCAAAACCTAACAAGGAGGGCTACCCTCTAGGCAGTGTGCTGAGAATAGCACCTCGGGGCAAGGCTGCAGTCACATTTATACCCACTTTTAATGACGTGCTAATTAAGGGGTGGGTTTTCAGAATTAGCAAATTGGCAGTAACTTATGGGTGTTGCCATGGCAATGGTAAACTGTCATGGTGCTGGCAGGCATGTCTTATGGAGAGAGGCTTTCGGTGCCTTTTCCAGGTTTTGGCCAGTCTTCAATGTGATCCTCAGTGGAGTCCCCTGGGCCTCCTACCTCAACCTTGCTGCCCATGAGCAAGAACTTTGTTAATAGTTTATTAATGCCCAGTGCTGTGGCTCACGCATGTAATCCCAACACTTTGGGAGGCTGAGGAGGGCGGATCACTTGAGCTGGGGAGTTCGAGACCATCCTGGGCAACATGGCAAAACCCCGTCCCTACCAAAAACGCAAAAAATTAGCCAGGTGTGATAGGGGTCACCTGTGGTCTCAGCTATTCGGGAGGCTGAGGTGGGAGGATTGCTTGAACCCAGGAGACCCTGTCTCAAAAAAAATAAACTAATTAATTAAGCACTCCTATGAGACTCGGTTGGACTGGCCATCTGTTTTTTTTTTTTTTTTTTTGCCAGTCCCTCACTGATCCACCTACCAATGTCCCTTCCTGGCTGTGTGATCTTAGAGAAATAATTTGACCCCGCTGAGCTTATTTCTTTTCTCTGTAATAGGAATTCTAATAAAAAATCTTCCTGATTTGGAAGTTTTGAAGATTCGGGGGGATCTCATCTGAAAGATGCATGGAAGTACAATTTGGGCCTTGGTATTCAACCAAAATCTGTTCTTTGGGTTCATTTTTGAAACTGACATTTGCAAGGCCAAATAGCCAAATGTTCATTTCACTGTCATCTCTGGCATTCCTAAATTTGGGCATCATCAATACTTGTGTGATTGCCCAAGTTTCCATCATATTTTGTGCTAAAAAGTTGTGTCATTCAAATCGTTAACCTCTGATTATTCACATAATTCACACCGAATATTCCAATAAACACTCTAGCTATGATTAAAGTCTTTAAATCTCATGTGCTTTATATGTTGAAATTCTACATATCAGTGGAAGAATGAGTGTATATTTTTAGGCAGTGGTTTAAAAACATAGCCATAAATTCTCCGACACTTCTATTGAGAAGTGACGATCTGTGTCCCCTCCTCGTGAATCTGAGCAGACTTGTGACTACTTTAACCAATGGAGTTTAGTGGAAAGGAAGCTATGTGGCTTCTCAGACTATGTTACAGAAGGGCACGCAGCTTCTTCCTCATTCACTGGAACACTTTTTTTTTTTCTTTTTTGAGACAGAGTCTCGCTCTGTCGCCCAGGCTGGAGTGCAGTGGCGCAATCTCGGCTCACTGCAAGCCCCACCTCCCGGGTTCACAGCATTCCAGGTTGGGAAGAACAATGAACAATTTTTCTGAGAGATGGCTAATCACAATCCCCCATGGGCACAATGACCTCTTTCTGCATGTAGCCCCCTCCAGCATACCCCTATGAAACTTCCAGTCCCTGCCTTTTTGCAGACAGCCCCCTTCTCTGCTGTGCTGCCCATTGCAACCGTGCAATGTATTTTCATATCTTCTCTAATAAATCTGCCTTTCTTTACCTACAACTGTCTTGGTAAATACCTTTACTGCCCACAACACCCGCCGCACCTAGTCGTACCCGTGACAGTTGGGGGTGACTCAAATGACTGAGAGCTAGAATCATCTGGGAGTTTCTTCACTCACATGTCTGGTGCCTGGGCTGAAATCCTTTGAAAGCTGGGCTCAGCTGGGAAATGTTGATGGAAGCACTGATGTGGCTTGGGCTTCCTCACAGCATGAAAACCAGAGGGTAGATCGTTGAACTTCTTATTTGGAAGCTCAAGGATGCAAGAACAAGAGTGTTCCTGTGAGGCTGGGCGCGGTGGCTCACGTCTGTAATCCCACCCTTTGGGAGGTTGAGGCGGGTGGATCTGGACGTCAGGAGATCGAGACCATCCTGGCTAACATGGTGAAACCCCGTCTCTACTAAAAATCCAAAAAAATTAGCCGGGCCTGGTGGCAAGCTCCTGTAATCGCAGCTACTCGGGAGGCTGAGGCAGGAGAATGGCCTGGCCAACATGGTGAGCCGAGGCTGCACCATGGCATTCCAGCCTGGGGGACAAGAGCGAGACTTCGTCTCAAAAAAAGAAAGAGAGGCCGGCGCGGGCTCACGCCTGTAATCCCAGCACTTTGGGAGGCCAAGGCGGGCGGATCGTGGGTCAGGAGATCGAGACCACCCTGGCTAACATGGTGAAACCCTGTCTCTACTAAAAATACAACAACAACAACAAAAATTAGCCGGGCGTGGTGGCGGGCGCCTGTAGTCCCAGCTACTCAGGAGGCTGAGGCAGGAGAATGGCGTGAACTCGGGAGGCAGAGCTTGCAGTGAGCCGAGATCACGCCACTGCACTCTAGCCTGGGCGACAGAGCAAGACTCCGTCTCAAAAAAAAAAAAAAAAAAAAAAGTTACTCTAGAGAAGTATTTGGGACCCCCATGGGAATGAGATGCGTCTACCACCGTAACAGGAGGGACCTCTGCATCCAGGACATCTGGGTCCAGGAACGCTAGTAGGAGTGAAGGTAGAAAAATGAAGACGGGCTGGGCACGATGGCTCACGCCTGTAATCCCAGCACTGTGGGAGGCCAAGGCAGGCAGCTCACCTGAGATCAGGGGTTCAAGACCAGCCTGACCAACATGGAGAAACCCTGTGTCTACTACTAATACAAAAATTAGCCGGGCATAGTGGTGCATGCCTGTAATCCCAGGTACTTGGGAGGCTAAGGCAGGAGAATCGCTTGAACCCAGGAGGCGGAGGTTGCGGTGAGCTGAGATTGTGCCATTGCACTCCAGCCTGGGCAACAAGAGTGAAACTCCGTCTCACAAACAAAAAAAAAAAGTAAATTATTTTTTGAAAAATAAATATAGGTTAAAATAGTGAATTTTATGTTATGTGTATTTTACTACAAAAGTGAACAAATAATGCGTTACAGAATGGAGAGATGGGGGGCAAGGGAGGGAGAGAGATGCCTTCAGCTTTGCCTCAAAAGCCAGGTTTCAGCTTTCTGCAGAGCCAATATTCCTAACAGTCCTGGCTGCCCCTTCAGGAATGCCACCCAACCCCAGTGCATGAGCACAGAATCAAAGTTCTGGAACTTTCTCTTCAAAGAGAAAACAAAACATCTCAGTGTGTTTGAAAATTCTGCTAAGGATTTGTCAGACCAAAAAAAAATAATAATAAAAAAATAAAAGAAGAAGAAGAAAATCGTCAATCTAGACAGGATAAAAAGTAAATTTATACCAGCAGTGGATTGTAAAACATCATAACTAAAATGAAATGGAATGGATGTTTGCTGAATCTCAGAGGCTTTTGCTATGTTTGCCAAGTAGTTTTACAAATGCGGGAGCTTGTTTGTGATCCAGGCTGCAGACAAAGTTGCTGCAGTGGAAACTGAGTCACACAGTGACTCAGTTAGAATTAGACACTGTCTGTTTTTTCTTCTCTCTTTTTCAGTTATTTATTTTGGCATGCAAGGGAATGACAGACACTGAGTTTTGATAAATACTGGATTTTTAAATGCAATAATCCTCCAAGTGACTATCTCTGGGGAGAAGAAGAGGGCAAGTCATATGGGAGGTAGGACACAGCCTATTTAAACAATAATTTTGTTTAAAGATGTGTAAATAAATTTAGCATAGTATTAAGATTTAATAAAGAATGGCAAGGGATACATAAGGGTTAATTATATAAATCTCTTTTTTTTTTTTTTTCTGAGACAGAGTCTTACTCTGTCCCCCAGGCTGGAGTGCAGTGGCGCACTCAGCCTCCACCTGCAGGGTTCAAACGATTCTCCTACCTTAGCCTCCTGAGTAGCCGTGATTACAGGCACGTGCCACCATGCTGAGCTAATTTTTGTATTTTTAGTAGAGAAGGGGTTTCCCCATGTTGCCCAGGCTGGTCTCAAACTGCTGACCTCAAGTGATCCGCCTGCCTCGGCCTCCCAAAGTGCTGGGATTACAGACATGAGCTGCTGAGTCCAGCCAATAATGCTAAAAAAAAAAAAAAAAAAAAAAAAAAGGTGTAAATAAATTTAGCATAGTATTAAGATTTGATGAAGAATGGCACGGGATGCATGAGGATTAGTTATATAAATATCAATTCTTTTTTTTTCGAGACTGAGTCTCACTTTGTCACCCAGGCTGGAGTGCAGTGGCGCGACCTCGGCTCACTGCAGCCTCTGCCTCCTGGGTTCAAGCAGTTCTCCTGCCTCAACCTCTCAAGTAGCTGGGATTACAGGGACCCGCCACTATGCCTGGCAAATTTTTGTACTTTGTTTTGTTTTGTTTTGTTTTAAGACGGAGTCTCGCTCTGTCACCCAGGCTGGCTTGCAGTGGCGCGATCTCGGCTCACTGTAAGCTCCACCTCCCGGGTTCACGCCATTCTCCTGCCTCAGCCTCCCAAATAGCTGAGACTACAGGTGCCCGCCACCACGCCCGGCTAATTTTTTGTATTTTTAGTAGAGATGAGGTTTCACCATGTTAGCCAGGATGGTCTCGATCTTCTGACCCCGTGATCCGCCCGCCTCGGCCTCCCAAAGTGCTAGGATTACAGGCATGAGCCACCACACCCAGCTTTTTTTCTTCTTGAGACAGGATCTTGCTCTATCTCCCAGGCTACAGTGCAGTGGCAGGATCACAACTCACTACAGACTCAACCTCCTGGGCACAAGCGAGCCTCCTGCCTCAGCCTCCTGAGTAGCTGGGACCACAGGCATGCACCACCACGCCCAGCTAATTTTTAAAATTTTTTTGTAGGGCCAGGGTATCACTATGTTGGGTAAGATGGTCTCCAACTCCTGTCTCAGCCTCCCAAAGTTCTGGAATTATAGGCATGAGCCACCGTGCCCAGTCAATTCTCTATTCTTGACTTTGAGTTTGGAATATTCCACAATTTTTATTTTATTTTATTTTATTTTATTTTATTTTATTTTATTTTATTTTATGAGATGGGGTCTCACTCTGTCACCCAGGCTGGAGTGCAGTGGCTTAATCACAGCTCACCGCAGCCTTCATCTCCTGGGCTCAGGCAGTCCTCTTGACTCAGCCTCCCAGGTAGCTGGGACTACAGGCATGTGCCACCACACCTGGCTAATTTTGCATCTTTAGTAGAGACAGGGTTTCTCCATGTTAGTCAGGCTGGTCTCGAACTCCCGACCTCAGGTGATTCACCCGCCTCAGCCTCCCAAAGTGCTGGGATGACAGGCATGAGCCACTACACCTGGTTTTTTTTTTTTTTTTTTTTTTTTTTTTTTTTTTTTTGAGACAGAGTCTTGCTCTGTCTCCTAGGCTGGAGTACAGTGGCGCACTGCAACCTCTGCCTCCCAGGTTCAAGCAATTCTCCTGCCTCAGCCTCTCAAGTAGCTGGGACTACAGGCGTGCACCACCACACCTGGCTAATTTTTGTACTTTTAGTAGAGATAGGGTTTCATCATGTTGGCCAGGCTCTCAAACTCCTGAGCTCAAGTGATCCTCCCGCCTCAGCCTCCCAAAGTGCTGGGATTACAGGCATGAGCCATTTCATTGCATCTGGCCATGTTTTTGCCATTACTTTCAATGGCAAAAACTGCAATTAATTTTGCCTCAGCCTAAATATTATAAAGGTACAACTATGTGTGTATATGTGTGTGTGCGTGTGTGTGTGAAGTGGAGTCAGCTGCCTGCCTGCTCTCCCATTAAAGAGCCACAGTGATTGCTAGCTGATTTAAAAATAGTTCAAGCACCCTTAACAGGAATCATTACAGTGGTTTCCATGACAACACGATGTGCTGTGGTTTCCAAGGCAACAACTGGCACTGTGGTTTCCATGACAAAGCATCCCTGCAGCCCCAACCCTCCCCTCCATCTCTGCACTTCCAGTTTAGGGTTCTCCTTCCATCCTCTTCCGCTGTGTTTCACCTTTGAGTTTTTATTTTGCCCTGCTGTGTATGTTCAGTGAGAACCCACAGAGTTTCCATAAACACTGAACCCAAAGAAAGTCCAGGGGGCTCTGGGATCCCGCCTAGATGTTTCCTCCTGAGTCAGTTGCAACAACCCATCATGGTGGTTCTGTGACTCAACCTGGCTGGCTCTGTCCAATTTGTTCTGTGAGAGCCCCTTCTTGCTGCAGAGTTTCCTTTTTTAAATTATTTTTTTTCTTTTCTTTTCTTTTCTTTTTAATTGAGGCAGAATCTTGCTCTGTCACTCAGGCTGGAGTGCAGTGGTGCGATCTCAGCGAGGATTACAGGTGCATGCCACCATGCCCGGCTAATTTTTGTATTTTTAGCAGAGGCAGGGTTTCACCATGTTGACCAGGCTGGTCTCAAACTCCTGACCTCAGGTGATCTGCCCGCCTCGGCCTCCCAAAGTGCTGGGATTACAGGTGTGAGCTACCATGCCTGGCTTTATTTTCTATTATATCTACGTGTGTGTGTGTCTCCTAGGTCACAGCAAAATGTATTTCTTATCACGGATCATGATCAAACACATGTGACAGCCACTGCCATAGGTTAATTACCGAGTCCCCTATGGATGGCTATGCAGGTCGTTCTCTATTTTCCGGTCTTTCAAATGAAGAGCTGAGAAGGGCTGGTGGCTGATGCCCTACAGACATCTATGTTGCTTGGATTCAGGTGTGACTTCTTAACTTGTTTGAAAATATGGCCGGGCGCGGTGGCTCACCCCTGTAATCCCAGCACTTTGGGAGGCTGAGGCGGGTGGATCACGAGGTCAGGAGATCGAAACCATCCTGGCTAACATGGTGAAACCCTGTCTCTACTAAAAAAAAAATACAAAAATGTAGCCGGATGTGGTGGCAGGCGCCTGTAGTCCCAGCTCTTCGGGAGGCTGAGGCAGGAGAATGGCGTGAACCCGGGAGGCGAAGCTTGCAGTGAGCCAAGATTGTGCCACTGCACTCCAGCTTGGGCAACGGAGTGAGACTCCGTCTCAAAAAACAAAAAATAAATAAAATATGATGCTTTTCAAAAGTTACAGTGTCAGCTGGTTGCAGTGGCTCACGCCTGTAATCCCAGCACTTTGGGAGGCTGAGGCGGGCAGATCACTTGAGGTCAGGAGTTCGAGATTAGCCTGCCCAACATGGTGAAACCCCGTCTCTACTAAAAATGCAAAAATTAGCTAGGCATGGTGGCCCATGCATGTAATCCCAACTACTCAGGAGACTCAGGAGAATCGTTTGAACCCGGGAGGTGGAGGTTGCAGTGAGCCAAGATCACACCACTGTACTCCAGCGTGGGTGACAGAGCAAGACTCTGTCTCAAAAAATAAAATAAAATAAATGAAATAAAATAAAATAGCCCGAGATGGGAGGATTGCTTGAGGCCAAGAGTTCAAGGCTAGGCAACATAGGGAGACACCTGCCCTCCCACCAACCCTGTGTCTATTTGTAAGATAAAAAATTAAAAACGGCCGGGTGCAGTGGCTCATGCCTGTGATCCCAGCACTTTGGGGGGCCGAGGCGGGTGGATCATGAGGTCAAGAGATCAAGACCATCCTGGCCAACATGGTGAAACCCCGTCTCTACTAAAAATCCAAAAATTAGCCAGGCGTGGTGGCAGGCACCTGTAGTCCCAGCTACTCGGGAGGCTGAGGCAGGAGAATTGCTTGAACCTGGGATGTGGAGGTTGCAATGAGCCGAGATCGCGCCACTGCACTCCAGCCTGGTGACAGAGCGAGACTCCGTCTCAAAAAACAAACAAAACATTAAGAACATAAAGTCCAGTAGTTTTATGCCACAATCCTAGCAACTCTATCCTGGGCCGTTCTGAGTTAGCTCTCTCTCTCTCTCTGGAAATAACCAATAAAACCTTAGGATTATGCGGCGGGAGAAGAGATGTGTTCTCCTTTGAGCTGGGGCGGGAGGCGGGGGTGGTGGTCGGGTTACAGCCACAGCTGCAGGCCCTGAATTTCCTTCTGACAGAAAAAACGCCAGCAGCTGTCTCCACTCTCTACAGTGAGGGAACAACATTCCAAGTGAGGAATTGTGGCCAGGAAACCGAGAGGCCCCATGTCCTTTTCTTTTCTTAATGTATTTTTTCTGAAACACACACACACATACATTAAAAACAATCCACCAATAGGATTACATTCATGTAAGATTCAAACATAATCAAATCTACCGTGTGGAGAAATTCATAGTTTGTTAATAAGCATACACGTGTATAGAAAAGGCAGCGTTTATCACAAAACAGGATGTTATTTATCCCTGGGGCAGGGAGGGATTTGAGATGGCCAGAGCACATGAGGGGCTTCTGGGAGGACGATGATTTCTAGATCAGATGACAGTAACATAGGACTTGCTATGTAATTATTTGCCAAATTATATATTTGTGTTTAGGGCACGTTTCTGGAGGCATGTTACATATTCTACAATTGTAAAAAAATGTTTTTTTAAAAAACACAGCTACACATTCAGGGTTATAGCGGTGAAATAAATGTTATCACTATTTTTTTCTAGAATATTCTATGGCTGAAAACCTGAACGCAGCAGTAAAAGTACACGTTTTTAAAACGACTCATAAACCAAATGCACAAAACACAGTCAGGTGAAGTTTCTCTCATTTGTTACGGAGGTTGGTCGTATTTCTTCCTGGTGCCTGGAAGACGTCACGTGGTCTGAACACAGTCTTGGCTGGTGATGATTCCTGATTTTTGTCTGAAATCCTTGGCCAAAGAAAAGAAAGAGAACAAATGAGTCTCTTTATTTTTTTTTAAAGAAGGTTTGTATCATATTTCTCGAATTCTAAATGTATATTTATGTTTGACAAAAGTTATAAATATCTACTTGAAGAGGTAACACAGGAGAAAAACTGGCAAGCCAAATTTAATAAACGTAATGAAGAGTTTACATTGTGTTATGTGGAGAGAGATCATATTCTCTTGTTATGGGCGGAATCTTATCGTCTTGTGGGCTTGGAAGATGTCACACAAAGGAAATAAGAATCACATACATTTACAGACAGGCCTGGCCAACATGATGAAACCCCATCGCTACTGAAAATACAAAATTAGCCGGGCGTGGTGGTGGGCGCTTGTAATCCCAGCTACTCGGGAGACTGAGGCAGGAGAAACACTTGAACCCAGAAGGCGGAGGTTGCAGTGAGCCGAGATTGCACCACTGCACTCCAGCCTGAGCGACAGAGTGAGACTCTGTCTCAAAAAAACAAAAACAGAACAAAAAGAAAAAAAGAATTACATAAATTTAAGCCCTAAATGCAAGGAAATAGGTTAGGTAGGACATTAGGACCGAGGGGTCACCCTAATTAGGAACAGAAACGTATGATCCAAGAGTAGAGAGATTTTTTGCCAACTGAAACAAGATTTCTGCAGGAATGAGGCCATCTTTCAGGGCCACCCACTCACCCCGGGGAAAAGTTTTTAGCTTAGAGGTTGAAGAGAAAAATGAATCATTTGGACATCTTTCCTCTTTTTCCCTCCCCTTGGCTAAACCCAGTATTTCCATTAAAATGCTCCACGTCCATCCCACCCTACTTAGTCTACTTGCTTTTGTTTTGTTTTTTTCCCTAGCACCATTTATATAGACTTTTTTTTTTTTGAGACAGAGCCTCGCTTTGTTGCCCAGGCTGGAGTGCAATGGCATGATCTCGGCTCACTGCAACCTCCACCTCCCGGGTTCAAATGATTCTCCTGCCTCAGCCTCCTCAGTAGCTGGGATTACAGGCACGTGCCACCACACCTGGCTAATTTTTGTATTTTTAGTAGAGACTCGGTTTCACCATGTCAACCAGGCTGGTCTCGAACTCCTGACCTCAGGTGATCCACCTGCCTCAGCCTCCCAGAGTGTTGGGATTACAGGCGTGAGCCACCGAGCCCAGCCATAGACATTCTTTATCTGACCACAAAAGTGATGTATGATTACTGTAGAAAAACTTGATAAATATGGGGAGAAAATCACCCATCATTCTGCTGCACATATATCATTACCATTTCACTGTAGAACGTTTTGCTTATTAAAGTTAGAATATTGGTTTTAAGGAGTTCGAGGCTGCAGTGAGCTGTGATTGCACCACTGCACTCCAGCTTGCACGACAGAGCAAGACCCTGACTCACACACACACACACACAAAGGAATGTCATATCAGCAGTCAGACTCCCTGGGTGTCAACACTTCCTGGTGGTGTGGCTTTGGACAAGTAATTAATTAACTTCTCTGTGCCTCAGTTTCCTCATCTATAAAATGGTAACTATTAGACTAGTACCAAACTCATAAAGAGGTGAGGCTTAAAGAAGTCAATTCAAGTAATGGTCTTAGAATGGTGCATCACAAGTACCCAATAAATGTAAGCTATAATTATCATCCATGTGAGGATGCTGTAAGGATGAAATGAGTTCATTCATACAAAGTGTTTGGAACAGCCCCCTTGGGGCCAAAATAGGACACCTTGTTGGCTCTATGTAAAGATTCACTATTAAAATTAAGGAAAATGTTTTAATTGGGGGATGCAAGAGTTTCATATCTTTATTTCATATAGCTACAAACTTAAACTAAGGCTAGATTCTAAAAATATGTCTGTTCATTCAAAGCACATAAAAAGATGCTCAATATCATTCATCATCAGAGATATTATTAAAACCATGATGAGTTGCCAGCCTCCTTGCTTTCTTTTATACACAGCAACTCAGGCCAGACGCGGTGGCTCATGCCTGTAATCCCAGCACTTTGGGAGGCTGAGGCAGGATCACTTGAGGTCAGGAGTTCAAGACCAGCCTGGCCAACATGATGAAACACCATCTCTACTAAAAATACAAAACTTAGCTGGGCATGGTGGCATGCGCCTGTTAATTCCAGCTATTCAGGAGGCTGAGGCAGGAGAATTGCTAGAACCTGGGAGGCAGAGGTTGCAGTGAGCTGAGATCGCACCAATGCACCCTAGCCTGGCAACAGAGAAAGACTCCGTCTCAAAAAAAAAAAAAAAAAAAAAAAGAAAGAAAATAAGAGAAAAGATGGAGAACAACCTGAATGTCCAATAATGGGACTGATTTTCAAATATGGTTCATTCACACAGTGTAATACTACACAATTGTTAAAAAGAAAAAAAAAGGCATGAGGAAGATCTCAATGTGCTGATAAAGATGTCCAAGCTACAATGTTAAGTGAAAAAAGCAAAGTAAGGATCATTATGCATAGGATGCTACTATTTATGTCGAAAGTAAGGAAAAAATGCACCTATTCATATATACTTTATATGCATTAAAAATACTTGGAAGTGGCTGGGTGCAGTGGCTCATGCCTGTTATCCCAGCACTTTGCAAAGGAGGCCAAGGCAGGCGGATCACTTGAGGTCAGGAGTTCAAGACCAGCCTGGCCAACATGGCAAAACCCCGTCTCTACTAAAAATACACACGAAAGGACCAGGCACGGTGGCTCACGCCTATAATCCCAGCACTTTGGGAGGCTGAGGTGGGTGGATCACCTGAGGTCAGGAGTTCAAGACCAACCTGACCAACATGGTGAAACACCGTCTCTACTACAAATACAAAAATTAGCCAGGCATGGTGGCGTGCACCTGTAATCCCAGCTACGTGGGAGGCTGAGGCAGGAGAATCGCTAGAACCCAGGAGGCGGAGGTTGCAGTGAGCCGATATTACACCATTGCATTCCAGCCTGGGGGACAGGGCGAGACTCCATCTCAACAAAACAAAACAAAACCAAAAAAAATGCACACAAAAAATTCAGCTGGGCATGGTGTTGTGTGACGGTAATCCTAGCTCTTCGGGAGGCTGAGGCAGGAAAATTGCTTGGACCCGGGAGGCGGAGGTTTCAGTAAGCCAAGATCGCACCACTGCACTCCAGCCTGGATGACAGAGCGAGACTCCATCTCAAAAAAAAAAAAGAACACCTACCCGGTAACAGCATCTCCACCAATCACGCCAACTCTGGTTTTGAGCCTCTGAAATCAAGAAACTCTGCTTTCAAACAGCTTATGTGAGCTTCTGTTTTTGGCCAGGAAAAGCCTCTCTTTGTCCCCCCTCCTCAGACGCATCTGTGGCTTGCCATAGCCCTGCATCCTGGATTACAATCCTTTGTGCTTACTCCTGAATACATTCCTGCTATCAGAAGACATTTTTCTCTGATGTCTTTTTTTTCAGGTTGACACAATAGATAGCTTATTTCTTTACCCCGTTTATTGTCCTTGTCTTTTTAACAGACCATCAGCTCTGCGGGTGGGGCCTTTCTATCTGTTCTGCTCTGGTGTGCCCCCAGCTTCTAGAACAGGGCTGTGCTGTGTTGAATTGTGTCTCTCAAAGTTCATGTCCACTCAGAATCTCAGTGAAGATGAGATCATGCCGAATTGGGTTGGGCTGTAGATCCAATGACTGGGTCCTAGTAAGAGGAAAGGTACAACCAGGTGCAGTGGCTCACACCTGTAATCCCAGCACTTTGGGAGGCCCAGACGGGCGAAATCAACTGAGGTCGGGAATTTGAGGCCAGCCTGGCCAACATGGTGAAACTCCGTCTCTACTAAAAACACAAAAATTAGCTGGGTGTGGCGGTGGGAACACCTGTAATCCCAGCTACTTGGGAGGCAGAGGCAGGAGAATCGCTTGAACCCAGGAGGCGGAGGTTGCAGTGAGCCGAGATCGTGCCACTGCACTGCAGCCTGGGCAACAGAGTGAGACTCCGTCTCAAAATAATAATAATAATAACAATAAATCCTAATACAGACACCTATGCAGATACGTACAGAAGTTGTTGGGAGTATTTCATTTTTTATCAAATAAAGGGGAAAGGGTCATAGTGTATGAACTTTTCTTGCATCTCACTGTGTTCACTCAAAAGGTCCCAGTGGAAACTCTCCAGTCCGTCCTTTCAAGACTGCAGAAGAACCCTTGTGTGGTTGGACCATGGTTCACTTGGCCACTCTCCTATCTGTGGGCATTTGCAGGGCCCGGGCTGTTTTGCCAACACAGTGAAGCCACCTTGATGCTTAAAACTTGAGCCCATGCCAGCCTGTGGTGTGCTAGAAATCCTCACTCTTTATGAACCCAATCATCTCGTGCACCACGGTGGTTGTGTTGCTTTACATTTTGTGTGTATTAAAGCCATCATTTGCTAAATGTCACTGATTAAACTATACCACCGTTCAGTGGTGCGGCTGAAATGATTTGACACATCTTCATTTTCTAATGAACCAGGAGACTTTTCTAAAAAGCAGACTGGGCCGGGTGCGGTGGCTCACGCCTGTAATCCCAGCACTTTGGGAGGCCGAGGTGGGTGGATCATGAGGTCAGGAGATCAAGACTATCCTGGCTAAGATGGTGAAACCTCGTCTCTACTAAAAATACAAAAAAATTAGCCAGGTGTGGTGGCGGGCGCCTGTAGTCCCAGCTACTCTGGAGGCTGAGGCAGAAGAATGGCACAAACCCGGGAGGCGGAGCTTGCAGTGAGCCGAGATTGCGCCATTGCACTCCGGCCTGGGCCACAGAGTGAGACTCCGTCTCAAAAAAAAAATAAAATAAAAAATTAGCCAGGCGTGGTGGTGGGTGCTTGTAATCCCAGCTACTCAGGAGGCTGAGGCAGGAGAATTTCTTGAACCTGGGAGGTGGAGGTTGCAGTGAGCTGAGATTGCACCATTGCACTCCAGCCTGGGAGACAAGAGCAAAATTCCGTCTCAAAAAAAAAGCATTCACAAACTCCTAAACCCACAATTTTAAACACCATGCTCCAAGACTCATCAGTCTAGACACACACATGCATACAAGCCTATGCACAAACACAGATCAATACAGACACCCACACTATGTGCAGACACATACACCTACTCATGCACACACTCACACATTCACTCACATAGACACGGACACCCATACACACCCTAATGGCTGAGGGGTGAGCACACACCTGTATGCACACTGGGACACTCAGACATGGATTCACATACACACCCCTAAGTGTACACACACACATACACTCAAGAGACACACGTGTCAATCACACACAAGGTTTTGATCCTCCCACCCCCTCTGAGTATCCCTGACACTTTGGGCAAATCTGTCTCCCACTAGAGTCTCTGTTTCCCCCTTGAGTGGACATACTATTTTCTGCGTTCCATTCCCAGCATCTTCAGTGTGACATCCAGTGAGGCCCCAGGGGTGCAAGGAGCCCTTGGGTAACTTGAGATGAGATGCGAACAGAGGCGTCAATATTTTCAAATCAAGGGGGTTTCAAATGGAGCCTG
Source organism: Homo sapiens (assembly GCF_000001405.40). Taxonomy (NCBI): domain Eukaryota; kingdom Metazoa; phylum Chordata; class Mammalia; order Primates; family Hominidae; genus Homo; species Homo sapiens. The sequence goes on from NC_000019.10 coordinate 46,486,978, forward strand.
CAGGGCCAGTTCCCCTGAGGTAGCCAGTTGATGCCTCTGGGGTATGGTTTCAAACGCCCCAGAAAACCAGAGATTTGACTCCAAATCAGCCTTCATCTGGACCAGTCCAGCCACCCCTCACTGTCACTAAAGAGAAAAATGAGAGGCCACAGGTGATTCCAGAACACAGACATGAAGGGAAGAGATGCTACCCTGAGATAGGGGTTGGGGGAGGGGGGCTTTCTGGGTCCCCCTCCCAGGCTCACTGGGTGTGACAAGAGAAGAGGAAATGGTTAGAGATGGGAGGAGGGGTTTGGAGCCCCGCTGCCTGACTCCCCCAGCATTGCCCCTTGCAAGCTGTGTGACCTTGGGCTGATTACTTGACCTCTCAGTGCCTCCACATCCTCATGGGAAATGGGGATCACAGCAGAGCTTTCCTGCCAGCACTGCCCAGGGGACTGAAGAGGGTGTGATGTGTTTGTGAGGTCATCTCGTCTTATTTCTGCTACGTATCAGCGGCGGCCAGCTCTTCACTGCACACCTCAGCCCTGACAGGGACCCCAGGGCAGCGGTGCCCACCCCGGCTGCCCCTGGAATGACCCAGAGCCCATGTCCAGCCTGCAGATCTCGGCAGCCGCTCTCGGAATCTCTGAATGGTGCAGGGCACGGCTGGGGCAGCAACAGTCCCTAAAGCTCCCCGGTGATTCCAAGCAATGGGCAGCCGGGGCTCACAACCGCGACCCTAGGGGTCCTAGAGACCATCAGACGCCACAGCCGTGGTTCTCAAACTAGTCCCGCATCGCAGGCACCTGGGGGTCCTTTGAAAATGCAGCTTGCTGGACCTCACCCCCAAAGGGGTTCTGTAGGTCTAGGGTGGGCCCGAGAATGTGTATCTAGTTCCCAGGAGACGTTGACGCAGGTCCAGGACCTGATTTTGAGAACCGCTGTCCTGCAGGAAAGTCCGCTTTCCCCAGCCTGGCGTTCAAAGACCAGGGAGGGTTGTCCCTTTAAAGCGCTGGGGAAAGCGCCGTGGCCCCACGATTTTAAACGGCGGAACTGGGGTGCCTCCTGGTGGAATCAGCGGGCATCGCAACTCGCGCGGATTCTTCCCCTGCTCTGGAGTCGTAGGTTGCGGGGGCAAAGGGAAGGGTCGTCGTCTGCGGCGCAGTTCTAGGACGTGGCCACATTCCCAGAGTTTGGGGATCGCTCATTTCCCGCTTAAGCAGGCCGAGGGGCCAAGACAAGTTCAGCCTCTAGGGGAAAGGGTCTGGACCCCGGGATTCTTCGCGGTGGGGAGGTGGCGGGGGAGGGGGGAGAGGGAAGAGGTGAGGGAGGGTCTGGGGTCTGGACCCCAGGATACCTTGGCCTCATCCTTGGGGGAGGACCATTCCGTCCCTCCCCTGGGGCCGGGAGGGCCGATTATTCGAGGGAGCCGTAGAGTAAGACAAACGTGGGTTCCAGCTCCCTTCCTTGCCTCTCTGAGCCTCGGTTTCTCTATCTGGGAAATGAGGGTGAAAATCTGCCTTCATCCTCTTCCCTCCTTCATCCTGCCCTCCTCTCTACAGAGCCAATAAAGACGCACAGACATATACATTCGAATGTGTCCACCCCCAGATCCACACAGAGACACAAACACATACACACACAACCTCAGCCCGCCAGTCACCTGGTCAGCTGAAATCAGGCTCCTGAAAACTCTTCAACCACTTCCTGCCATCCCCACCACCCTGCGCCGGTCCAGCCTTAGGCCTGTCCCCTAGGTTCCCGCCCCAGCCTCCTCCTGCTCCAGCCTTGCACCCTGCACACGACAGACCTAAAGCATAAACCTCTCCCTCTCCTGTTCAAATCCCTCCCATGGCTCCCCAGCGCTTAACGAGGCCCTGAGGCCCTGCCAGTCTGCACGCCCTACTCCAGGGACCTCTTCATGCTCATTTGCTGCCTCAGGTGAAAATCCAGCCAGACAGCGACCACCATGGAGGCAGGCGGCCTTCTTTGGCGTCACTGCCTCCACTCCACCAGCACTTAGCCTGGCATGGGAGGGGCAGTAATTACACGCTAATAACCCCCTACAGTCATACCCTTGGCTTGGGAAGCTTTTGCCCTGGCTCTTCCTACACCCCGGTCATGGACTTCCCCCAGGCAACCGCCGGCCGCACGTCCTTCGGGTCTTTGCAACATTCAGAGACCCCGTCTCTACAAAAAATGCAAAAAGTAGCTAGGCTTGGTGGCGCGTGCCTGTGGTCCCAGCTACTCTAGAGGGAGGCTGAAGTGGTGGGAGGATCGCTTGAGCCCAGGAATTCGAGGCTGCAGTGAGCCGTGATCGCGCCACTACACTTGTCACCTTCTCAGTGAGGGCTTCCCAGGCCACTTTCCCAGGCCCGTTTATGACGACTGCAAACCCTCTCCTGCCCCGGCCCTCCTCGGGCCCCCTGCTTGCCGGACTTTTGTCCCCCAGCAGGTCTCACCCCCTAATGCATGGATTTCGTCCTCATCTAGGGAGCGTAACCCCAGCCTCCCCACCGCATGCTCCCTGCGGGAGGGTCCTGTTTCCTGCACCAAGAACAGGGCCTGGGACGCGCCAGCCCTGGATAAATCTCATGGACTGCGCGGATGGCGCTGAGGGCTCCTCCCAGACAGTCGCCTTCTCTCCCAGGAGGGGGCAACCGCGCTCCGCTCCACCCGTCGCCAGAGGCTCCACGCGCGGGACAGACCCGGCTGCTGCAGCCTGTGCTGGTCTCTGTGCACCGGGACCCTTCCCTGCAGGATCTCAAGGCCTTTACGCGGCTGCTCCTTCGACCCCAAACACTCCTCCCCATCCCCGCCGGAGCACTCCCTCCAGGAATGAGGGAATGAAAACAATGTTTCTTTCCAGCACATTCCCCACCAGGCCTATCTGGGATCTGACTCACCCAGTCCGCGTGGTTCATTCCGACCGTCAGTCATTCAACAAATAACAGCCGCCGCCGCGTGCCAGGCACGGTGTTGGGGCTGGGGACACGAAGGGGAAAGGCCAAGCCACACTTTTTCCCTACGGAGCTGGCCCTAAGCCGCTCTGCCGCGCCTCTCCCCGCCACGCCCACCTGCCCCCATGCCGCATAGGTCCCCACAGCCACCGCTCAGGGCCCTCTGCAGGGGCTGCTGCTGCTGCAAGCCCACGGGGCGCTGGGGGGAGTTTGAAAGCAGGAGGAAAGGGACGCCATTTGGGGGAATGCTCAGGCCGTGGTGGCAGCAGCAGCTGGCGGTCACTGCGGTGAACCAGGGGCTCCCGGGTCTCTCCTCAAGCAAGCCGGCCCCGTGCGTGGAACTTGGCAGTCCTACACTAGGGCTCTGATCACCAGCCTTTCCCAAGTGGCTCCTCCAGCCCTCGGGAGGGAGCAGCTCCCTGCATTGCTAATATTGGGACAAAACGATCTCCCTGTTTTTGCACTTCCTGATTGCAATACCCCAGTCACCAATTTCCTCTATTAACCTCCCTGACAAGTACAGTCGGTGTGCCAGGGGGCAGTCATAGCTCTGAAAAATAAAGGGAGGAAGTGCAGAAAGGGTTCCTTTTTTTTTTTTTTTTTTGAGACGGAGTCTTGCTCTGTCACCCAGGCTGGAGTGCAGTGGCACGATCTCAGCTCACTGCAACCTCTGCCTCCCAGGTTCAAGCGATTCTTCTGCCTCAGCCTCCCAAGTAGCTGGGATTACAGGTGTGCACCACCACACCAGACTAATTTTTATATTTTTAGTAGAGACGGGGTTTCACCGTCTTGGCCAGGCTGGTCTTGAACTCCTGCCCTCGTGATCCACCCTCCTCGGCCTCCCAAAGTGCTGGGATTACAGGCATGAGCCACCGTGCCTGGCCGGCCACAAAGAGTTACATTTTTATAGGTGGTCAGGGAAGCCCTCCCTAGGAATGTGGCATTTGAAGAAAGGTCTGAGTGACATGAAGGTTGGAGCCACGCCTATAGCCCAAGGAAGGGCACTCCAGGCTGCAGGAAGAGCAGTGCAAAGGCCATGAGGCAGGAATATGCCTGGTGTGTCCCAGAGACCTGGGTGGCTGAAGCCACAGGAGACACAGAGAGGGCAGTGGGAAACAAGGCAGAGGGTGAGATGGGGGTGGAGTGTGTAGACCTGAGCTGCGAGGGAGAGCTGCATGCGATGGCCATGTCCTGCACCAGCACCGTGCAATGCGGTAGCCACTGGCCACGTGTGGCTCTTGAGCACTTGTGACGTGGCTGGGAAGACTGAGGACATGCATGTGTATTTTTATTTAATCTTAATTACATTTAAATCCAATTTACCCCGTGTGATTACCTAGTTGAACAAAGCATGTCTAGACAGTCCTAAGAACTGCAGATATGACGGCACAGGAAGGAGACCTTGGGGGATCTGGGGAGGCGAGGGACGCAATCAGACCCCAGGTGTGACTTCTAAGAGGACGTCTCTGGCAGCCATGTATGGTGGGGGGACACAGGATGGAGGGAGGCAGAAAACTCAGGTAGGATGGAAAGCTGAGTCTGAGGTCCAGGGCACAGGTGAGGGGTGGAGGCTGGGGGGAGAGTGCCTGCAGCTGTGGCCTGGCAGAGTGTATCTGGGTGGAAGCTAGGGTGGGGATTGGCTGGGCGGGGTCTCCATGGGTGTCCAGGGGCTTCGGAGCTGAGGCTGGAAGTGGGGAGGCATCAGGGGTGGGAGTGGAAGCTGGCTCAGATCTGCAAGGGGTGAGATGATGCTGGGGGGTAGGGAGAGCCAGGCAGGGATCCCGAAGCAGCAAAGGACAGTGTATGTAAACCAGTGACAGGACAGTTCCCAGGTATTCTGGGCAAACCACAGTCAAGACCGTGGACATCTGTGGCCCACGCTCCCACACCCCGCCTGCCCCACTGCCCAGAGCACAGAGAGAGTACAGTGCTGAATTTCACTTTACTGGAGGATCCAGGTGACACAGGGCACAGGGAGAGAAGCCTAGGACTGCTACGGGAGAAGCACACCTGGGGCCCTCCCCACCCACAGGCAACACCACAGGCTGCTGTGCCCAGCTCAAGGTACACCCAGCCTGGTCCTCAGTGGGTGGGTCACTGTCCAGGGACAGCCTCCAAGCAGAGGGGAGCACCCACGCCCTGCAGCAGGTCTCAGTCAGCTTCTACATCTGGGTGTCCCTGACATAGGACTGGGACAGTCTGGTCTGGACTGTGAGGTCACACCCAAACCCTCCTATTCCTTCCCAGGGACAAGTGGGGCAGGGCCCCCTGGCACGATGGGCTCCTCACTGCCAGGGAATGGAAATTGGGACGAGGAAGCACACACATTGCCCCAGGGACAAGAAGGCATGAATGAAGGTGGGGTCCCGTGGAGACTGATATTTAGGTAAAAATCGAGCTCAGCCGGGGTTGCAGGAGCTGAAGCATACGGCACGGCACGGCACAGACTCACATACAACTCAAGCGTGCTTGGGACAGCAGGTTGTGAAGCCTCACAGCACCGGCCCGCCTACTCTGGAACCTCCAGGGCAGGGCTGGGGTTTCCTCCCCAGGTCATTTCATCCCCTGTAAGGAGGGACACGCGGCCGGCTTCTGCACTGCCCAGGTGAGCCTCTGTCCCTCACAGTGCCCTTCGGGGCCCCTCTGGCCTTTAATTCACTCAGGGGGTGAACCCAGGGACTTTCAAGTCTTTTAGTAAGGGCTGCAAGGCCAGCGCTGAGCGGTGGGTCAGCTCCACTGGAGAGGGGGCACCCAGGGGAGCCACAGCCTATGGGAGGGGCCAGGGCCCACTCAGCCCAGAAGAACCAAAACTGGATTTTAAGTGAATTACCCCAAATTGAACACCTCTGCAAATAATTAGAATGTTGGGAAACACTGCAGTCTGAGTGACAAATTCAACTTGTGGTCAGGGGCAGGTGGCCTTGGCCTGGGGCTGGTTCCTTTGTTATCAGGGGCGCCCCAGTAGGCAGGGCTGGCATGTGTCTTCCCTCTGCTCCCCCCTCCCCCTCCTCCTCCTCTTTCCCTTCTCCCACCGTTCCTCTCCCCTTTCCTCCTCCTCCCCTTCCCAACCGCCTTCTATCTCTCAGACTTTCCTTTCTGGAATCATCTCTTCCCCTGGCTGGGAGCTGGGGCCTCCCCTGGCTGAGAGTTGCGCCCTGACACGCGCTGCGCGGCTGGTGACTGAGCCTCCACCACAGACCCAGGGCCCAGTCAGACTGGGGTAGGGGCGACAGCGGCCTACAGCACCTGCCAGGCGCAGGCCCCGAGAGCGCCACGAAGAGCCCTGCTCGCCTCTGCAGGTGCCCGGCGTCCACACACACACCCCCTCCGGGGGCAACCCGGGCCCCCAATCCTGGTCCACTTGGCGCGTCCCCATCTCGGCCCTGCGCTGCTGCCTCGGGCGCCCACTTCTCTTTCCTCCTCCCATCCGGGCTTCCTCCGTCGGGATCGCTGGCGCCCCCGGCCTGCGAGGGCCCGAGAGGGGAACGTGACGCTGGCAAAACGCGGCCCGGGCGCGCTGTGAAGCGAGGAGATTGCGTCTGCGGAGGACAGGAAGAGGGGAGGGGAGGGCGGGGGCCACAGGCGGGCGGGTGCCCTGCGGGGCCTGCTCGCAGCCTGGGCGGCTTCTTGGGGGGCCACTAGCGGCATTTAGGGGGCAGCCTCCGGCCCCGACGGGCCTTCTTCCCGCGCGCGGCCTTGGATCCAGTGGGCGCCTGGCCCTTGGCCTCGCCTGCCCTGGCATGGGCCCCGGCGCCCGCGCTCCCCTTCTTCTTCCTGCTTCCTGCGGCGTCGTCCTGGGCCGAGCCCCGGCTCCCGGCTTTCTTCTCGGGAGTGACGCCCCGGCCTCGGCCTCGGCCGCCCGCGCGGGTTTTGCGGGCCCCGGAAGCGGTGGGAGGCGCGCCGGCCGGAGTCAGGCCCCTGGGGGCCGTGCGCGCCCTCTTGGCCCGGGGCTTCCTGGATGCCCTGTCCTCCGGCTCCGACGCCTCGCTCTCGGTGTCCTCCGACTCCTCCTCGGACTGTTCGTCCGAAGCCTCCTCCGACCCCTCGTTGGACCCCATGTTCTCCCGGGCGGCCAGGAGCGCCAATACCTCCCCCAGTTTGCCTTTGGGGTATTTGTACTTCCCGCCTTCCCAGGCGTTTTCTTTTTCCTCCTTCATCACCTCCGCCATGTCCTGGGCAGCCAGGAGCGCCACCAGCTCCAGAAGACCCCCTTCGTCCTCACGGTGCTCGCTCCAGCCCCCGAAGAGGCCACGCCCAGCCTTCTTCGCCTGGGGAGGGAGATCCGGCTGCGCCAAGGTGGAAATGCACTCCCGGAGGTCCCCGTCATCCCCGGCCTTGCGCAGGACCACGGCGTCCACCTCGCGGCCCGCCTCTTCCACCTTCACGCGGGTCCCGTTAGTGTCCTTGGACATGACGGACAAGACCTGTCGGAGGGGGTCTCGCTTGTCTTTCTCGTCGCTCCAGCCCAGCGACTCGATAACAGAAGCGATTTTCAACATCTCCTCCCGGGCCCAGGGGTCCGACGGGTCGGTATAGGCCACAATGGCCACGAACTCAGGATTATCCAACTCCTCTGTTTCTTGGTCCCCACTTTCCTGCGAGTCGCTCTCCGAAGTGTCGCTGTCCACCGGCTCCTCGTCCGGGGTGTCTCTCACAGCCAGCAGGGCCACTAAGTCGGGGACACCATTTTTGTCTTCTTTGGTGTTCAAGCGGATGGATTCGGCCCCAGCTGGCTCCTTCTCTGCCTCTTCTTTCTTCGATTTGTCGGTGACGGTGACCAGAGCCAAGAACTCGCGGGGACCGTCTTCTTCCCCCTCGGAGTTGCAGGGCGCCCACTGCCTAACCAGCTCCCTGGCAGCGGCCTGCAGCGTGGCGTACAGCGCGCTCTGGTCCTCTTCTCCGCTCAGGTCGCCCTGGTCGATCTCCTCGATCACGATGCCCAGGCTCTCGTCGGAAGAGTCCTCGGCCTCACTCCTCGCGGGAGCAGACGGCCGTCCTCCTCGGCTTCTCTTCTTGCCCTTCTGGGTCAACCTGTTGCGTCTGGTTCTGTTTCTGCGACCCCGACGGCCCCTCCTTGGGTTCCTGGCTGCCCCAAGAAGCGAGCCAGCCTGCCCTGTTACCTCCCCAGAATCCTGGGCCTGCGTCTCCGAAGCGGGAGGGGTGGGTGCCTCCCCGGGGGTCCCAGCCTCCGCGGCCTGCGTGGGCCCGTCATCCAGCAGCAGGCGTCTCATCTGCCTCAGGACCCTCGTGTCCTGCGCACGGTCCTTCCACAGAACCCTCCAGACCCCATCCTTGCCTGGGATCTCCCTGGGAATGGCAGCGTGATTGACGTCCTCCACAAACTCCACCAGGGCGGCCTGGGCCTTCTCGTTCATCAAAGCCTTCATGTGTCGCAACCTGAACGTGCCCAGGGGCAGGAGGGTCGGCTGCAGGACGGCTTCGACGTCTGCCTGCTCCAGGCCCTCCGGGATGCCGGTGACCAGCAGGGCCCTGTGCGCGTCCACGTCCAGGCTCCGGCACCAGTCCTGCAAAAGGCTCATGGCCATGGTGCAGCCCCCTTGGCGCTGATCTTGGGGCAGCAGGGAGCCCGAGATAGGGGTGGGCTGCAGCGCACGGTGTCAATGCAACCCTAGAAAGCCACTTGCAGGGCTTAGAGTCCCGGTTCCGGTGAATGTGGCAAGGCTGGAGTGGGGCTCGGGGCTCGGGGGCTCTAGCTGCCTGCTGGCCGGCTGGACGCAGTGACCTTCCCCCGGGACCCCTCTCCAGAGCTGTCTGAGGATCCGCGGGGGGCTTACGTGTCTGCTTTCCAGGACAGCTCCCTCCCTCTCTCCCTGACACAGGCCTGAGTGACTCGGCACCGCAGCCAGGTGCAGGGGGGCGGCGCCGAGTGCACCTGGAGAGGCGTGGGAGGTAGCAGCCGCAGCTTGCCTGGCGCTCGCGCCGCGTCTGAGCGCGCACCCTGGGCCTGAATCTCAGCAGTTCCGCTGCGACGCGGCTGCTCGCGCGTGCGCCTGCGCAGAGGGAGCCGCACACCCTCCCCTGTCCCCCGCCCAACCGTCTCCATGGCAACGGTGCAGCCTTGAGCTGGGGTCTGCGTCGCTGTGGCCTGAGACGCTTTTCTTAAAGGTCCCGATGACAAGGACTTGGGGCCTGGAAGCACCACTTTCATTAACCAGCAAAAAACAAGGCCGAAACCACAGAGGGCCAGAAATCACTCAAGGATACCCGACCTCATTCAGGGGATAGAGGCCTCCTTCCAGAGGGTACCGGCATCACTGGGGGTTACAATTCCCCCTTCCAGGGGCCAGGTGGAATTCAGGATTATATAGGCCTAAATCAAAGGGCACTGGCCTTGCAGCGTAGGACCAGGACTTACTCGGGATACTGGCCTCATTCACAGTATATGGGTCTCAGTATCAAATAGGGGGGCCCAGGCACCACCTGTGAGCAAGACACCATTCAGGGTATATGGGCCTCACTTGCAGGGTACAGGCCCCACTCGATGGGACCGGCCCTCACTCCCATACACGTTCCTGTATTCTGAACTATGCATGCACAATAAATCCTGTGGTTTTGCACACGCTTTGAGCATATGTATGATTGTGAGACCAGGCATGAATTTTGCAAGAAAGCATTTCCCTTGACTGGGACAGCAGACTGGGGCGTGTGAACGTCAGTCATAGCTACTGTAAACATGCATTTGCTTCTCTGTCCCTTGTTGGCCATGAGGCTGTCCCCTACTCTATATGAATCTGGCTCTGTAGACCAGCTGGTAGGTTTATATCTCAACCATCATCCCTACCTCAAAGGGTTTTGTTTTTTTGTTGTTGTTTGTTTTGGAGATGGAGTCTTGCTCTGTCACTCAGGCTGGAGTGCAATGGCACAATCTTGGTTCACTGCAACTTCCGCCTCCCATGTTCAAGCGGTTCTCCTGCCTCAGCCTCCTGAGTAGCAAGGATGACAGGCCTCCCAAGTAGCTGGGATTATAGGCATACACCATCACGTCTGGCAAGTTTTTGTATTTTTTGTAGAGATGGGTTTTTACCATGTTACCCAGGCTGGTCTCAAACTCCTAACCTCAAGTGATCTGCCCGCCTCAGCCTCTGAAAGTGCTGGGATTACAGGATTACATGGTGAGCCACCATGCCTGGCCTCAAAGGGTTCTCATGAGGATTAAAGGGAATAATCCAGGAAAGCATTTAGAAGAGCAGCTGGCCCACAGCTGGTGCTCCATGAAAGATGGCTAAGAGAAGTATTTGTTGAGAACTTACCATTATAAAAGCATCTGTTTTGTTGGTTTGTTTTTGAGATGGAGTCTTGCTCTGTCGCCCAGGCTGGAGTGCAATGGAGCAATCTCGGCTCACTGCAACCTCCACCACCCGGGTTAAAGCCATTCTCCTGCCTCAGCCTCCCGAGTAACTGGGACTACAGGCATGCACCACCATGCCTGACTAGTTTTTTGTTTGTTTGTTTGTTTGAGAGAGAGTCTCGCACTGTCACTCAGGCTGGAGGGCAGTGGCGTGATCTTGGTTCACTGCAACCTCCGCCTCCCGGCTTCAAACCATTCTCCAGCCTCAGCCTCCCAAGTAGCTGAGATTACAGGTGCCCGCCACCACGCCCAGCTAATTTTTTGTATTTTTAGTAGAGACGGGGTTTCACTATGTTGGGCAACCTTGTCTCAAACTCCCAACCTCGTGATCCGCCCGCCTCGGCCTCCCAAAGTGCTGGGATTACAGGTGTGAGCCACCGTGCCCGGCCTAGTTTTGTATTTTTAGTAGATGGATTTTCACCATGTTGGCCAGGCTGGTCTGGAACTCCTGACCTCGGGTGATCTGCCGGCGTCGGCCTCCCAAAGTGCTGGGATTACAGGCACGAGCCACCGTGCTCAGCCCAAAGCATCTGTTAATAAACAAATAAATAGGAAACCAAAACACCTCGAGTTTTTTGTTTTTGCCACCAGGCCCAACCCCTTACTTTTGTGTTTGGATTTTTTTATGTTTAAGGAGAGTTTAACTGCAAGGTTACCACAGCAACTGGGCAAACCGCTTACTCACTCCTATTTTCCCCCACTTTTTCCTCCTCTGATCTTCCTGATCCACAGATGGATGTGATGTGACTCTTTTCTCCAGAGCAGCGTTGTCCAGCAGGAATAGAATGCCAGCCCCAAATTCGAACCGCACGTGCAATGTTAAAACTCCTAGTTGCAGCCAGCCAACACTGACCTCAGGTGGTCCACCCACCTCAGCCTCCCAAAGTGCTGGGATTACAAAGTGTCATTTTTGACATTTGAATCTCCAATCTAGGCTGGGCATGGTAGCGCACGCCTGTAATCCCAGCTACTTGGAGGCTGAGGCAGGAGAATCACATGAACCTGGGAGGCAGAGGTTGTTGCATTGAGCCGAGATTGCGCCACTGCACTCCAGCCTGGGAGACAGAGCAAGACGCTGTCTCAAAAAAACCAAACCAAACCAAACCAAACCAAACCAAAACAAAACAAAAAACGAGCTGCTTTTTCTGCATCTATTGATCTAAAAAAAGAAGAAATATGGTGACTCACCATGTAATCCTGTAATCCCAGCACTTTCAGAGGCTGAGGCGGGCAGATCACTTGAGGTTAGGAGTTCGAGACCAGCCCGGGCAACATGGTGAAAACCTATCTCTACAAAAAATACAAAATTTCCTAGGGGGCCACCTTCAATAAATAGAAAAGAGGGAAGAAAAATGAATTTTAAGAATAGATTTTGGCCAGGCGCAGTGGCTCACGCCTGTAATCCCAGCACTTTGGGAGGCCGAGGCAGGCAGATCACTTGAGCCCAGGAGTTTGAGACCGGCCTGGCCAACATGGCAAAACCTCGTCTCTACAAAAAATACAAAAGTTAGCCAGGCTTAGTGACACACATCTGTAGTCCCTGATACTCAGGAAGCTGAGGTAGGAGGATTGCTTCAGCCCAGGAGATCAAGGCTGAAGTGAGAGATGATCATGCTACACTGCACTCCAGCTTGGGCAAGAGAATGACCCTGTCTCAAAAAAAAAAAAAAAAAAAAAAAAAAAAAAAAAAAAAAAAAGGAAAAGGAAAAAGAAAAAGAAAATAAAGAATATATATTATTTATCCCGAAATATACAAAGTGTTGTCATTTGCACAAGTTGTCAATGTAAAACAATTATTTATGAGCTATCAGACACTCTCTTTTCATAATGAGTCCCTTTGGAGTAGCCGTATTTCAAGGGCTCAGCAGCCACACAGGGCCATTGGGAATTTGTTTGCAAGAATTAATTAGGGGGAGAGAGAGAGAGAGAGAGAGTGTGTGTGTGTGTGAATACACTCAGCACAACTGTTATTTATAACTGCAAGATTGGAAAACACAACAAAAAGAGAAACAGGAAGCTTGCACTTTGTGTGTGTGTGTGTGTGTGTGTGTGTGTGTATTTTAGAGTCAGAGTCTTGCTGTCTCCCAGGCTAGAGTGCAGTGGCATGACCATGGCTCACTGCAGTCTTGAACTCCTGGCTTCAAGCACCTCTCCCACCTCAGCCTCCAGAGTAGCTGGAACTGCAGCACACCACCACGCCTGGCTAATTTTATTTTTTGTAGAGATGGGGTCTTGTTATGTTGCCCAGGCTGGTCTCAAACTCCTGGGCTCAAGTGATCCTCCTTCCTTGGCCTCCCAAAATGCAGGGATTGCAGGCGTGAGCCATCATGCCCGATGAAGCTGACACTTTTCTAAGTCGTTGTGGATAACCACAGGTGAAATTCTTGTAAAAATGAAGATTCATATACCATATAACCCACCCATTTAAAGTGCACAACTCAATGGCTGTTAGTTCATTCAGAGTTGTGTGACCAACACCACGATTGATTTTAAAACATTTTCATCACCTCAAAAAGAAATCCCACACTGCTTAGCCATCACCCTCCAACCCTCTAATCTCCCCCCAGCCCCCGGCAACCACTAATCTGCTTTCTGTCTCTACGGACTTCCCCATTCTGGACATTTCATATGAATGGAGTCATACAATATGTTGTTCCTTTGTGTCTGGCTTCTTTCACTCAGCATCATTTGTTCAGTGTTGTGTGGCAAGTGTCATCCAATACTCTGTTCCATTTATTTAGAGACAGAGTCTCGCTCTGTCACCCAGGCTGGGGTGCAGTGGCACAATCTCAGCTCACTGCAACCTCTGCCTCCCGAGTTCAAGGAGTTCTCCGAGTTCACCTGCCTCAGCCTCCCGAGTAGCTGGGATTACAGGCACCCACCGCCACACCCAGTTATTTTTGTATTTTTAGTACAGACAGGGTTTCACCATGTTGGCCAGGCTGGTCTCAAACTCCTGACCTCAGGAGTTTGCCTGCCCATCTGCCCATCTCGGTCTCCTAAAGTGCTGGGATTTCAGGTGTGAGCCACTGCACCCAGCCTCCATTCTTTTTATGGCTGAGCAATGTTCCATGGAATGGATAAATCAAATTTTCTTTATCCATTCATCAGTTGATGGACATTTGGGTTGTTTGCACTTTTGGGCTATCATGAATATGCTAGGAACATAGGAGCATGATGGATATGCTGTGTGCAAATTTCTATGTAGACATATGTTTTCATTTCTCTTGGGCAGACACTTTTAGGAGAGGAATCCCGGGGCACATGGTAACTCTATGTTGAGTCATTTGAGGGGCTGAAGGGATGCTTTTAGCAATGGTCAACGCAGAGCAAGAGTCTTTCCTACTTCCCACAAAGCCGCTGTAAGTGCTAAAATGGAGTTAGGTTCTGGACCCAGATCATTGTAGACTGATTTTTCAACAGTGTCACAGGCTGGATGGCTTAGATAACAGAAATCTATTTTCTCCCAGTTCCAGAGTCTGGAAGTCCAAGATCAAAGTGCCATCCGGGTTAGTCTTTTACATTTGCCCAATAACCAAGCAAGTCACTTTGTCTCTTCATGGCTCTGTGGCCCCAGTTTATCGTGAGGTTGTGAGGATTTAAGCGGGATGTGTGTGTGTGTGTGTGTGTGTGTGTGTGTGTGTGTGTGTGTGTTGGAACAGTGCCTGGCCCTGAGTGTTACTGGGACAAAGATTTCATTCTCACCGTGGGACAGGATGAGGTGGCACGCTGGAATGCAGAGGGGACTCCCCAGGAGAGCGTCTGGTTTATAAGAGGACCCAAAGGTACAGAGGCTGAATTATGTCTCTTTAAAATTCATATGTTGGAGCCTGGGTGTGGTGGCTCACGCGTGTAATCCCATCATTCTGGGAGGCTGAGGCAGGTGGATTGCTTGTGGTCAGGAGTTCGAGACCAGCCTGGCCAACATGGCGAAACCCCATCTCTACTAAAAATACAAAAATTAGCCAGGTGTGATGGTGAGTGGCTGGAATCCCAGCTATTCAGGAGGCTGAGGCAGGAGAACCGCTTGAACCTGGAAGGCGGAGGTTGCAGTGAGCTGAGATTGTACCACTGAACTCCAGCCTGGGTGACAGGCATGACTGTCTCTAAATAAATAAATAAAATAAAATAAAATAAAATAAAATAAAATAAAATAAAATAAAATTCATATGTTGGGCTGTGTGTGGTGGCTCACACCTGTAATCCCAGCACTTTGGGAGGTTAAGGCAGGCAGATCACTTGAGGCCAGGAGTTCAAGACCAGCCTGCCCAACATGGTGAAACCCCATCTCTACCAAAAATACCAAAATTAGCTGGTCATGGCCAGGCATGGTGGCTCATGCCTGTAATCCCAGCACTTTGGGAGGCTGAAGTGGGTGGATCATGAGGTCAGGAGATCAAGACCATCCTGGCTAACACAGTGAAACCCCGTCTCTACTAAAAATACGCAAAATTAGCCAGGTGTGGTGGTGGGCACCTGTAGTCCCAGCCACTTGGGAGGCTGAGGCAGGAGAATGGTGTGAACCCGGGAGGCAGAGCTTGCAGTGAGCCGAGATTGCGCCACTGCACTCCAGCCTGGGCAACAGAGTGAGACTCCCGTCTGAAAAAAAAAAAAAGAAAAGAAAAATTAGCTGGTCATGTTGGCAGGTGCCTGTAATCCCAGCTACTCAGGAGGCTGAGGTGGGAGGATTGCTTGGGCCTGCCAGGTCGAGGCTGCAGTGAGCCATGACTGAGCCACTGCACTCCAGCCTGGATGACAGAGTAAGACCCTGTCTCAAAAAAAAAGAAAAAAAAAAAAAAGGATAGACTATGAACCCCAAGCCCTGTGCACAGAAGATCTTACAGGGACCAGCCAGGCAGGGACATCAGGATCCCCAACATGTCCTGCCCAGTCCCGCCCTGGGCATTTCCCCTGGAATCATGATCTCTTCTTAGGCAGAGATGAGCCTATGACTGACCAAGCCACTGCCTGTAAGGTTCCAATGGAAACAGCTGGAAGAAAGGGCGTAAAGCGTTCAAGGCCGGGCGTGGTGGCTCACGCCTGTAATCCCAGCACTTTGGGAGACCGAGGCGGGTGGATCACATGAGGCCAGGAGTTCAAGACCAGCCTGGACAACATGGTGAAACCCCGTCTCTACTAAAAATACAAAAATTAGCTGGGCCTGATGGCATGCACTTGGAGTCCCAGCAACTCAGGAGACTGAGGTGGGAGGATCGCTTGAAAAAATTGTTCGAAATTCTTCTCCCCCTCATTTTGTGTTCGAGAAAAATACAAGTGAATCTGCTTAACTGGAAATGGCGCTATTGGAGCAAGGGTTCTCTTTCTTTGTTTTCGTTTTTTTTTTTTCGAGACGGAGTCTCACTCTGTTGCCCAGGCTGGAGTGCAGTGGCGCAATCTCAGCTCACTGCAAGCTCCGCCTCCCGGGTTCACGCCATTCTCCTCCCTCAGCCTCCCAAGTAGCTGGGACTACAGGTGCCTGCCACCACATCCGGCTAATTTTTTAATTTTTTTAGTAGAGACGGGGTTTCACCGTGTTAGCCAGGATGATCTCAATCTCCTGACCTCGTGATCCGCCCGCCTCAGCCTCCCAAAGTGCTGGGATTACAGGTGTGAGCCACCGCCCCCGGCCAGAGCAAGGGTTCTCAAAGTGTGGTCTGGGGACCTCTACGGGTTGCAAGGACATTCCAGGGCATCCATCAGATAAAAACCATTTTCATAATACTAAACCATTATTTGTCTTTTCACTCTTACTCTCTTACCAGTGTTCAGTGGAATTTTCCAGAGGCTACATGCCGTGCCGTATTGCAGCTGACTGAACCAGGAGGCAGGTCAAGGATTGTTGAGCCAGATATCAAAGTGAGTTGAAAAACACCAAAATACTACAGTGCCACTCTTCTCACTAACTTTGTTTTGTTTTGGGAAATATATCTATTTTTAGGGCTAGGCAAGGTGGCTCATACCTGTTATCCCAGTACTTTGGGAGACCAAGACAGGAGGATTGCCTGAGCCCAGGAGTTCGAGACCAGCCTGGACAACATAAGGAGACCCCATCTCTACAAAAAATACGAGAAAAATTAGTCAGTTGTGGTGGCCCATGCCTGTAATACCAGCTACTGGGGAGGCTGAGGTAGGAGAATTGCTTGAACCTGGGAGGTTTGAGGCTGCAGTGAACCATGATTGTGCCACCGCACTTCAGCCTGGGAAACAGAGTGAGACCCTGTCTCAAAAAAAAAAAACCTATTTATATATGTTATCTACATGAGTGTGTAACATGTTTGTTACTAGGCAGGAGATTTTCAGGCTCCAGATGGCCCTACTTGGCTGGTCACCGTTAGATCTTACGTGCACGGGGCCTGGGGCTCAGGGTCTATTCTTTTCTCTCTCTCTCGTTTTTTTTTTTTTTTTTTTTTTGAGACAGGGTCTTACTCTGTCACCCAGGTGGGGTGCAATGGCTCAATCATGGCTCACTATTTTTGAAAGGGTTAACAAATACCATATTCTTTTAATTTATCAGGAGAGATTCCTAATAGAGTAAATATCGACACATATAACCCACATAAACAAACGCTCTTTAGGGTCCTTGATAATTCTTAATAATTTGAGAGGTCCTGAGACCAAATCGTTGGAGAATATACATACTCGAGAATATAACACAATGTTCCCTAGGGCCCAAAACAGAAAAACCATATTTTTCAGCCGGGCGTGTGTGTGCGTGCGTGTGTGTGTGCATGTGTGTGTGTGCGTGTGTGTGTGCATGTGTGTGTGCGTGTGTGTGTGCATGTGTGTGTGTGCGTGTTTCTCCAGCAAGTTACAGTTGAATCATGGGAGTTAGGTGCACTGCAGACTCATCTCCCATCTCCCCTCCGTTGTCTTTCTGCTCCTCTCTTTTCGCCTCAGAGCAGTGTTGCCAGGGAAACCAGATCAGCACATCCTCAACACAAAATCAATTTACCTCCCGTGTGTCTGGAGGGTGACGAATGGCAGGTCTGCCTTTCAACACGTTTACATCCAAGGAGCTGTCAACTCCGCCTGCCTCCACGTCTTAGAAATGCCATTTTATCTTCATCCCCCTCTCCCATTCCTTTTCACTTTTCATTTTGTGATGGCTGTCCTTTTATTTTCATGTGTTCCTGCAAAATGTGCATTGCTGTTTGGGGGCATCTAGGCTAAATTTGCATAACTTGTTTTCCATGATCTATCTCTTTTTGTTTCTCATGGTTTTTGTGTGTGTGTGTGTGTGTGTGTGTGTGTGTGTGTGTGTGTGTGTGCGGTTTTCTTTCTTTTTTTTTTTTTTTAGCACTCAGCAGTAACGTGTCTAAGATTGATCCCAGTTCTGTATCTTGCTGGTAATTTCACCTGCTGAATGGGGCTGCATGGTTGTTAAACATTGCTGCAAGTTCTTTAACTCTGCTGAGAGGTGAGATCTACCTCCTCTTTCCTTGAAGCTGAATCTGGGTGAGTTTGTGACTACCTCAACTGCTAGTGTACATCCACTTGCTCTGTGTCTTTCAAGGTTAGCTGGATGCTAGGTGACTTCCAAGGTTAGTTATAAAAGGCTTTTGCCTGGTTCTTCTGGAATAATTACTGCTTGGAACTTAGCTGCCATGCCGTGAGGAAGCCCAACTCACATGGAGAGCTCTGCATGTAGGTGCTCAAGTCAACAGCTCCAACTAAGTCCAGTCTTCAAATCATCTCAAACCAGGCACCGGACATATGAGTGATGAAGCTTCCAGATGATTCCAGACCCTAGCCATTGGGGTCATCCCAGCTGTGGCCCCACACATTATGGGGCCAAAAGAAGCCATCCCCTTTCATAACTATGGACCCATGGAATCTATGGGCATAATGAGATGTTGCTGCTTTATGACACTAAGTGAGGGTTGGTTTGTTACACAGCGAAAGTAACCAGTGCACACCCAGATCCATCTCCTGCTCCCACATACACACAGCACAAATACTCTACCATAAATGTTCTTGTACACATTTTCTTATGATGTTGAATGAGAATGAGACACTGAGACTGCCCTTGGCATAGGTCCCAGGAGCAGAATTGCTTGGGTCTGCATATTCCTTTATTTATTTATTTATTTTTGTCACCGAGTGACAGTAGCCATCATGGCTCACAACAGCCTTGACTTCCTGCACTCAGGTGATCCTCTTGCCTTAGCCTCCTGGGTAGCTGAGACTACAGGTATGCACCACCACGTCTTGCTTATTTTAAAAAAATTTTTGTAGAGATAGGGTCTCACTATGTTGTCTGGGCTGGTCTCGAACTCCTGGGCTCAAGCAATTCTCCTTCCTAAGCCTCTCAAAGTGCCGGATTACAGCATGGGCCACTGCGCCTGACTAGGGTCTGCGTATTCCTAACTCTACCAAGTCCTACAAGTCACTCAGTGCAATGAATGTCCCTATTTGCTCACATATGAGGATTCCTGTGCCCCCAGTGCCCACTCCCACCTCTGGAGATTGTCCAGGCTTCTAGGATTTGCCCATCTCATGGGCATAAGGTGGTAGCTCATTGTTCTCCAACTACAAATGAGTTTGCACATCTCTTTTTTAGTTTATTTGGAAATCCCCTTCTTTAAATATCCTGTTCATAGTGTTTTCCCATTTTCTCATTGCTGTTTGTGCTTTTACCACCACAACTGTTGACTTTTTTTTTTTTTTTAGACAGTCTCGCTCTGTTGCACAGGCTGGAGTGCAGTGGCACTATCTCGGCTCACTATAAGCTCTGCCTCCTGGGTTCACGCCGTTCTCCTGCCTCAGCCTCCTGAGTAGCTGGAACTACAGGCGCCCGCCACCACACCCGGCTAATTTTTTGTATTTTTAGTAGAGACAGGGTTTCACTGTGTTAGCCAGGATGGTCTCGATCTCCTGACCTGTGATCCGCCCGCCTTGGCCTCCCAAAGTGCTGGGATTACAGGCGTGAGCCACCGCACCCGGCTAATTGTTGACTTTTTTGAACAGAGCCCAATGCAATTCCTAAAGGTATTTTAGCTCTTTCTGTTGCTCCAATAATATATTGTTAAATGTGAATAACATTTCTATAATACAAAGAGGATAGTATAACATGGTGCTCAGTAAATCTTGTATTGAACAGATGGAGGAAGAAAGGAAAGGAGGAATTATAACATCACACACACCATGCCAAGGGATGATCTTATGCCAGACATTGGCTAGAATAGCCTTTAATATATTGCTTCATTTAATCTTCACCACAGTCATGTAAAGCCAGCCCCATTATTATCTCTATTTCCCAGATGAGAAATCTGAGGCTGTGTGTGTGTGCACACACACGCAGGGTGGAAGGTCTTTTACAACTGGGAAGTGGTGAGACATCAATTTGACCTCAGGTCTCTGTGACTCCAAACCTCTGATTCTTTTGTTTGTTTGTTTGTTTGTTTTTGAGATGGAGTCTTGCTCTGTGAGCAGGCTGGAGCGCAGTCGCGTGATCTCGGCTCACTGCAACCTCCGCCTCCTGGGTTCAAGTGATTCTCCTGCCTCAGCCTCCCAAGTAGCTGGGATTACAGCCACCTGCCACCACGTCCAGCTAACTTTTGTATTTTTAGTAGAGACGGGGTTTCACCATGTTGGCCAGGATGGTCTCGATCTCTTGACCTCATAATCTGCCCGCTTTGGCCTCCCAAAGTGCTGGGATTACAGGCGTGAACCACCGTGTCTGGCTCCAAACCTCTGATTCTAACAGGGATACTAGGCAGACTTTCAGCAGCACCATCCCTCCTCAGCACTCATTCATTCATTTGTTCATTTAATCATTTAGCAAACACAAAGAACCCACACGTGTGGGATATGACTGTGACTACATCAGACCAGGGCCTGGCTGACATCATAGGGAGATCAGATATGAACCACTAATAACTACGAATTCATAATGATGAAAAGAGTGAATAAATTACTTCACAGACTTTCTGTGGATTTTCATGTGATGATGAAAAACAGTGAGCTGGGTCCCAATGTATTTCCTGGCAACTGGCCATGTTCTATTGTTGCAGAGAAGCAAGATATAGGATGAAGTGTATCAGTGATTCCATTCACACTAGAGCGGACCATGAAATATGGATTTCAACCTTAGTCAAGCCTCATCATGTTCCACCTTAGAAAATGCTAAAAAATGTTAACCCACTATTTGCAAAAGAAAACAAAAAGCTGGGCTGGGCGCAGTGGCTCACGCCTGTAATTCCAACACTTTGGGAGGCCGAGGCCGGTGGATCACCTGAGGTCAGGAGTTCGAGACTAGCCTGGCCAACATGGCGAAACCCCATCTTTACTAAAAAAGCAAAAGTTAGCCGGGCATGATGGTGGGTGCCTGCAATCCCAGCTACACAGGGGGCTGCGGCAGAAGAATCACTTAAACCCCAGAAAGTAGAGGTTGCAGTGAGCTGAGATCGCACCACTGCACTCCAGCCTGAGCGACAGAATGAGACTCTGTCTCAAAACACACACACACACACACACACACACACACACACACACACACAAATGAAAAACAATAAAAGCAAGCATTCAGTAAGATGTGACATGCACCAAGGAGGAGACACATGAGGTGCTGTAGGACGAGTAATGGCTCTGGGGGGCCGGAGGGGTTGTGAGAAACAAAATCAAGGTCCCAAGGGATAAAACCCACTCCTGGGGCGGGGCCCCGCGGCTCACGCCTGTAATCCCAGCACTTTGGGAGGCCGAGGAGGGCGGATCACTTGAGGTCAGGAGTTTGAGACCAGCCTGGCAAACATGGTAAAACCCCGTCTTAGTAAAAATACAAAAATTAGCTGGGCACGGCGCGGGCACCTGTAATCCCAGCTATTCAGGAGGCTGAGGCAGGAGAATCACTTGAACCCAGAAGGTGGAGATTGTAGTGAGCCAAGATCGTGCCACTGCTGCACTCCAGCCTGGATGACAAGAGGGAAGCTCCGTTAAAACAAAACAAAACAAAACAAAAAAAACACCACTCCTGGGAGGAAACAGCTAGTGACCCAAGTTGACCAGGGTCTGCTTTAAGACAAGGAATGAAGAGGTCTCCAAAGACCAGAGTATCCCAGGGGACCACATAAAAAAGTCTTTAGTTTTTCAAATAGTTTGCATGACTGGACCCTTGGGACACCGGCCTGAGAAGGAAGGAATTAGTCAAGAGATGGACAATGCCAGAAAAAGCTTTTCCTTGGAAAAAGACCCTGGTTTAAGTTCAAGATAGCCTCATGAGTAAAGAAGCAAGACACAAAAGTGTACATCTTTTTTTTTTTTGAGATGGGAGTTTTGCTCTTGTTGCCCAGGTGGGAGTGCAATGGCACAATCTCAACTCACCACGACCTCCGCCTCCTGGGTTCAAGTAATTCTGCTGCCTCAGCCTCCCGAGTAGCTGGGATTGCAAGCATGCACCTCCATGCCTGGCTAATTTTGTATTTTTAGTAGAGACGGGGTTTCTCCATGTTGGTCAGGCTGGTCTCAAACTCCCAACTTCAGGTGATCCACCCGCCTCGGCCTCCCAAAGTGCTAAGATTACAGGTGTGAGCCACCGCACTTAGCTAAAAGCATACATCTTTCTATGATTCCATTTGTATGACATTCTAGGACAGGCAAAACTATAACCTATGGTGGAAAAAAATCAGAGCAGTGCTTGCCTCTGGAGTTCGGGGACTGGCTGGAAAGGAACATGCAGGAACTTTCTGGGATGATGGGGTGTTCGGTATTTTTTTTTTTTTTTTGAGATGGAGTCTCACTCTGTCACCCAGGCTGGAGTGCAGTGGAGCGATCTCAGCTCACACTGCAACCTCAGCCTCCCGGCCTCAAGCAATTCTCCCACCTCAGCCTCCTGAGTAGCTGGGATGACAGGCACACCATCACACCCAGCTAATTTTTGTATGTTTTTGTAGAGACAGGCTTCTGCCATGTTGCCCAAGCTAGTCTCAAACTCATGGACTCAAGCAGTCCTCCCGCCTCGGCCTCCCAAAGTACTGGGATTACAGGCATGAGCCCCCGTACCTGGCCTGAGTTCTGTATTTTGACAGGCATTTGGTTTTTCAGGGGTATGTATTTGTCAAAACTCAGTGAATTTATACCTGAGATCTGTGCATTTTATTGTGTGTATTTTACATTCTTCTCTCAAAAGAACAAATATTAAACCTTAGTTAATGATATGAAGCATTAAGAGGGCAGTGGACAGATAATCTATAATTTATTTTGAAATGCACAAGAAAAGATGGCTTGATGGATATGGGATACAGCCACACCTGTGATACAGCAGGCATGATAAAATGTCAATGGTAGAATCTAGGAGGTGGGGATAGGGGCGCTTGTTGTGAAATCTTTCAACTTTGCTCTATGTTTGAAAGTTTTTGTAATAAAGTGTTGGAAGGACTGTAGTAAAATTGTTTTTTGTTTGTTTGTTTGTTTTGAGATAGAGTCTTGCTCTGTCACCTAGGCTGGAGTGCAGTGGCATGATCTCTGCTCACTGCAAGGTTCGCCTCCTGGGTTCACGCCATTCTCCTGCCTCAGCCTCCCAAGTAGCTGGGACTACAGGTGCCCACCACCACGCCCAGCTAATTTTTTGTATTTTTAGTAGAGACGGGGTTTCACCGTATTAGCCAGGATGGTCTCGATCTCCTGACCTCGTGATCCGCCCGCCTCGGCCTCCCAAAGTGCTGGGATTACAGGCATGAGCCACAGCGCCCAGCCTGTAGTAAAATTGTTTAAAAAGATGATACTGGGCCGGGCACGGTGGCTCACGCCTGTAATCCCAGCACTTTGGGAGGCCAAGGCAGTTGGATCGTCTGAGGTCAGGAGTTCGAGACCAACCTGGCCAACATGGTGAAACCCCATCTCTACTAAAAATACAAAAATTAGCCAGGCATGGTGGTGGGAGCCTGTAATCCCAGCAACTTGGGAGGCTGAGGCAGGAGAATTGCTTGAACCTGGGAGACGGAGGTTGCAGTGAGCTGAGATCATGCCACTGCTCTCCACCCTGGGCTACAGAGCAAGACTCCGTCTCAAAAAAAAAAAAAAAAAAGATGATACTGGGTACCAAGAGGGTGGGGGCTGGCACCATGGGGATCTGAGTATTAGGGAGAGGAGACCAAGTTCAGTTACTGCAGGGAAAAATGCTTATTGAGCATCTACTGTGTGCCAAACCATGTTCTAGGTACTGGGGACATAGCATCAAACAAAACACAAAAATCCCTGCCCTCATGGAACTGATGTCACAGGTGACATGGATAAGTGATAAAATATATATATATATATATATATATATATATATATATATATATATATATATATATATATATATATATAGTGGCTGGGCACAGTGACTCATGCCTGTAATCCCAGCACTTTGCGAGGCCAAGGTGGGCAGATCACTTGAGCCCAGGAGTTCAAAACCAGCCTGGGCAACATGGTGAAACCCCATCTCTACTAAACAATACAAAAATTAGCTGGGCCTGGTGGCACACACCTGTAGCCCCATCTACTCAGGAGGCTGAGGTGGGAGAATAGCTTGAGCCGAGGAGGTCAAGGCTGCAGTGAGCCAAGATTGCACCACTGCACTCCAGCCCTGGGGACAGAGCGGGGCTCTGTCTGTCTCTCTCTCTCTCTCTATATATATATATGTGTGTGTGTGTGTGTGTGTGTGTGTGTGTATACGTGTATATATATATATACACACGTATATATGTATGTGTATATATATATATATATATATTTGAAGAAATAAACTACATAACATGTCAAGTGTAAGTGCCAAGGTAATATTAACATGGTGTAAAGTGGGTGCAGGGGTGCTCAAAGAGGATCTCAGTGAGAAGGTGACACAGGAGCAGAGAGCAGAAGGAACTGAGGGGCAAGACATGGGGAGACAAGGTACAGTGTGCAGTAAGTACTAAGGCACTTAGGGGAGCTTGGCCCATTGGAGAGTCAAAAGAACAATGCAGGAATGGGAGGCATTCAGGGCCCTACTGCTCTGATAAAAACGTTTCGTTTTGCTGTGGGTGAGATGGGAGCCATGGGTTGGTTTTGAGTTTTCGTGTGGATGTTATCTATTGCAATAAAACATGCCACCCCCAAAACTTTGTGGGTTAAAGCAGTGGCAGTATATTTTTTCTCTTGATTTTGCAATCAGGACTGGGTTCAGCTGGCTGGTTCTTCTGCTTGATGGGCTTCCATTAGGGTAGGGATGTCCAAGATGGTTCCTTCACTTAAGATGTCTGGCACCTCGGATGGGATGATTCTAATGGCTGGGGACTGTCTGGCATCTCTTTCTTCACACAGCCTGTCCACATGGCTGACTTGGGCTTCCTCATACCATGGCAGGATCACAGGGGTCAGGCTTCTTACATGGTGTTAAAGCAAACTAAATATGGCCCGAGAAGGATTCTATACTTCTATTTTTGAGTCCTTGTGGACAAGCTATAACCTAGCTTAATAGGCAGACAAGATCGAAAACCTAATTCAAACTGTGTTCAAATAAGGCAAACACCAACATGTAACCAATCCTGCTGTTTCTGTACCTCACTGCTGATTTTTGTATGTCACTTCCCGTTTTTGTGTGTGTGTGTGTGTGTTTTGGCGATGGAGTCTTGCACTGTCGCCAGGCTGTAGTGCAGTGGCGCGATCTCAGCTCACTGCAACCTCCGCCTCCCAGGTTCAAGGATTCTCCTGCCTCAGCCTCCTGAGTAGCTGGGACTACAGGCATGCACCACCACGCCCAGCTAATTTTTTTATTTTTAGTAGAGATGGAGTTTCACCATGTTGGCCAGGATGGTCTCCACCTCTTGACCTCGTGATCCACCCGCCTTGGCCTTCCAAAGTGCTGGGATTACAGGTGTGAGCCACTGCGCCCAGCCACTTCCCTTTTTTTTTAATCTATAAATTTGTTCTGACCAGGAGGCATCCCTGGAGTCTCTCTGAATCTGCTGTGATTCTGGGGGCTGCCCAATT
Source organism: Homo sapiens (assembly GCF_000001405.40). Classification (NCBI taxonomy): domain Eukaryota; kingdom Metazoa; phylum Chordata; class Mammalia; order Primates; family Hominidae; genus Homo; species Homo sapiens. The sequence continues at coordinate 46,512,235 of NC_000019.10, forward strand.
CACAAATTGTTCATTGTTCAATTAAACTTTAAATTTAATTCAGCTGAAGTTTTAAACAATGGCGGCTGGCTTCTAACAGGGAGGCGGTGAATCCTGCCATGTCTCTTAAGGGCTACACCTGGAACTTGTATCACATCATTTGTGCTGAATTCTATTGGTCCAACCAAGTCGTAAGGCTAGCCCAGATTCAAGCTGAGGAGAAAGAGATCCCATCTCTTGATGGGAAAGGTAGTGGGCTCATAGGGCAGGAGAACTGATAGCAATCGTCTTGGATACCATGCCCCACAGTGTGCCCTGTGGCAACAGCTGGCAGAGAAAAGACCTGAAGAGTCTAAATCTGTGTTTCTCTGGAATGGACACAACCATCTCTGCCCCTGGGACGCCACAAGAGCATCAGCCAAGGGCTCAGCTATGAGATGGGCACTTTTGTAATCCAGAGATGGCAGCAACAATATTCATTATTTTTAACTCAAGGAGGATTAAATTCAGTTCCCAAATTCATGGTTATGGTTTCAGACAACAGGATTTTCTTTTTTATTTTATTTTATTTTATTTTTTGAGGTGGAGTCTCACTCTGTCACCCAGGCTGGAGGGCAGTGGTGTGATCTTGGCTTACTGCAACCTCTGCCTCTCGGGTTCAAGCAATTCTCCTGACTCAGCCTCCTAAGTAGCTGGGATTACAGGCACATGCCACCACGCCCAACTAATTTTTCTATTTTTAGTAGAGACAGGGTTTCGCCATGTTGGTCAGGCTGATCTCAAACTCCTGACCTCAAGTGATCCACCCGCCTTGGCCTCCCAAAGTGCTGGGATTACAAGCATGAGCCACCGCACCCAGCCCAGACAGCAGGATTTTTGATGAAATCGCCCCAGAAAACTGGAGTCTTGACTCCAAATTAGCCTTTACCTTCCCAGGGAGAGGACGAGTGGGGACATTATTGCTTCTAAAGTGGGGAGCTGGGGGATGGGGCAGGGGCATACAAGAGATGGGGACAGGGCTTGGTGTGGGAGGGATATTTGCAGTGCTGTTGCCTGGGCTCACCCCACCCCCAGCCCCTGCTGTCACTTACAACCTTCGGCTGGTTAATTACCTGTTGGGGCCTTCACTTATGTACCTGAAAATAGGGATCTCGTTCTCTTAGCATTGTCATGAAAACCTCTATAAGTCAGTGGTTCCCAATCTGGCTGCACTTTTGGAATCACTTAGGGGAAGATTTGCAAAATACCGATGCCCTGGCTCCACTCCCAGGGACTCTGATTCCGCTGTTTTGGGGTGTGGCCTGAAGATTGGGATCTTTAAGCACTCCCAAGTGATTCTAACATACAAGCCAGGCTAAGGACCACTAGGCCAAGCCACCGGGCCAGGGCGTTCTGAGCCGGCGCTTTAGCCAGCGGTCCTGCAGCGCCCCCTGGTGGGGAACACGAGCGCGTCGCCTGTTGTCTGTGGAACTCTCCTTCCTCCCTCCTAGCCGCGTGTCTCGGGCGCTCCTCTCCCTGCTTGAACCGCCGGAGGGGCTTGAGCATTCAGCCCCTGGGGATGGTGTTGTAGGGACCAGCGCGACATCGGGTCTAACCCGCCCGAGGGACAAGGGGGTGGCAATCAGAGGGGCCGACAGACCGGGGTTCGAGCTCTTCCCCACCTCTGAGCCTCAGTTTCCTCATCTGAGAAATGGGATGAAAATTTGACTTCATGTTGCTCCCCAGTGTCAGCCCCGGGAGGGTGCCTGCCCGACTTCCACCAGGGGGCCAGAACCTGAACAAGAGTGGGGACAGTTAGGTGAGGAAGTGGGATATATCCAAACGTAAATGTTTTCTATTTATTTATGTATGTATTTAGAAACGGAGTCTGCCTCTGTCGCCCAGGCTGGAGTGCAGTGGCCTGATCTCAGCTCACTGCAAGCTCCGCCTCCCAGGCTCAAGCCATCCTCTCACCTCAGCCTCCTGCCCAACTGGAACTACAGGCGCGCGCCAACACGCAAGCTAATTTTTGTATTATTAGTAGAGACGGGGTTTCACCATGTTGGGCAGGCTGGTCTCGAACTCTTGACCTCAAGTGATCTGCCTGCCTCGGCCTCCCAAAGTGCTGGGATTATAGGCATGAGCTGCCCACCTGGCCATGTTTTCCATTTAAAATCCTCGTTTTAGTTTGCAATTCTCTCCCACCCATTCTTTGGTTTTATGTTTTCCTTTCTTCACATTGGTTTCATTTTTGTGTTTGTTTTTACTCATTTTGCATTTATTTGGTTTTGGCTACATGAGAAGCTGGTGACCCTGTATTTGGGAAGTCCCCAATATGTGAGGATTATACTGAAGGTGACACCCAAAATTTGGGAGCATGCTGAGGATGGGTCCTTGCAGAGACTGAGGGCAGGGGTTGTCGGGTTCAAGGTGTGGCCGTGGGCTCCTGTCAGCTAGTGTCACAGTCACACTAATAGGCACACACCTACACACACAGACTTACACAGGTGCCAACACACTCACAAAACACACAATCATGCTCACACTCCTAGTCACATTCTAACACACACATCCAGATACACCGACATGTTCACACACACTTGCACATCCAGCATACCGATTCACACACCTTTGCACACACATATGCCACACCCACTGAAACCCTCTCACATGTCCACACACACCATCACCCCGACCCTGACACACACTCACACACACACACTGACACGTCCCCTCCCCTAGTCCACCCCTAATCCTGGCCACACAAATGCCCATTCTTTCTCCCCAGGATGGGGCCAAATGGTGTTTTCTTGGTCATCCTTGGCCGACCTGGCGGCCTGTCCCAGGCAGCCGGACTTACTGGAATCTCTGGGCTGTGGTGTGCACAGGAGAACTCCAGATGGGGCCCCCAGTGAGGAAGGCCTGAATGAGGTGGGGCATCTGGCTGGAGACCATCCTTTCCTCCCTTAGACCACAAGAGGGCGAGGCCCTCCCTCTCCTCCGAGCCAGGGGCTTCGCCCTGGTATTCCCCCACCCATGGCCCCACCCCTTATCCAGGCGCCTCCTTATCCCCCTCTCAGCCCTAGGTCTCCCATCCCCAGTCTTCCCCCATCCCACCCATTTCACCCATGGCAGCACAAATTTGCCCCTGTTCCTCCCCCTGCCTGGAACCTGCTATGGCTCCCCAGTGCCCTCAAGACAACACCCAGCCCTTCACCATGTGCTCCAGATCTGGAAAGAAAGCTCTGGCCAACCCTTCTCCCTGGTTTCATCCAGTCTAAAGCACGTGGACTGGGTCGGGTGTCCCCTTGGGGTTGTCAGTTCTCTCTCCCCCACTGGACTTTGAGTCCCAAGAGGGCAGGTCCAGTATTGTCATGGTCACTGCTGGGTCTCCAGTATGGAGAAGGGGCTCGAGAAGGTTTATTAAACAAAAGAAAGGGCCGTGCGCCGTGGCTCACACCTATAATCCCAGCACTCTGTGAGGCCGAGGCTGGTGGATTACCTGAGGTCAGGAGTTTGAGACCACCCTGGCCAACATGGTGAAACCCTGTCTCTACTAAAAATACAAAAAATGAGCCGGGTGTGGTGGCGCACGCCTGTAGTCCCAACTACTCGGGAGGCTGAGGCAGGAGAATTGCTTGAACCCAGGAGGTGGAGATTGCAGTGAGCCAATATCGTGCCATTGCACTCCAGCCTGGGTGGTGACAGAGCGAGACTCCGTCTTACCAAAAAAAAAAAAGAATGAATTCACGTAACTGTTTAAAGGGTGGATGTATTTTCCTTTTCCCAGAGCTGTGGCTCCTCATGCCCACTAGAGGGCAGAAAAAATCTAGAATTCAATGCATCTACCATGTGTCCTCCCTCCACCACCAAAACGTGCCCCCTCCGCCCCCACCTAAGGAGAAAGGAATAACAATAACAATGTGAATAACTGCTAATATCAGCCCTACTGCTTGTCAGACCCCTGTTAAGTGCTTCACACACCTGATCTCTAAATCAACTGCTAGATGAGACCCAGCCAAGGTAGAGGAGGAGGAAAGCAAGGATCAGGGAGGGTGTTTAATTTTCCCAAGTCGCACAGCATCCAAACTGCAGATAAACTTCCAGCTCAAGCCTCTGTGACTTCACAGCTCTTTGTCCTGTTTGTGGCAAAGTTTCTCAAAAGAGAGAGTGGTGACTGGGTGTTAGACCCCTTGATGAGGATGGAGGGGGGCAGCTCATGCAAAGGGGGCCTCTAGCCAGGCAGCCCTCCCCACTGCCACTGCCCGGGGAGCCTGCACACTTTAAGGCAGATTCTTCATAGCCTTAGGGGCTAACCTCTGAAAGTGTCACAGCAGCCCAGGGATGCGGGTTCTATTATTTTATCCCTGTGATACAGATTAGGAAACTGAAGCTCAGGAAAATTGAGGGACCTGTCCTGGGTCGCGAGACATGGAGGTGGCAGAACTGAGATTTACCCTGCAAGGGGCCTTGCCAGGGCAGGACACAGAGACTTCAAATGCTAGGAGGAGGAAATGGAACTCCTTCCCCAGAAGAGGGAAAAGTAACTACAGGGTGAGGGTCTGGGAGAGGAGAACAAGGACCTATTTTCTGATGAGGAAAGGGCAGGCTTTTGTAGGTCTGTATCCCAGGTTTAGGGGAGCCCAGGGAACCTCAAGGTCTTGGAAATTCTTATTTTAAAAAGACCCTGAGGTCAGGCGCCAGTGGCTCGCGCCTGTAATCCCAGCACTTTGGGAGGCCAAGGCAGGTGGACTGCCTAAGATCAGGAGTTTGAGACCAGCCTGGCCAACACGGCAAAACCCTATCCCTACTAAAAATACAAAAATTAGCTGGGCATGGTGGTGCACACCTGTAGTTCCAACTACTTGGGAGGCTGAGGCAGGAGAATCGCTTGAACCCGGGAGGTGGAAGTTGCAGTGAGCTGAGATCGTGCCACTGCACTCCAGCCTGGGGTGCAAGACACAGCAAGACTCTGTCTCAAAAAAAAACAAAAACAAAAACAAAACAAAAAACAAAACTGAAGGGTGCAGACTGAGGAAGAGGGAAGTAACAGTCAAATTGTGCATTTATTAGAAAAAACAATCTAGGTCCCTTTGGGGAGGCTGGAAAAAATGCCCAGGTAATAGTAAGTGAAGAAAAAAAAAACTGGTAGAAATATGTACATAGAATGAGTCCATTTTGGTTAAATAAATAAATTCATAAAGCTAACATTTATTGCCTCCTAAGACAGGCCAGGGATTGTCTGAATATTTTACAAGGGCTTTTGTCACTAATCCCATAACTCTGAACGAGTCCCATTTTACAGGCACAGAGGTTGCACAGAGCCCAGGAATGGCAAAGTGAGGTGGCAAACCAAGGTCTTCTGAGCCCAGAGCCCAGGCTCTCAACCCCTGTGCCCTGTGCAGATCACCCTGAACTTGCTCAATGTACCAGCCGTCATTTCTTCATAGCAGCCCCAAATAAATACCTAACTGTTCAATTCCTCATCAGGTGAGGTCTAAACAACCCAAGTATTTATGTCCTAAGAACTTAGTAGCCATGGCCGGGTGCAGTGGCTTGGCCTGTAATCCCAGCTCTTTGGGAGGAAAGGCAGGCGGATCACTTCAGGTCAGGAGTTTGAGACCAGCCTGGCCAACATGGTGAAACCTGGGTGTGATGGCGGGCGCCTGTAATCCCAGCTACTCAGGAGGCTGAGGCAGGAGAATTGTTTGAACCTGGGAGGCAGAGGTTGCAGTGAGCCAAGACTGCACCACTGCACTCTAGCCTGGGTGACAGAGCAAGACTCCATCTCAAAAAAAATAATAATAATACACTTTTTTCAATTTATGTGATGAAAATATTTGATATGATGAGGAGACAGTTTTCAAAAACACTTTTGGTAGCACCAAAACAAAGTTTGAAGTCCTCTATCCTGGGGCCTTGCGGCTTCTTTTCTTTCTTTTTTTTTTTTGAGATGAAGTCTCACCCTGTTGCCCAGGCTGGAGTGCAATGCTACAATCTCGGCTCACTGCAAACTCTGCCTCCCGGGTTCAAGCAATTCTCCTGCCCTAGCCTCCCTAGTAGCTGGGATTACAGGAGCATGCCACCAAGCCCAGCTAATTTTTTGTGTGTCTTTAGTAGAGATGGGGTTTCATCATGTTGGCCAGGCTGGTCTTGAACTCCTGACCTCGTGATCTGCCCGCCTCGGCCTCCCAAAGTGCTGGGATTACAGGCGTGAACCACTGTGCCCGGCCGGGCCTTGCATTTTCTATAAATGTTCTTACTTAGTTTAAAGCGAGACGGGAGCGCAGGACCCAGTCCTGGGAGGAAATGAAGTCTCAGAGGGAACTGGCAGGCAAAGCTTATAAAGACCACAGTGATTATGCCAAGGTCAAGGAAAGGGTTGGGGAGGGCGGGGCAGGCTCCACCTTTTGAGCAGGGCAGCGGGGAACTCCCCCAGCCATCTCTGCGCCCCACAGGGATACTCACACATTAACACGCGTGTGTACAATGAGACTGTCTGCCATACAAATGGCATCGTATTCTACGCGCTGAGGACTGCTGTAACAAACTATCACAGAATGGGTGGCTTCAATGACAGAAATTAACTTTTTCACAATTCTGGAGGCCAGAAGTCCAAAATCAAGGTGTTGGATAGGTTGGTGTCTCCTGAGGCCTCTCTCCTTGGCTGTGCAGACGGCCGTCTTCTCCCTGTATCCTCACATGGTCTTCCCTCTGCATGGGGCTGTGTCCTGGTCCCCTTTTCTCATAAAGACACCAGTCAGGTTGGATTAAGGGCCCACACATGGGACCTCATTTTACTTTTTTTTTGTTTGTTTTTGAACCAAAGTTTCGCTCTTGTTGCCCAGGCTGGAGTGCAATGGCATGATCTCGGCTCACTGCAACCTCCTCCTCCCTAGTTCAAACAGTTCTCCTGCCTCAGCCTCCCAAGGAGCTGGGATCACAGGCATATGCCGCCACGCCAGGCAAATTTTGTATTTTTAGTAGAGATAGGGTTTCACCATGTTGGGCAGGCTGGTCTCGAACTCCTGACCTCAGGTATCTGCCCGCCTCAGCTTCCCAAAGTGCTGGGATTACAGCTGTGAGCCACCAAAGCACCCGGCCTCATTTTACCTTAATTACCTCTTTAAAGACCCCCATCTCCAAATACAGTCACATTCAGAGGTGCTGGGAGTTAAGACTTCAACATATGAATTTGGGGATGGCGATAGCATAGTATATGGTAACTCTATGTTAAACTTCCAGAGGAACTGTGGCCACAGGTAACTCTTTAACAGAAACTTGCCTGTGTTTTCTTTGTACTCATTCTGCCTTCTGGAGAATTCCTAGGAACCCGGACAAAGGTAGTTGGGCACAGTGGCACATGACTGTAGTCAAACCTACTCAAGAGGCTGAGATGAAGAATGCCTTGAGCCCTGTAGTTTGAGTCCAGCCTGGGCTACACAGCAAGACCCCCATCTCTAAAAAAACAAAGACAAAGCTAACCTACAAATTGTTCTCAAATGTAAAGACACGGAGGCTGGGCATGGTGGCTCACGCCTGTAATCCCCAGGCCAAGGTGGGAGGATTGCTTGAGGCCAAGAGTTTGAAATCAGCCTGCGCAACATAGGGAGACCCATCTCTATAAAAATAAAAAAATTAGCCAGGTGTGGTGGTGCATGCCTTCGGTCACAGCTACTTGGGATGCTGAGGTGGGAGGATCACGTGGGCCCAGGAGGTTGAGGCTGCAGTGAGCTGTGATCGTACCACTGCACTTCAGCCTGGGTGATAGAGCAAGACCCTGTCTCAAAAAAAAAAAAAAAAAAAAAAAAAAAAAAAAAGACATGATAGAAATATTTAACAATTACTTGACTTGATTTACTATGAAATATTTAATGATGTATTAGTTAACTGTGATTTTGCCAGTTTCTTCTGTATTTTGAAACTGATACTTTTTTTCTGGTTCAAAAATTTTTGGAAGGTGCTTAAGAAATAACTGTTCCTCCCCACTGGGCCTGTGGAGACCTGTAGACAAAGTACTAAAGTAACTCAGCACAAATGTGCAAAGTCTGTAAATTTGGGTCTTTGATTTTCATAGCTATGAAGAGCTCAGCATGACTCTTGGTGGTTAAGAGGCAAATTTTGCTATATTTCCTCTTCCTGCTGCAGCTGTACTATTAATAAAATCATTCTGAACAGCTTTCCTGAAATGTAAAAATAAGCCAAGATGTCTATTTTGTGGATTTTTTTTTATTATATGTATAAGCACAGGAAAAAACAAATCTGGTAGGACCTGCATCAAAAGGTTAGCAGGGTTCCTCTCTGGGCTGGGGGCTTAAGGGAGGGGTGTCTGCTTCAGCCATATATTGCTGTTCACAACCCGCTAGAGTTTAGGGGCTTCAAACAATGACTTACTAGCATTCAGAGGGTTGACTGCGTGGTTCTGCTGCTGGTCTCTCCCTCGGTCACTTGTGTGGCTAATGTCAGCTGGTAATAGGCTGATTCTCCCCCACACAGCCTCTCTGCATTCACCTGGGCTTTCACTATTTTGTAACCCAGCTTTAGCTTCCTTGCAAGATGGCAGCTGGCATGCACGTGAGTAAGAGTGGGAGTCTCCTGGACTCTTAAGGCCTAGGCTTGAAATTGACGCATCACTCTGCTACATTCTATTGGTCAAAACAAGTCACGAGGCCTGCCCAGAATGGAGGGGAGGGGAAGTAGACCCCCCTGGTGATGGGAGGAGTGATGCGTGTGTACAGGGAAGGGAGGAATTGTTAGTAGCCATCTTTGAAGGCTGCTGACCTCCGTGTCTTTCTTTCTGTGTTTAATAGTATGCCTAGAATAATAATACCACCTAGAATATTATATAATAATGCCTAGAATATTATAGAAAAATAATATCAGACGTATTATTTTTATGATGATAGATATTTTTTTAAATAATGCAATAAATTGTGGGAAACTTGTTGGTTGGACCAAGAATCTACAGAAATAAGTGAAACCTGGCTGGACGCGGTGACTCATGTCTGTAATCCCAGCACTTTGAGAGGCTGAGGTGGGCAGATCACTTGAGATCAGGGGTTCAGGACCAGCCTTGGCCAACATGGTGAAAACCGTCTCTACTAAAAATACAAAAATTAGCCAGGCATGGTGGCAGGCAATTGTAATTCCAGCTACTTGGGACGCAGAGGTGGAAGAATCGCTTAAACCCGGGAGGCGGAGGTTGCAGTGAGCCGAGATCGCGCCAGCCACTGCACTCCAGCCTGGACGATGGAGCGAGACTCTGTCCCTGTCCCGCCCCCTCCAAAAAAAAGACACAGCAAAAGAAAAGACACAGAGAAGAAGAGAAGGCCAGAGACTGGAGCCAAGAGACATCAAGAGCCCCCAGAAGCTGGAGGAGGCAAGAAAGGATTCTCCCATAGAACCTTCAGAGCCAACAAGGCCCTGCTGGCATCTTTGTTTTGAACATCTGGCCTCCGGAACTGTGAGAAAATAAGCGTCTGTTATTTTTAGCCACCAAGTTTGTGAGAATTTATGACAGCAGCTCTAGAAAATGAACACAGACATAGACAGAGAGAGGGAGACTGATCTGAATGTAGATGGAGATGTGGATATAGTTGCAGATAGAGGATAAGCTACCAATAAGGATATAGCAGCCCCTATGGTGTAGGTATAGATTAGGATAGAGCTGTGGGCGTAGACATGGATATAGACATAAACATCAATGTAGACATAGATATTACTGTGGATATAGACATAGAAGGAGATAAAATAGACCTTGAAGGGCCGGGCACGGTGGCTCACGCCTGTAATCCCAGCACTTTGGGAGGCTGAGGTGGGCGGATCACCTGAAGTTAGGAGTTCGAGACCAGCCTGGCCAACATGGTGAAACCCCATCTCTACTAAAAACACAAAAATTAGCCAGACGTGGTGGCCCACGCCTGTAGTCCCAGCTACTCGGGAGGCTGAGGCAAGAGAATCACTTGAACCCGGGAGACGGGGGTTGCAGTGAGCCAAGATCGCACCACTGCACTCCAGCCTAGGCAACAGAGCAAGACTCCATCTCAAAAACAACAAACAAACCGAAAAAACAGACCTTGAGGAAAGCTTGAGGAAGGAATGGGGTCACCTGGGCTAACTATGGGCCATTGCCAACAGGAGGTCACAGCAGATGTCATGGAGACAGCCTCCTACAAACGCTCCACAGCTAAGCTCTTCAGGTTTTCTGGAAAATCCCAAGTATCAGAAATTGCTTTCTTGGTTGGGCACAGTGGCTAATGCCTGTAATCCCAACACCTTGGGAGGCCAAGACAGGAAGATTGCTTGAGGCCAGGAGTTCAAGACCAGCCTGGGCAACATAGCAAGACCTGTCTCTTAAAAAAAAAAAAAAAAAAAAAAGCTTTCTTTCACTCCTCCAGTCATCCTGCTCTTTTCTAGTTTCTGGATAATCAATTTGACCCCCAAAATGTGAAAACACAATTCATTGTTTTCAGTCAAAAGTTGTATTTTTCTTTTCTTTTTGAGACAGAGTCTTGCTCTGTTGCCCAGACTGGAGTGCAATGGCGTGATTATGGCTCACTGTAGCCTTGACCTCCTGGCCTGTAGTGATCCTCCCGTGTTAGTCTGCCAAGGAGCTGGGATTACAGGTGTGAGCCAGGGCACCCAGACTTCAGTATGAAGTTTTCTCTCCCTTCTCTTACCTTTCTCATATAAATCCTGTTTTGCTTTTGAACGTTGACAACAGTCCTATGACCATCTCCCTCCCCTTTGCATGCCAGTGTCCAAAACAAAATCAGATCCAATGAATAAATATTTAAAAGTTTGTTGTCATTAAAAAAAAGTGGGGACAGGGCACAATCCAGGAGACCTCAACCCAGGTAGTAAGAAGCTCAGAGGCATGTTGTTACAGGATGGCTGAGAAAGCAAAAATCAGGAAGTGGTTTAACCTTTACAGTGACTGTCTATACAGTGGAGGTTTCCAGATTGCACGGGACTGGTTAAAAGCAATCCTCTTATATCATTTGGGGAAGGCAACTTAAGTTTCGTTTATGATTATCAGAGGCATTTGTAAGAAATAACCTAAGCTGGCTGGGTGCGGTGGCTCACCCCTGTAATCCCAGCACTTTGGGAGACTGAGGCAGACAGATCACTTGAGGTCAGGAGTTTGAGACCAGCCTGAGCAACATGGTGAAACCCCGTCTCTACTAAAAAAAAAAAAATACAAAATACAAAAATTAGCAGGGCGTGGTGGTGCGTGCCTGTAATCCCAGCTACTTGGCAGGCTGAAGCACAAGAATTGCTTGAACCCCGGAGATGGAGGCTGCAGTGAGCAGAGATCATGCCACTATACTCCAGCCTGGGTCACAGAGCAAGATTCCATGAAAGAAAGAAAGAAAGAAAGAAAGAGAGAAAGGAAAGGAGAAAGGAAAGAAAGGGAGAGAGATAGCCGGGCGTGGTGGCTCACGCCTGTAATCCCAGCACTTTGGGAGGCCAAGGTGGGCGGATCACGAGGTCAGGAGATTGAGACCATCCTGGCTAACATGGTGAAACCCCGTCTCTATTAAATATACAAAAAATTAGGTGGCGGGCGCCTGTAGTTCCAGCTACTCGGGAGGCTGAAGCAGGAGAATGGCGTGAACCCAGAAGGCGGAACTTGCAGTGAGCCGAGATCGCACCACTGAACTCCAGCCTGGGCGACAGAGCCAGACTCCATCTCAGAAAAAAAAAAAAAAAACAAGGGAGAGAGATTGAGAGAGAGATCGAGATCTAAGTTGAGTTTCGCTTACATTCAAAAGTCAGAGTACCTTAGGTTTTGCTTATGTGGCCTGATTTTGTCTTCTTGGGGAATTCTCAGTCCGGATCCACCCCCCCTAGTTTTGTGTGTGTGTGTGTGAAACAGGGTCTCGCTCGGTTGCCCAGGCTGGAGTGAATGGCACGATCGCAGCTCACTGTAGCCTTAACCTCCTGTGCTCAGGTGATCCTGTTGCCTCAGCCTCGCAAGTAGCTGGGACCACAGGCATGCACCACTTTGTGCAGCTAATTTTTTTTTTTTTACTTTTATAGAGATGGAGTCTTGCCATGTTGCCCAGGCTGGTCTCAAACTCCTGGGCTCAAGGATCCTCCCAATTTGGCCTCCCAAAGTGTTGAGATTACAGGTGTGAGCCACTGCGCCTGGCTCCCCCCATTTTATTTTAACAACTTTCCCCTTTTGACATAGCAAGCTGAGGGGGTAATGAAATCGTATAGCATTACTTTCTGGGAGTGCTATTGGCTGGGACAGATGGGTGTATAGTCATTTTTGATAGCTGCATAGTCATCTTAGACATATGTGGTAGAGTCCTTAGGTTCTCCAAGTTGTCTAATGCAGATGGGTGTCATTAGTTGCATCAGTGGCTGTTGAGAGGCATTGGAAACCCTTAAGAGGATGCAACTCCCAGGGAGGTTAATATCATGACTAGGAGGAGAATAATATAGCCAAGGGTTGGAAAATTCACCAGAGGAGAGATTCCCAGGAGCCAAGATGTAACCAACTAAATAAATAAATGGAAAAAGTATCACCTATCTGATAAGATTTACATCTGTTCTTTAAAATCCTCTGAAGTGTGGGCAAAAATTCTTGATATATTAACACAGAAATGACAGCTTCATTCATTATACCTCCTTTTTGGGCAGTTAGAGTAGCTCAGACTCATACATTTTGTGAAATTATTGAAGCAAGGCTAGAAACCTCGGTTTGTAAGCCTTGGAGGAAATTAACAGTGTCATTGAAGTTTTTTTCTAAAGTTTTAGAGCATTTATAATAGCCCCTTCCTTCCTTCCTTCTTTTTCTTTTTCTGTTTCTGTTTTTGTTTTTTGATATGGAGTCTTGCTCTCTTGCCCAGGCTGGAGTGCAGGAGTGCAGTGGCATGATCTTGGACCACTGCAACCTCCCCTTCCTGGGTTCAAGCAATTCTCCTGCCTCAGCCTCCCAAGTACCTAGGACTACAGGTGTGCACCACCACACCCAGCTAATTTTAGTATTTTTAGTAGAGACGAAGTTTCACCATGTTGGCCAGGCTGGCATTGAACTCCTTACCTCAAGTGATCCACCCGCCTCGGCCTCCCAAAGTGCTGGGATTACAGGTGTCAGCCACTGTGCCTGGCCCATAATAGCCTTTTCTAAATCAGAGACACCAATACAAGGAATTGGAGCTCTGTCCACCAAAGGAAGTCAGTGTCATGTGTAGTGAGAGGGTTGGTGCTTCTTGGATTTCTCTAACGGTGCTATCTTCTGAACAAGTGAGCCAAGGTTGGTGGCTTTATTTGTAGAGATAGTTTATTGTATCTGAATATTGGGAGGGATTACTGCCAATCCATAATGACCACGACTCCTGTTTGGTGTTGGCTGTTGTGGCTGCCCTTCTCCTGTCATTTTGCTCAGTGCCCGCGCCTGGCAGTGCTGTGATGCCATCCCAGGGTTCCCGGGTGCCCGGTACCTGACAGGTGCATTACCTGGTAGGCGCATTTCTGGTGCAGTTTCTTCTGGTCCTTGTACCACTGCATGAGCCCCTTCATGAAGGTGATTGTCACTTTGTCGTCCTCAAGCTTGGGTCCGCTGTACTCACCCTCGATGGCTGGCATGTGAACAGGGGAGACACGAGAGTCAGCGACCACGGCCACTGTAAGGGGGAAGGGGGTCTTGCTCCCAGGGATGAGGTGGACCTGGCTCTGGACACACAGATTGAGAGAGGGACAGAGCGAGTGAAGAGTCCCCTCTCTGGTCAGGTCTGGCCCAGAGGCCTCTTCCTGACCTCCTTCTCTTCCTTCACCCGCCCCCCTTTACCCTATTCAGTTTTATGGCACTTAGCACGATTCATTTTGTGACTTGTTCATCATCTTATCTGCCTCCTAGAATATCAGCTCCATGCGGACAGGAAGGGTTTTGTTCATAGCTGTACCCCCAGTGCCTAGGACAGTGCCTGGCACATAGGAGATGCTCAATAATCATCTGTGGGATGAATGGCTGGACCTTCTCAGCACCTAGAGGTGAACCAGACACAGCCTGTGGGGGCGGGGCTACTGCCGGCAGAGAGGGAGGGAGGAGAGGATGACAGAGTGGCCAAGAAGCCAGCATGGAGAAGGGCCCGGGCAGGGGTGATGCTGGTGGGTAGGGAAGGTGTATTAGTCCATTTTCACATTGCTGATAAAGACATACCCGAGACTGGGTAATTCATAAAGAATAAGAGGTTTAATGGACTCACAGTTCCATGTGGCTGAGGAGGTCTCACAATCATGGTGGAAGATGAAAGGCACGTCTCATGTGCCGACAGGCAGGAGAGAATGAGAACCAAGTGAAAGGGGAAACCCCTTATAAAACCATCAGATCTCGTGAGACTTACTCACTACCACGAGAACAGTATGGGGGAAACTGCCTCCACGATTCAATTATCTCCCACCAGGTCTCTCCCACAACATGTAGGAATTATGGGAGTTACAATTCAAGATGAGATTTGGGTGGGGATGAGATTTGGGTGGGGACACAGCCAAGCCATATCAGCGGGGTGTTGCAGCTCCTGACCTCGCCCATTGGGAATCATGAGACGGAGCTTTGGGCTGCGGATGGAGCGCCCTGGAACACAGGCAGAGGAGCGACAGACAGCAGCCTGGGGGCAGAACAAGGGGCTACCCTTGAGCCCACCCCCACCCCCAGGGAATGGAGAAGGCCCGTGTGGAATGTTCTGGGCTGGAGCGTGGAGCATCCAGGCCTGACTCACTCATGCTCTCGATGTCCAGCGAGTCCACCACGGAGCGCTTGTGCTCGTCGCCTGCGATGGCCCGCTCAAAGGCCTTCTGCTTCACGATCTTGTTGCACTCCTGGTATTTCATTTTGGCATCCTTGTCGTGGGGCTTCACCTTGACCACCTGGGTGGGAGGGAAGGGGCGTGCACACTGAGGCCGAGGTGGGGGCACAGCGGCTGTCCCCAGGCTGCCCAGCCCTGGATTCCATGAACGCGGAAGTCAGGCTGCCCGGGCACCAGTGCTGATGGTGCAACCCTGGACATGTTTAACCTCCAAGTCTTGGTTTCTGCACCCCAAAACTGTCCATAGCTAAGCTGCTCACACCGGCACACTTCATCAACCTTAGCTATAACTACATTAAAATCAAACACCTTGCCCGTCTGAGGACCATGGGCTCAGCTCCTGGTCCCCCGTGGGAACCAGTGCAGGCAGCGACAACTCCAGGCTTCCCAGCCTTGGACTCCAGGACTTACGCCAGCTGCCCCTCAAATCCTCAGGCCTTTGGCTTCGGACTGAGAATTACACCGTTGGCTTCCCCAGTTCTGAGGCCTTCGGACTTGTTCTGAGCCACACTCCCTGCATCCCAGGGTCTCCAGCCTGCACACAGCCTCAGGACTTCTCCGCCTCCATAATTGAATGAGCCAGTTGCCCAATAAACCCCTTCTCCTATCTCTGTCTACACATATCCTGTTGATTCTGTCTCTTTGGAGAACTCTGATTAATATGCTTCCTCTATGAAACAAACAGGGCTGTTCCTAGCCATCTCCCAGCCCCTAGGGAGATGAAACGCCATGGCATACCTGGCCACCGCAGGGCTCAATTAAGATGAGCTGTAATTATTATTATTATTATTACTTTGAGATGGAGTCTCACTCTGTCACTCAGGCTGGAGTGTAGTGGCGCAATCTTAGCTCACTGCAACCTCCATATTCTGGGTTCAAGCAATCCTCCTTCCTCAGCCTCCTGAGTGGCTGGGATTACAGGCGCCTGACACCACCCCCAGCTAATTTTTGTATTTTTAGTAGAGATGGAGGTTTCACCATGTTGGCCAGGCTGATCTGGAACTCCTGACCTCCTGCCCACCTCAGCCTCCCAAAGTGCTGGGATTATAGGCATGCGCCACCGCACCTGGCCAAGGTGAGTTGTCATTATTCTTCTTATTGTTATTCCCACAGCCCTGGAGCCTGGGGCTCTGTGCCTTCTACTGCCTGCCAGACAGCGAGGGGCCTGGGCCAGCAGGGCCGTTCTCCTCCGTGCCAGCTCAGTGCCAGGCCCCTCTGGCTGCCTGCCCAGCCCCAGGACTCCTGAGAGCCTGGATCCGGGGTCCTGGGGGGTAAGGGGCCCCTCCCAAAGGCTGCTGTTGCCCGGAACTCTGACGCAGCCTCAGCAGCAACCCCCAAGCAGGCTGCTCCCATCCCAGGGAAGTCCACCTTCCACCCCATCACCCAGCTGAGACTGAGCCTCATCCTGGACTCCTCCCGACCCCTCAGCCCCCACAGCCCGGCAGTCACTTCACTTCTTCTGCCAAGTCGGCCTCCTGAACATCTCTCAGATCCAGCCATTCCCTTCTCACCCTCCAGCCCCACCCAGCCCTGACCTGGCCTCTCCTGCCCACGTTCCTGGCTCAGCCTCCACCTGGCCTCACAGCCTCTTGTCCTGCCCTTCCAGAGGGGTGTTCCTAAGGCACAAACCTGACCCTGTCCTTTCCCTACTCGGAACCTCCCAGGGCTCCCAGAGCCTCCCGCAGAAAGCCCTGGCTCTCCCCACGGCCCTGCGTGATCTGCTCCCTGCAGCTTCATCATAACCCCCACGCACACACACTGCAGCCCCACTCACCGCCTCCATGCTAGGCTCCGCTAACCTCTGGAACTTTGCCACCAGGTTCTTTCTGCCTGAAGGCCAAAACCATCAACCCCCTAGGGAGACCCCCAGGCATGCGTCCAGAGACCCAGCATCCCCCATCCCTCGTCCACTATGTCACCCCACTGTGAGAGCTGAAAGGTTGTTTCTGCCCATTCAGGGACAGAGCCTACCCCAGGAGGCCCACTAGATTCTCAGGCCCACCAGGGCCCATGAGTGGCAGGACCCACACTGGGGGACTGGGAGCTGTGACCCTCTAGGCTAACGGGGAACTATGGGAGCTCTGCCTGGGGACACAGGGCCCCAGGCCTGGGCCAGTTCAAGAGATGAGTGGCTGGCAGCTCCCAGCAGATCACCAGGCTGGGGACGAACCCTGAGGGTGAGAGAGACTCCTCTCCCAAACTAGGAGTGGGCTAGGGTCCTGGACTTTGCCCCAACATCCCCCTCCCACGCCCTGCACGCCTTCAGCCCACACCATTCCACGCTTTCAGCCCACGCCTTCTGCGGCCTCCCCGTCGGGTCCAGCCTCAGCCTCACCCGTCCCATTCATCCACATGACATCGCAAACTTGACCCTCCCCCTCCCTTATTCCAAAATTTTCTCTAGTTCCCCAGTGCCCCGGGAACAAGTCGG
Source organism: Homo sapiens (assembly GCF_000001405.40). Taxonomy (NCBI): domain Eukaryota; kingdom Metazoa; phylum Chordata; class Mammalia; order Primates; family Hominidae; genus Homo; species Homo sapiens. The sequence goes on from NC_000019.10 coordinate 46,529,443, forward strand.
GTTCCTATGAAGCCCTGTATCCCGCAGTCCCACCTTCTCCCCAGTGTTAAGCTCTACTCAGGTGGGGTTCCTCTGCCTCCCCCTACCGGGCTGTAAACCCCCCGGGAAGGTAGGACCTGGGCTGTTTCAGTCCCCATCTAGGCAGGATCAGACCCTGGTGAATGCATGTGGAGGGAAGAAAGGGAAAGAAAGGGAGGAAGGGACAGAATAAGAAGGGGAGGGAGGGTGGTGCCCTTTAAAATCAAAACCTCTGGTTTCATCTTTCTTCCCTGAACTGGCTCCCCACGCCCACCAGAGGGCGCTCTGACCCAGCAAATTCCTCATACAGCAACAGCCCGTTCTACACACAAAAGGGAATTATGAAAATAAGGATTGACACCAATAATCGATACTTAAAGCCCTACTGTGACCAGTACCTATGCTAAATTATCCACGTGCCTAAATCAACACAGCAATTCTGAGAATATCTTATAAATGAGGAAAGTGAGGCTCAGAGAGGTCATTTAACTTTCCCAGTGTCACACAGCACATAAGCTGCAGAGAAGCTTCCAGCTCTGGCCTTGGTAACCCCACAACCTTCCGTTCCTTGGTCATAGCCTGACGTGACCAAACCACAATGCCCTCTGTGCCTGGCCCTGCCACCTCCTGCCCAACCCCCATCCCGAGGCTCAGCCACACCCTTCCACCCCCAGCTCCTTAGACATCCTGTTCCCCATTTAGTCACTGGAATCTTAGCCCATTGGCTGCCTCGAAAGCACTTCTTCCCTTTCCCTACCCCCACCTCCCACAAATGGTCACCTCCTCCCTTCAGCTCAATGTCACCTCCTCTGAGTAAGCCTGTCCTGATCCAGGGTTAGCTCCATCTCTTCCGACTCACCTCCCCTAAGAATCCAGGCTTTCCCTGCGCTCCAGGAGGCAGGGCTTCAGTCATCATCGTGTCCCCAGAGCCCTGCACAGGCACTACAGAAAGACTGAATGAATGAATGGATGAGTGAAGTCTACGGGGTTAAATAAATGAACACTCAATGAGTGACACCCTCTCCCTCTCCCTCAGCCAGAAATTGAGACATTCTCCAACAAACACCCACAGCCAGGAAGAGAAGATCCCGGACCCGCTAGCCAAGAGTGCACGCTTCAGGCTCCCAGGACCCCCAAAATTCATCCTGCTGAGGCTGTCGGGGGATGCTGCCAGGACTCTGTTGGAAGCCAAGGCCCTAGGGCTCCTGGAGAGGGTCCCATACTCCCTTCAGTCCCTCCCCAGGCCAGGTACAGTGAGTCTCACTAATGCCATCATGCCTTTAGGGCAGAGTCTCCTGCTTTCCAGCCCAGAGTCCACTTCCCTCTCCTGAATGATTCACCTCCATTTCTCTCCAGAGAATCCCCCTCCCCACTCTCCTTCCAGGTGACTCCTACAGGGCTCACCCAATCCCCTGCCCACCCAAGCCTGGCCAGTCAGTACGCTTCCTCCCTCCCTGGTCACTGTGATTGGGGCAGGGGCAAGCACATGATCCAGTTCATCCAATAGGAGTCAGCCCTGGGTCCAGGGCTAAATTAATGAATGAAGGAACCCTAGAACCAGCCATGCCTGAAGCCAAAGCCACGCTGGACTTTTTTTTTTTTTTTTTTTTTTTTTTTTTTTGAGACAGAGTCTCGCTCCATTGCCCAGGCTGGAGTGCTGTGGCGCGATCTCAGCTCACTGCAAGCTCCGCCTCCTGGGTTCACGCCATTCTCCTGACGCAGCCTCCCGAGTAGCTGGGACTACAGGCGCCTGCCACCAGGCCTGGCTAATTTTTTGTATTTTTTTTTTTTTTTTTAGTAGAGACGGGGTTTCACCGTGTTGGCCAGGATGGTCTCAATCTCCTGACCTCGTGATCCGCCTACTTCGGCCTCCCAAAGTCCTGGGATTACAGGCGTGAGCCACCGTGCCCAGCCAACCCTGGTCTTTATAGTAATATGAGCCAATGAATTCCTTTTTCACTAACCTGCTTAAACATGGCTAACTTGGGTTTCTGTACTTGGGACCTAAACAGTCCTGTGTATCCCACTCCTCAAAGCATTCTCTGAGGCCCCAAGGGAAGCAGGGTGGGGGGTGGCTTCTCAGTGTCCTGCCAGTCAGTACATCTGGCTCCAAATGCTGGACCAGGAGTTAGGGGGAGAGGGAAAGGGTCTTCTGGAGTTTTTAGACCTTGGCACCATCATTTGCCATATTCCTGAGTCTTTTCACCTTGTTCCTGGGGCTCTGGGTCTCTTGTCAACAGGGAACAAGATGACAGCTGCCTGGTAGAGACGGTATCACCATCCCTGGAGCAGATCTGTCTGGAAGGCATATTCTCAATCCCTGCATTTGCAGGACAGACCCAAGCTTGCACAGAGGTCAGACCAGCAGCTTAGTCATGGGGTGGGCTGAAGATACGAAACAGCTGATTTTTCTCTCCATTATGTTGTCCAGGTGGAAGAAGGGATGAATGAATGAACCCTGGGGCTCATCCTAGGGCCTGGGGCTTGGCTCACCATGACAGTGTTCCCAGACACGGGGTGCAGCCCAGGAAAGAACTGAGGCCACCCTGGGGGTGCTGGTGGGACAGTTAGCAAGACATGAAAGGGACCTCCTGGGTGTCATGACATAATAATTTGCAGGTGTCCCAGGGGTTCTTCCTGAAGCCCAAAGATTCCCACCTCCCTCCACCAGCAAGTCCTCACCTGAGCACCCCGCCTACTTCCCACTGCACAGCAGGCTCCAGCAGGGTCATGGTAGCAGTGGCTGCCCAGAGGTCGTGGTTTTTCATTTTTTGTTCTGTTGCCCAGGCTGGAGTGCAGTGGCGCGATCTCGGCTCACTGCAACCTCCGCCTCCCGGGTTCAAATGATTCTCCTGCCTCAGTCTCCCGAGTAGCTGGGATCACAGGTGCACACCACCATGTCTAGCTAACTTTTGTATTTTCTTTTCTTTTCTTTTTTTAATTTTTGTGTTTTCAGTAGAGACAGGGTTTCACCAGGTTGGCCACGCTGGTCTCAAACTCCTGACGTCAAGTGATCCGCCTGCCTCGGCCTCCCAAAGTGCTGGGATTATAGGCATGAGTCACCGCGCTCAGCCAGTTGTGATTTTTTACTTTATTTTATTTATTTATTTATTTATTTATTTATTTATTTATTTATTTATTTTTGAGACAGAATTTCGCTTTTGTCATCCAAGCTGGAGTGCAATGGCGCGATCTCGGCTCGTTGCAACCTCCACCTCCCAGGTTCAAGTGATGCTCCTGCCTCAGCCTCCTGCGTAGCTGGGATTACAGGCTCCCACCACCACGCCCAGCTGATTTTATATTTTTAGTAGAGATGGGGTTTCATCCTGTTGGTCAGACTGGTCTCGAACTCCTGAGCTTGGATCTGCCTGCCTTGGCCTCCCAAAGTGCTGGGATTACAGGCATGAGCCACCGTGCCCGGCTGGTGGTAGTTTTTTTACCTGGATAGAATCTGTGCCCCTGCATCAGGCCCAGCCCGCCGCACAACCTTCACTCAGTCTCTGTTTCACCTGGCCCACACTGGGTCCTAAACATCAAACTTACCCTAGATCTGGAGCCTGATGCCCCAGAGGGAGGCCCACCCAGTCCCACTGACTAAGCCTGGCTCTCTGTGTGAGGCCTGTCTCCCAGAGTCACGAAAGACCCCAGTAAACAAACAACATGCATAGTCTCGTTTTCAGTGGGCTTCTTATAACAAAAAATGCTCTGTCCCTGCAACAGCCTGAAAACGGTTGTCATGGAAACAGCAGTAGCCAATGGAGGAGGGAGAGACAGGCCCCTCCCAGAGCCCAGGCCTCCTGCGGTGGGTGATGGGGCACAGAAGAACCATCAGGATTAAGGGGCAACGGGGAGGGGGGTGTCCCCATGTGGCTGGAGCGGGAGGAGTTTCCTCATCTGGTAGCTCTGAGAGGGAGCCGCTGCTCTCAAAGGGACCCATGAGCATCCCTGGAGAACAGATCCATAGTCTCCTGCGGATCCTCAGACAGCTCTGGGGAGGGGTCCTGGGGAAAGGTCACTGTGAACAGCTGGCCAGCAGGCATCCAGGACGCCCGAGCCCTCATCCCCACTCCAGCATTGCCACATTCACTGAAACTGGGACTCTAAGCCCTGCGGGTGGCTTGCCAGGGTGTCATTGACACCGTGCACTGCAGTCCATCCCTATCTCAGGCTCCCTCCTGCCCCAAGATCAGTGCCCAGTGGGCGGCACCATGGCCATGAGCCTTTTGCAGGACTAGTGCCAGGGGCCTGGACATGGACGCGCACAGGGCCCTGCTGGTCACCGGGATCCTGGAGGGCCTGGAGCAGGTGGATGTTGAAGCCGTCCTGCAGTCGACCCTCCTGCCCCTGGGCACGTTCGGGCTGCAACACATGAAGGGCTTGATGGATAAGAAGGCCCAGGCCGCCCTGGTGGAGTTTGTGGAGGACGTCAATCACGCTGCCATCCCCACAGAGGTCCTGGGCAAGGATGGGATCTGGAGGGTTCTGTGGAAGGACCATGCACAGGACACGAGGTTCCTGAGGCAGATGAGACGCCTGCTGCTGGATGATGGGCCCATGCAGGCCGTGGTGGCTGGGACCCCCGGGGAGGTGCCCACCCCTCCCGCTTCAAAGACCCAGGCTGAGGGGTTGGGACAGTCATGGGGAAGGCCGGTGCCCCTCCTGGGGCTACAAGCGATAGTAACAAGAAGAGTAGGGGTCACAGAAATCGAGCCGGAAGCTAAAAGAGGGCCCGAGGGACATGTCCATTTCCCTTGGCAAAGAAGGAATCCAAGGAAGTTCCCCAGGAGAGCTTGGACATCAAGATCGAGGAGGCAGATGAGGGGGCTTGAGCAGAGATGACAATGACAGCAGGCTGTACACAGCGCTCCAGGCAGCAGCCAGGGAGCAAGTTCACAAGAAGTGGACCCTCTGAAGCCACAAAGACGAGGCAGGTGGTCCTATGGAGTTCTTGGCCCTGATGACCAGGACAGACAAAGCCAAACAGGAGATGATGGAAGAAAGCCCTCTGATTTGATGCACTTGACCATCAAAGAAGGCAGGAGCAGTGACTCCCATATGGTGGCTCTTCTGGCCACCAGAGACATACCTGAATGAGATGCTGAAGGGCTGTAAAGCTTCAGAAAGTGGGCGGGTGCAACCACCAGGTCACAGAGCGGGGCTGGAGGACCCTGAGTTCCTGACTACTGCGGCCTGTACCAGCCCTTCAGACACCAAAAGCTGCCAGGAGGTGTTGAAAATCGCTTCTGAGGCGGGGTGCGGTGGCTCATGCCTGTAATCTCAGCACTTTGGGAGGCCGAGGAAGGCAGATCACCTGAGGTCAGGAGTTTGAGACCAGCCTGGCCAACATGGTGAAACCCTGTTTCTACTAAAAATACAAAAATTAGCTGGGCGTGGTCGTGGGCTCCTGTAATCACAGCTACTCAGGAGGCCGAGGCAGGAGAATCACTGCAGCCTGGGAGGCAGAGTTTGCAGTGAACCGAGATCGCGCCACTGTACTCCAGCCTGTGCAACAGAGCAAGACTCCATCAAAAAAAAAAAAAAAAAAAAGAAGGAAGGAAGGAAGGAAAGAAAGAAAGGAAAGAAAGAAAGAAAGAAAGAAAGAAAGAAAGAAAGAAAGAAAGAAAGAAAAAATTGCTTCTGTGATCGACTCTTTGGGCTGGAGGAATGAGAAAGAAAAAACGATGCCCTCTCGCAGGTCTTGTCTGTCCTGTCCAAGGACACTGTGGTCCCGCGGAAAGCCTGAGATGACAGGAACCTTCTGGAGTGCATTTTCACCTTGGCGCAGCCAGAACCCCCTCCCTGGAGGAAGAAGGCTGAGCCTGGCCTCCTCAGGGTCTGGGGCGAGGATTAAAAGAGACAAAAAGGACAAAAAGAGCGAAGTGGCTCCTGGAGCTGGTGGTGCGCATCTGGCGGCTCAGGCATTGCTGCAGCCGGGAGCACCACCTGGGGAAGAGGGAAAGAGGAAAAGGGTGGGGAGGTGGGAAATTCAAATACACCAAAGGCAACCAAGGGACTACGCAGCTTTCCAGGCTGCCAGTGAGGACATAAAGTCGGGAAAGGCAGCTGCAGGGGCAGCAGTAGCAGAGTTCGAGGACACAGAGAGCAAGGCATGGGAGCCTGAGGGCAAGGCGTCCAGGAAGCCCCTGGCCAAGAGGGCGCACACGGCCCCCCGGGGCCTGGTCTTCAACTGCAGACACAAGTGATTCTCCCGCCTCAGCCTCCCAAAGTGCTGAGATGATAGACGCAAGCCACCGTGACCAGTCTGGTGTCCACTTCTTACTTGTCCCATTCCTTGGTCTGAACACTTAGGTTCCACCCATGGTTTCGTGTTTGGCTCATCTGGGCCTGCTCAGCATATGTGAACTTCAACCTGGGGGTCCATGGCAACTGAAAAAGCAACTCACCATTTTATTCCACAAAGTTGAACCGGATTAGGCTGGTTCTGAGGTTACATGAACAACAAGTTACCTGCTGTGACTGTAGTCCCAACTCACTCCCTACCTTGGAGGGCTGTCACTGTGTTTATCTCAGTAACAAAGACCCCTGAAGTCCCAGTGCCTTGCAACGATTAAGGTTTCTTTTCTTTTTTTTCTTTTCTTTCTTTTCTTTTCTTTCTTTTTTCTTTTTGAGATGGAGTCTCACTCTGTCACCCAGGCTGGAATGCAGTGGCGCCATCTTGGATCACTGCAACCTCTGCCTCCCGGATTCAAGCGATCCTCCTGCCTCAGCCTCCCAAGTAGCTGGGATTACAGGCCCACGCCACCACGCCCAGCTAATTTTTTTTTTTTTTAAGTAGAGATGAGGTTTCACCACGTTGGCCAAGCTGGTCTCAAATTCCCGACATCAAGTGATCTGCCCGCCTCAGCCTCCCAAAGTGTTGGGATTACAGGTGTGAGCCACCATGCCAAGCCTAAAGGTTTATTTTCACATACATGTTGGTAGTAGTGGCTGTGGGTCAGGCAGAAGGGAGACCCCCTGTTTGGATCTTTTCTGCAGGGGCTCACAGCATGGCCACTCATACAACACAGACCAATGCAAGTCGCAAGTTGCCTCTTTGGGGTAAGAATGCATCCCCTCCCGCAGGGGTACCCCAAGCCACATGGCGACAGTCAGGGACCTATATCCTCCTACAGGGAGGCAGCGAATGGAACAACAAAATAATCTAACACATCGCCCGCCCCCCCATCAGAGGCAACACCTCTTCCCATGTGGCTGATGAGATCTTGTCTCCTCCACCAGACTGTGACCACCGTGGGGACAGATTTTGTTCATTGTTGTGTCCCCAGTGCTTGGCATATTGTAAGAACTCAATGAATATGTGTTGAATCCATGAATAAATAAACAAGTAAGTCTTGCTTTTCTGTCTCATATCTGACTCTCCCCAACCCCTCTCCCCAACTCAGGCTTCCTAGACTCAAATCCTGAATCCACTGCTTACCACCTGTGTGACCTTGGATAGATACTTAACTTCTCTGGGTCTCAATTTGTTTATTTGCAAAGTGGGAAGGATACTATTTTGTGCTTTATAGGGTTGTTATTGTAACTTATCACACACACACACACACACACACACACACACACACACACACACCCTGTGCCTGGTATGTAGAGAGTCTTCTATACCAATTAGCTGTTGTGTTTGTTTGTTTGTTTGCAGAGGAGGGACAGGGTATCACTCTGTCGCTCAGGCTGGAGTATGGCAGTGCAATCTCAGCTCACTGAAACCTCTGCCTCCCAGGCTAATGTGATCCTCCCACCTCAGCCTCCCAAGCAGCTGAGACTACAGGCTCATGCCACCACGCCTGGCTAACTTTTTGTCTAGACATAGGTCTCACTACGTTACCCAGGCTGGTCCCCCAAACTCCTGGACTCAAGCAATCTGCCTGCCTCAGCCTCCCAAAGTGCGGGATTACAGGCGTGAGCCACGCAGTTATTGCTGCTGTTGTCACTGTGGGGAAGTGGCCAAGGGCACAGGTTTGGAGCCAGAGGGTCCTGGTCTGAGTCTCACTCTGCCACGTGTTATGTTTGGCCTCAACTCCCTGAGCCTTAACGTCCTCACCTGTAAAACTCAACCTCAGGACATTCTTGTGAATTTCAGGCGTGATTTTTTACGCAAAGCATTTAGCATGCCCCTGGTGCGATGTAAACACAAGCCATAGCTATGAGGATGTAGGAACACTGTGGGAATCCTGCGTGTGTTGATGACTGCGTGTGGAGCGCCCCTGCTGGACAATCACAGAACAGCACGACTGCCCTGACCGGAGACCTCTCTACCCCAGCATCCTCAACTGTAAAATTATAATAACAGTAATGCCAATATGAGATTGAGGATTCGTTGAGTTAATACATGTAAAGTTTCTCGAGTAGCATGATGGGTTAAAGATGAGTACAAATTCCTTATCCTTCTCCCCATCCAGAGGTGGAGTTTATAGAATGAGATGGAAGTAACATTGTTACTGATGTGGGATGTAGACTTCAAGAAGACTGGCAGCTTCTGCTTACTGACTCTTAGAACACTTGCTGTTGGGACACTGTCCCTGAGAACCCAGCCACCATGCTGCGGAAGCTCAAGCCACATGCAGAGGCTATGGGTAGTTGCTACAGTTGACAGCCCCAGTTGAAATCCCAGCCAATAGTCAACATCAACTGGCAGGCATGTGAGTGCCCCATCTTGGGTGTTCCAGCTCATCTTGGGTGTTCCAGCCCCCATGTGACTGCAGCCCAACCAACATTGCAGGAAGCAGGGAAACCGTCCTGTTGAGCCCTGTTAACCCACAGAATCGTAAGAGACAATAAAATAATTATTGGGTTTTTTTTTTTTTTAGATAAGGTCTCACTCTGTCACCAAGGCTGGAGTGCAGTGGTGCGACCATGGCTCACTGCAGCCTCGACCGCCTGGACTCAAGCGATCCTCCCACATCAATCTCCCAGGTAGCTAGGACTACAGGTGTGCATCACCACACCTGGATAATTTTTCTGTACTTTTTTGTAGAGACAGGGTTTCACCATGTTGCCCAAGCTGGTCTTGAACTCCTGGGCTCAAGTGATCCACCTGCCTCAGCCTCCCAAATTACTAAGATTACAGGCGTGAGCCACTGCACCTGGTCAATAATTATTGTTTAAACCACAACATTCTGGGGTAGTTTGTTATGCAGCAATAAAGAGCTGAAACAAATAATATCTAGAACATAGTAACAATAAGCTGCTATTATTATGTCATTCAATCTTCACAACAACTCTGTAAGATTGACATCAATAGTACCTGTATTAGTCTGTTTTCACACTGGTGATAAAGATATACCCAAGACTGGGCAATTTACAAAAGAAAGAGTTTTAATGGACTCACAGTTCCACGTGGCTGGAGAGGCCTTACAATGATGGTAGAAGGTAAAAGTCACGTCTCACATGATGGCAGACAAGAGAGTGAGAGCCAGGGAAAAGGGGTTTTCCCTTATAAAACCATTAGATCTCGTGAGACTTATTCACTACCATGAGAACAGCATGGGGGAAACCGCCCCCATGATTCCACTATCTCCCACTGGGTCCCTGCCACAACATGAGGGAATTATGGGAGCTACAATTCGAGCTGAGATTTGGGTGGGGACACCACCAGATCATATCAGTACCCAGTTCTACAGCTGTGGAAACTAAGACTGCACCCTTAACCACACTGTAGCATTTGATGGAAGTTGAAGGACCTAAAATGGGTTTCTTGTGTCAAAAGATTTAGCTGAGGGAATCAAATATATATAGATCTGTGATTTGGGCAGGAAACAGAAACCCAGAAGCCTTTTGGGAAGCACTTCCCAGGAGTATAAGATACATGCACAGCCGGGTGTGGTGGCTCACGCCTGTAATCCCAGCACTTTGGGAGGCTGAGGTGGGTGGATCATGAGGTCAGGAGATCGAGACCATCCTGGCGAACACCGTGAAACCCCGTCTCTACTAAAAAAAAAAAAATTATCCGGGCATGGTGGCGGGCACCTGTAGTCCCAGCTACTTGGGAGGCTGAAGCAGGAGAATGGCGTGAACCCGGGGGGCAGAGCTTTCAGTGAGGCGAGATCGCCACTGTACTCCAGCCTGGGCGACAGCGAGACTCCGTCTCAAAAAAAAAAAAAAAAAAAGATACATGCACTTCCCATCTGTGGAAAAGTTAACAGAAAATTGTGTGTATGCATGGGGATAAGTTACTCATCTACTGGTGGAAATTTTCTTTATTTATTATTTTATTTACTTATTATTATTATTTGAGAAAGCTGGAGTGCAGTGGCTTGATCTTGGCTCACTGCAACCTCTGCCTCCCAGATTCAAGCAATTCTCCTGTCTCAGCCTTCTGAGTAGCTGGGATTACAGGTGCACGCCACTACACCCGGATAATTTTTGTATTTTTTAGTAGAGACAGGGTTTTGTCATGTTGGCCAGGCTGGTCTCAAACTCCTGACCTCAGGTGATCCGCCTGCCTTGGCCTCCCAAAGTGATAGGATTACAGGCATGACCCACAGCGCCTGGCCAGAAAATTTTTTAAAACAAGTTTCAGATACTTAGATTCTGGCTTCGTTAAAACTATGGTTTAAGGCTGGGCACAGTCGGTCACCTCTATAACCCCAGCACTACTTTGGGTGGCCAAGGCGGGTGGATCACTTGAGGCCAGGAGTTTGAGAACAGCCTGGGAAACATGGTGAAACCCCATCTCTACAAATAAAAGAAAAAAAAATTAACACACAGGTACTCTTAGCTACTTGAGAGGCTGAGGTGGGAGGATCACCTGAGCCCAGGAGGTTGAGGCTGCAGTGAGCCGTGATCACGCCACTGCACTCCAGCCTGGGCAACAGAGTAAGACCCTGTCTCAAAAAACAAAACAAAGCAAAACAACAAAAACTATAGTTGAAGCTGTTGGCAGCTAGTTCCAAAGATATTGGTGGGTGTATTAGTTTGCTAGGGCACATATACTGGGTGGTTTAAACAACAGAAATCTATTTACTCACAATTTTGGAAGCTAGAATCTGAGATCACAGTGTTGGCAGGATTAGTTTCTTCTGCAGCCTCTCTCCTTGGCTTGCAGATGGCCGCCTTCTCCCTGTGTCTTCACGTGGTCTTCCCTCTGTACCATCTGTGTCTAAATTTCCTCTTCTCTCTCTTTTTTTTTTTTTTTTTTTGAGACAGAGTCTCACTCTGTCGCCCAGGCTGGAGTGCAGTGGTGCAATCTCGGCTCACTGCAGCCTCCACCTCCTGGGTTCAAGCGATTCTCCTGCCTCATCCTCCCAAGTAGCTGGGACTACAGTCGCCCACCACCACGCCTGGCTAATTTTTGTATTTTTAGTAGAGACGGGGTTTTGCCATGGTGGCCAGCCTGGTCTCGAACTCCTGGGCTCAGGTGATCCACCTGCCTCAGCCTCCCAAAGTGCTGGGATTACAGGCGTGAGCCACTGCGCCCGGCCTAAATTTCCTCTTCTTATGAGGACATCTGCCATGTTGGGTTGGTGCCCACTCTAAAGACCTCATTTTAACTTAATTGCCTCTCTAAACGCCCTTTCTCCAAGTATAGTTATATTCTGAAGTACTGGAGGTTAGGACTTCAACACAGGAATTTGGAGGGAACACAATTAAATTTGTCACAATGGGAAACTCGGGACTGGAGGGACTGTGGGCACAGGTGTTTCCCAGGCAGGCAAGGGAAGGTTCTAATTAGGTTACAAGATGGTAAGGTCCATATGAGCAGAAACCTATGTTCGAATTGTTCACTTCTATGTTCCTGAATTATACTGGCACTGAGGAGATGCTCAGTAAATGTAAACTGAATGAATGAAAAAATGAGGCCGGGCGCGGTGGCTCACGCCTGTAATCCCAGCACTTTGGGAGGCTGAGGCGGGCGGATCATCTGAGGTCAGGAGTTTGAGACCAGCCTGGCCAACATGGTGAAACCCCGTCTCCACTAAAAATATGAAATTTAGCCGGACGTGGTGGCAGGAGCCTGTAATCCCAGCTACTCGGGAGGCTGAGGCAGGAGAATCGCTTGACTCCGGGAGGCAGAGGTTGCAGGGAGCTGAGATCTCACCATTGCACTCCAGCCTGGGTGACAAGAGTGAGACTCAGTCTCCAAAAAACAAACAAACAAAAAAAAACAAATAAAAACAAAGAATGGACATTGGATCTATATATATCATGTTTATTTCCTGGGTGAATTGTAAGCAAAAAGCTTGCCTATAAGACAGAATGTTAAGCCCAGTGGTCTTGTGTGGATTCTTTCTGGAATGTAACTCTTCATCTTGAGACTGTGGTTCCTATAAAGTTTGTTTCAAGTGTTTATTATATTTAATTATTGCATTTTTTTGAGACAGGGTCTCACTCCATTGCCCAGGCTGGAGTGCAGTGGTGCAAACATAGCTCACTGCAGCCTTGGCCTCCTGGGCTTAAGTGGTCCTCCCATCTCAGATTCCCAGTGTTGGGATTACAGGCATGAGCCACCACGCTTAGCAAAGTCAGTGCTTTCAAACATAAAAAAAAAAAAGCCCGTTCTCTCTTGCAGCTGTATAGGAAGGGGTTCTATTCTGCATCATGAAATTGCTCTAAATAATTAGTTTTTTCACTTTAGGAGGCCGAGGAGGGCGGATCACTTGAAGTCAGGAGTTTGAGACCAGCCTGGCCAACATGGTGAAACTCCATCCCTACTAAAAATACAAAAAAATTAGCCGGGCGTGGTGGCAGGCACCTATCATCCCTGCTACTCGGGAGGCTGAGGCAGGAAAATCGCTTGAACCTGGGAGGCGAAGTTTGCATTGAACCGAGATCACGCCACTGCACTCCAGCCTGGGTGACAGAGCAAGACTCTGTCTACAAAAAAAAAAAAAAAAAAAAAAAAAATCAATTTTAATAGAGTGGCACATTGAGAACATACCCTAAACATTCATTCTGTTCTCCCGTGCAGCCAGGAGCTCCAGTTAATTTTCCTGTTACCAGCCTCATTTGTTAACTCTGTTCATTTGTGTCTTTCCTTGAAAGGATAATTTGAACAAAAGAGTCTAAGATTTTTTTAGAAATTGTTGCAATATCTGAAAAAAAAAAAAAAGAACCTCCCAAAGAAACCTGCATTCTGATTGGTTGTCTTCCTTGATTATTTGTTGCTATGGTGACCAGGAGGTTAAATAGCATCTCTGTATTTCCTAAAGAATAAATACTGGTTGGTTTTCTCTGGCAAATCAGAAAAGGATCATTTCTCTCCTTCCATGATCATGATGCAATAAAAGCCTAGGGCTCTTCTAGATTTATATTTTATCAAAGAAAGTGAGAGTCTTGTCTTATCCAAATTAACAGAAGCACTTAGTCCAGTGTCCAGTCGCTTGAGTGGCGGTGGCCACTCTCGGAAGGGCAATTACAAACTGTACTAATAGTAAGTCCAGCGCGCCATCTGGTGGCCAATTAGAGAATAGCATGACCGTATCTACTTAAACTAAAAGGCGACTCACCTCCCTTCTTGTCTGTTAAGGCTGCCCTAGCAAATTAATACAATAAGCTTGTTCCTGTTGGTCTTAGTCTGATTGAGAAAGAACCCTTGACTGCTTTGACCCATAGAATATGACAGATGTGACACTGTGCTGGGCATGGCGGCTCACGCCTGTAATTCCAACACCGAGAAGCAGAGGTGGGCGGATCGCTTGATCCCAAGACTGCAAGACCAACCTGGGCAACACAGAAAGACCCCAACTCTACTAAAAATAACTTTTTTGTTTTGTTGTGAGACGGAGTTTCGCTCTTGTCGCCCAGGCTGGAGTGCAATGGCGTGATCTCGGCTCACCACAGACTCCGCCTCCTGGGTTCAAGCGATTCTCCTGCCTCAGCCTCCCGAGTAGCTGGAATGACAGGGGTCCGCCACCGCACGTGGCTAATTTTGTATTTTTAGTAGAGACAGGGTATATCCATGTTGGTCAGGCTGGTCTTGAACTCCCGACTTCCACCCACCTCCGCCTCCCAAACTGTTGGGATTACAGGCGTGAGCCACCACTCCCGGCCAAAAATATAACTTTTAAAAATAGGCTGGCGTGGTGGCCCGCACCTGTAGTCCCAGCTACTCGGGAGGCTGAGGCAAGAGGATCCCTTGAGCCTAGGAGGTAGAGGCTGCGGTGAGCTATGATGGCGCCGCTGCACTCCAGCCTGGGTGACAGAACGAGACCCTGTCTAAACAAACAAACAAACAAACAAACAAGTGACACCGCCAGGCCTGGATCTACATTTTAAGGGAACCAGCAGATTCCGTCGTGATCTCTTTGGCTCCCAGGCTACTGTGTAAGAATTGCAACTCCCCAGCCGGGCGCGGTGGCTCACGCCTGTAATCCCAGCACTTTGGGAGGCCAAGGCGGCGGATCACGAGGTCAGGAGATCGTGACCATCCTGGCTAACACGGTGAAACCCCGTCTCTACTAAAAATACAAAAATTAGCCGGGCGTGGTGGCAGGCGCCTGCAGTCCCAGCTACTCGGGAGACTGAGGCAAGAGAATGGTGTGAACCCAGGAGGTGGAGCTTTCAGTGAGCCCAGATCGCGGCCACTGCACTCCAGCCTAGGCGACAGAGCGAAACTCCGTCTCAAATAAATAAATAAATAAATAATAAAAAAAGAATTGCAGCTCCCCTAAGAGCATGGAGCTGTGAGAAGGCCCAGGAGAATTGAAGCTTCCAGACATGGGAGTGAAGAAGCCATCTTGGAGGTGGGTCCTCCAGCCCTCATCACATGATGCCACGTGGAACAGAAATGAACATCCAGTCAAACCCTTTTCACATTCCTGACCCACAAAATCCTGAACAAGCTTGGGAATTAAGCTATTACTGTGCCATTTTTTGTTGTTGTTGTTTTTGTTTTTTCTTTTTGTTTTGTTTTGGGTTTTTTTTTTTTTTTTTTTTTTTGGTTTTCTGGGTTTTATTTGAGATAGAGTTCTGCTCTTGTTGCCCAGGCTGGAGTGCAATGGCACTATCTCGGCTCACTGCAACCTCCGCCTCCTGGGTTCAAGTGATTCTCCTGCCTCAGCCTCCTGAATAGCTGAGATTACAGGTGCCCACCACCACGCCCGGCTAATTTTTGTATTTTTAGTAGAGACAGTGTTTCGCCACGTTGGCCAGGCTGGTCTCAAACTCCTGACCTCAAGTGATCCGCCCACCTCGGCCTCCCAAAATGCTGGGATTACAGGCGTGAGCCACCGCCTGCGGCCATTGTGCCACTTTTATAGAGGAGGAGATTGAGGTTCAGAGGCCCAGTTGATGGTCCAAGATCACACACTGGGAAGTACTGGAACCAGGGTTATGAAATCCTGTCTGCTTGGCTGCAAAGCCTCTACTCTTCCACACTGCATTATTTAGGAAGACAGACAGGCTTTGGGCACGAGCGTGGGCCTCACTGAGGGGAGAGGGGCCTTCTGGCCTCAGTAATATCCCTGTTCCCTTCTCTGACTGTCACTTCCCCCTTAGAGACAGAGTTTCTGCAGAGTGGAGTCTCTTCTCACGCCTGGGAGAGTTTGTGCAGGAGACATGAGAGCTGAAGATCTGGCACCACCTTTGCCTTAAAGACAAAAGGTGACATTTGGGAAAAGCATGCCACTCTTCGAGTGGTACTTAAGGATCCATGGGCTGAATCTGCCTTTTTTTCCCCAACTGATTTGGCAAGGACCTTCAAATAAATCCAGTGGAGCTTCTTGGGGCAGCATGGCCCACTCTCAAGAGTTTAGCCTTTGAGTCATGTGTGGTGGCTCGTGCCTATAATCCCAGCACTTTGGGAGGCCGAGGCAGGCTCACTTGAGGTCAGGAGTTCAAGACCAACCTAGCCAACATGGTGAAACCCCATCTCTGCTAAAAATACAAAAATCAGCTGGGCATGGTGGCAGGCACCTGTAATCCCAGCTACTCAGGAGGCTGAGGGAGGAGAATCGCTTGAACCCAGGAGGCAGAGGTGGCAGTGAACTGAGATCGCACTACTGTACTCCAGCCTGGGCAACAGAGCAAGACTCTGTCTCAAAAAAAAAAAAAAAAAAAAGAGAGAGAGAGAGAGAATTTAGCCTTTGGACTCGCACAGATCTAGGTTCAAACTCCAGCTTTGCTACTGCAGCCTCAGCGCACTTATCTGTAGAATGGGATTTCAAAATGATGTCTGCTTCTCAAAGTTGCTTTGAGAATTTGCTGATATTTTGTCTTTAAAATACTTCATTGTGTGCTGCCTTACACAAAGATCAGAATCTCTGAAAGGACAGGACAGGAACTTTTTACTCACTCACTGCTTCACTCACTGCTGTATGCCCAGTGCTTTCAAAAGCACCTGGGGCTGGGCGCGGTGGCTCATGCCTATAATCCCAGCAGTTTGGGAGGCAGAAGAGAGCAGATAACCTGAGATCAGGAGTTCAAGACCAGCCTGGCCAACATGGCAAAACCCCGTCTCTACTAAAAATCCAAAAAAAAAAAAAATTAGCCAGGCATGGTGGCGCATGCCTGTAATCCCAGCTACTCAGGAGGCTAAGGCATGAGAATTGCTTGAACCCGGGAAGCGGAGGTTGCAATGATCCGAAATCAAGCCACTGCACTCCAGCCTAGGCTCCATCTCATAAAAAAAAAATAATTAAAAACAGTAAAAATAAATAAAAAGCACTCAGCGTGGGATTTTCAATAAATAGTTACTGAATGAGTAAATCAAAAGCAGTCAATGTTACATATGATGATCAGGGCATTTTCAGTTGCAAGCAACAGAAATCTAAGTCAAACTGGCTAAAGGAGAAACAAAAATTCACTGGCCATCTTATTGTAAGACAATAGTGTAGCTTAAACAATAAAAACAAATTGAATTCTCTTTCCCATAGTAGCTCCGGGGTGAATGACCTTGTGAGGCTGTGCGTGTGGCCATCATTCAGGAACCCAGATTCTTTCGGATTGTTGCTTAAAGTGTAGTCCCGAGACCAGCAGCAGCCTCTGGCAATTCATAGGAAATGCACATTCCCAGGTTCCCCCAAGACCTACTAAGTCGGAAGCTCCGGGGGCAGGACCCAGAAAACTGTGCCCTAACAAACTCTCCAGGGAATTCTGATGCCCACTTTGAGAGCCACTGACCTCATGCTCTGTCAGCATTTGCATAATTGAATGTGCCACCTCTGAGTGACTTGGTGAAAGGGAAAAAAGAGAAAGTTCAGAGCAAGACATTTCCTTGAAAGCAGGTAAAGTGGAAATTGCGCAAGTCATGTCCAACTGCAAGCCACTGGGGAGGACCCAGTCATGTGGCTGCAGCCAACCTCAAGGGAGGCTGGGAAATGTAGTCCCCAGCCAGGCAGCCATGTGCCTGAGGAGAAGAGGAGATGGGCTTTTGCTGTCCAAAGGTTTTTGTTTGTTTGTGTTAAGAGACAGGACCTCACTCAGTTCCCCAGGCTGGAGTGCAGTAGCTGCAGCCTCAATCTCCCAGGCTCAAGGGAGCCTCCTGTCTCAGCCTCTCAAGTAGCTGGGACTACAGGTGCATGCCACCATACCCAGCTAATTTTTGCATTTTTTTAGAGACTAGGTCTCAACATATTGCCCAGGCTGGTCTCAAACTCCTGGGCTCCATTCACCTGGGCCTTCCAAAGTGCTTGGATGACAGGCATGAGCCACCACTCTAAGCCCCTGTCCAAAGCTTAAGACTGCTGCAGCCATACTCCTCAGGGTCCCAAAGTCTTCCTTGTTACCTGAAAGCAGAAATAAATAGTTCTGAGGTGCCAGCAGTTTTCATGGACACCTCCCCAGGTGATATGATTAGGCTTCATGTCCCCACCCAAATCTCATCTTGAATTGTAATCGCCATAATCCCCATGAGTCAAGGGAGAGACAGATGGAGATAATTGAATCATGGGGGTGGTTTCCCCTATGCTATTCTCATGATAGTGAGTGAGATCTAATGGTTTTGTAAGGGGCTCTTTCCCCTTTACTGGGCACTTCTCCTTCCTGCCGCTTTGTGAAGAAGGTGCCTTGCTTCCCCTTTGCCTTCAGCCATGATTGTAAGTTTCCTGAGGCCTCCCTAGCCATGTGGAACTGTGAGTCAATTACACCTCTTTCCTTTATAAATTACCCAGTCTCAGGCAGTTCTTCACAGCAGTGTGAAAACGGACTAATAGGCCAGGCGCAGTGGCTCACGCCTGTAATCCCAGCAGGGGAGGCTGAGGTGGGTGGATCATGAGGTCAGAAGTTCGAGATCAGCCTGGTCAATATGGTGAAACCCTGTCTCTACTAAAAATACAAAAATTAGCTGGGCCTGGTGGCACACACCTGTAATCCCAGTTACTTGGGAGGCTGAGGCAGGAGAATCACTTGAACCCAGGAGGCGGAGGTTGCAGTGAGCTGACATCATGCCATTGCACTCCAGCCTGGGCAACAGAGAGAGACTCCATCTCAAAAAAAAAAAAAAAAAAGAAAGGAAAAGAAAAGAAAATGGTCTAATACACCAGGGCACGGCCAAAAGGGTCCTTAAAGGTTTTGCTCCCCAGCATCAGTTTAACCACCTGGAAACAAGAGGCCAGAAATTGCTGCAGGCAGGGAACAGAGGTCTTATGCTATGGACTGAATTGTGTCCCCTTATCCCCAAAATTCATATGTTGAAGCCCCAACCCCCAATACGACTGTATCTGGAGATAAGAGTCTTTAGGAGGTAATTAGGTTAAATAAAGTCACAAGGTAGGATCCTAATCTGATAGGACTATGACCTTATAAGAAGAGAAAGGGCCAGGTGCAGTGGTTCATGCCTGTAACCCCAGCACTTTGGCAGGCTGAGGCTGGAGGATCACTTGAGCCCAGGAGTTCGAGACCAGCCTGGGCAACAGAGTGAGACCCCACTTCTAAAAAAATAAAAAATATTTTTTTTAAAAAGAGAAGAGAAAGCTGTCTCCCTGACCATGTGAGGACATAGTGAGAAGGTGGCTGTCTGCAAACCAAGAAGACAGCCCTCCTCAGAACCTGAACATGCTGGCACCCTGATCTCACATTTGCAGCCTCCAGAACTGTGAGAAAACAGAATTCTGTTGTTTAAGCCACCCAGTCTGTGGTATTGTCTTACGGCACTCTGAGCTGACTTAAGACAGTCCAGAGGGGAGACATTGTTAGGAGAAGAGGCCTCTAAGAAGGTGAAGAGCGTGCCTGAGACCCTTCCCAGTGTAGCTCCGGCAGTCCTCAGCCTCAGTCTTCCCTGGGTCCTTGTGGATGACAAAGAAGCCCCCATCACAAAGAAGCACCATTGATTGGGTCTGCAAAAGACCCAGTGGGACTCACAGGAGCTCACATCAGGGTCACTGGAGTCAAGGGCCTCCATACCACAGGCTCACCACATCTGGGATCTCACCACTCGCACTAAATATGGGAATAGGAAACCTCACCCAGTGTGGGTCCCAAGGAGCAGGCTTCTAGTCTGGGAAATCATGTCTCTTTTGATGGCACTCGCAGTTCCTCCTTCCCTGGCTCTAGTCTACACTTATTACTGTGCTCTACAAAGCCCTGTGTGTCTAACTCCTGCATAGTAATCCAAGTAGCAGAAACACTTTCTTTTTATTAAAATTCATTCTCCCATTCCTCCCTTTAGTAATAAGATGATTGTGGCTGCCCAATTAGAAACAACATCTGGGCTGGTCATGGTGGCTCATGCCTGTAATCCCAGCACTTTGGGTGGCCAAGGTGGGAGGATTGCTTGAGCCCAGGAGTTCGAGACCAGCCTTGGCAGTGTAGCAAGACCCCATCTCTAAGAAAGAAAGAAAGAGAGAGAGAGACAGAGAAAGAAAAAAAGAAACAAAACACCTGCCAGCCTTCCTGATAACTAAGTAAGCTCATGCACCTAAGTTCAAGCCCTTATGAGCTCAAGTGATGTGTACAGCTTCTGGTCAGTTCCTATAAATAAAGATGCTGGCCCTTGACTGTCTTCCTTTCTCCTTCCTGGCTGGGGAACAACTACAGCAGGAACATAACTAAAGAGAGAAGCCATTTCTTAAAGATATCAAAGCCAATTCACAAGCCTGAACACCCTCATGAAGCAAAAGTGTCTGCCTGCCCCAGACCAGCCACCTACCTTTGGATAGAGGGAGAGAGAGAGAGAGAAAAAAGTTCATCTTAGTTAAGCCACAGTCTTTCATTAGCTATTTTCACTGTCTTAAACTCTCTTTTATATTTTTCTTCTTTTATTTTCTCTGTGCCTCAGTCTAGATATTTTCTAGTGGCCTGACTTCCAGCTCATTCATCCTGCCTTCTGCTGTGTCTAATCTGTTGTTAAAGCACATTGACTGAATTCCTTGTTATTATTATTTGTATAAATTTAAGGGGTGCAAGTGCAGTTTTGTTACATGGATATATTGCATAGTGGTGACATCTGGGTTTTTGGTGTAATCATTACCTGAATGGTGTACTTCGTATCCATTAAGTCATTTCTCATCCCTCGCCCCCTACCACCCTCCCACTCTTCCCAGTCTATTATTTCACACTCTATCTGTGTATACACATTATTTAGCTTCCACTTATAAGTGAGAACACGGGGTATTTGACTTTCTGTTTCTGAGTTGTTCCACTTAAGAAAATGGCCTCTAGTTCCATCCATGCTGCTGCAAAATACATGATTTCATTCCTTTTTATGGCTGAGTGGTATTCCATTGTGTGTGTGCACACATACACACCACACACACACACACACACGCATATATAATTTTCTTTATCCAGTCATCCATTGCTGGACACTTAGGTTGATTTCATATCTTTGCTATTGTGGATAGTGCTGCTGTAAACATACAAGTGCAGGTATCTTTTTTCTTTTTTTTGAGATGGAGTCTTGCTCTGTTGCCCAGGCTGGAGTGCAGTAGTGCAATCTCTGCTCACTGCAACCTCTGCCTCCTGTGTTCAAGTAATTCTTGTGTGTCAGCCTCCTGAGTAGCTGGGATTACAGGCACATGCAACCATGCCCAGCTAATCTTTTTGTATTTTTAGTAGAGACAGGATTTCTCCATGTTGGCCAGGCTGGTCTTGAACCCCTGACCTCAGGTGATCAAGTGTTGGGGCCTCCCAAAGTGTTGGGATTATAGGCATGAGGCCACCATGCCCAGCTATCTTTGCCTCTTTGATGTAATGATTTATTTTCCTTTGGGTATATACCCCATAGTGGAATTGCAGGGTCGAATGGTAGTTCTATTTTTAGTTTTTTGAGAAATCTCCATACTGTTTTCTGTTTTCTATAGAGATTGTACTAATTTACACTCCCACCAACAGTATATAAGTGTTCCACTTACTGAATTCTTAATTTCAGTTATGGTACTTTTCTACTCTAGAATTGCCCTTTCTCTGGTAAAATTACCCATCCTTTCATATAATCCCTGCATGTTTTTTTCTTTTGTCTTGAGCATATTAATTCTAGCTATGTAAGATCCTTGTCTGGTAACTCCAATATTAAGATTATCCATGGGTCTATGTATACTATCTGTTTTTTCTCTTGCTTTTCAGTCATTTGGTCTCGCCTCTAGCATGTCTAGCTATTGAATGTCAGGCATTGTACATGAAAAATTGTACATACTGCCCCAGAGAGGAAATTATCTTTATGCAGATAGAGTGGTGCTCATCACTTTAATTCAGTCAAAAACTGGGCTGAATCTAGACTGGGTTGCCATTTTGGAAAGGCACCATGCATATCTAGTTTGCACTTGCTCATGGATTTTCAACCTGGAGCCTGGGTTATAACCTGGGGGTCCATGATCCTGGCAGCTCTTGAACTCTTCTTGTCTCTTCAGCATTGCAAGTCTGCTGAAACTCTATTCTGCTTTTCAGAGGCTTTCTTCCTGGCTTCTTAGACTCTACCCCATGTAGCTTCAGAGTTCTGCAATGTCCTCAAACAGGAACCAGAAAATCATTAGGCTCTTTTTAACTTCTCCTTTCCCCAGGTCCTAGTCCTTCAAGTCTAATTTTGTCCTTCCTGCTCTTTGGGTGTCTGAGAAGGATTCTTCTGCCCAACTCTTTTGCCCAGATCTTCAGTCTCCTTCCCCATACCCAGAAGCATCAAATGCCCTGGAGACAGAAACTGCAAAATGTTGGCTCAGCTCAGCTCTCTATACTGTTCCCCCATATTTGAGATTTTGTTCTCTTGACTCCTAGTTGCCTTAGCAGCTCACCAATGCTTTGAAATAATCATTGCTGCTTTTTACATTTTTAATTGGCATTTCAAATTACTCCTAGCAGCACTATTGGTCTTTCATAAACAATTTCATCATATCCAGAATCATGGGTCATTGTATTTTGAGGTTTTTTGGTATTCATAGCTTAGCCTGTACCCTGACTAACACATAACTTGGCACCTGGTAGTGGCACTGCAGTAACAAAACCCTAAAATATGTGACATTGGCTTAACAATCAGGCAACAAGTAATTTAAAATACAGATTTTTGGCTGGTCATGGTGGCTCACACCTGTAATCCCAGCACTTTGGGAGGCTGAGGTGGGCAGATCACCTGAGGTCAGGAGTTCAAGACCAGCCTGGGCAACATGGTGAAACTCCATCTCTACAAAAATACAAAAATTAGCCAGGCATGATGACAGGTGCCTGTAATCCCAGCTACTCAGTTGACTGAGGTGGGAGAATTGCTTGAACCCGGCAGGCAGAGGTTGCAGTGAGCCCAGATCGCACCATTGCACTGCAGCCTGGGCGACAGAGTGAGACTCCATCTCAAAAAAAAAAAAAAAAAACCACCAAACAAACAAAAAAACAAACAAACGAACAAACAAACAGATTTTGCAAACCTTGTGGCCAATGACCCCTATGGGGCTGTGTAAAATCATTTGGTAGAAAAATCATCTGCAATAACATGGAAGAGAGTCCACATACTTATGAAATCTATGGTTTAGGGAGCTGTTAAAAAATAGGATTTTTTATTGTAGTAAAATATATATAACATAAAAGTTGCTATTTTAACCACTTTTAAGTGTGCAATTAAGTGGTATTAATTGCATTCACAATGTTGTGAAACCATCACCACTATCTATTTCTAGAACTTTTAATCACCCCAAACAGAACTCTGTAATCGTTACTTAGGGAATAATTTGTTGTTATAATTTTTAAATTGAGATATCATTCATCTACTACAAAATTCACCTCTTTTAAAGTATACAATTTAGTGTATTTTATATATTCACAAAGTTGTGCAACCATCACCACAATCTAATGCTTGACCTTTTTCATTGCCCTAAAAAGAAACCCCATACCCGTTAGTAATCACTCTCCATTCTCTTCTACCCCCAGGCCTTGGCAACCTCTAACCTACTTTCTGTCTATGTAGATTTGCCTATTCTGGATATTTTATAAAGATAGAATCATACATTATGTGGCCTTTTGTGTCTGGCTTCTTTCACTGAGCATAATGTTTTATGGGTTCATCCATGTTGTATCATGCATTCAAATTTCATTCTTTTATTATGGCCGGATAACATTCCATTGTATGGATATCCTAAAATTTATTTATCTATTCATCAGTTGGGAGACATTTAGGTTATTTCTATTTTGGGAATCTTATAAATAATACTGCCCTAAACATTCATGTATGAGTTTTTGTGTGAACATATGTTCTTGGGTATATATCTAGGAGTGGAATTGCTGGGCCATATGGTAACTCTATGTTTAACTTTTGAAGAGCTGCCAAGTTGGTTTCCAAAGTTGCTATGCCATTTTACATTCCCCACCAGCAATGCAAGAGAATTATAATTTTTTCCACATCTTTTCCAAGACTTGTTGTTGTCTGTCATTTTTATTAAAGCCGTCATAGTGGGTATAAAGTATCTCATTGTGATTTTGATTTGCATTTTCCTA
Organism: Homo sapiens; assembly: GCF_000001405.40. Taxonomy (NCBI): domain Eukaryota; kingdom Metazoa; phylum Chordata; class Mammalia; order Primates; family Hominidae; genus Homo; species Homo sapiens. Next base: position 46,553,266 of record NC_000019.10, read on the forward strand.
ATGACTAATGATGTTGCCTTCTTTTCATGCACTTCTTGATCATTTGTATATCTTCTTCGAAGTAATGTCTATTCAAATTATTTTCCCATTTTAAATTGGGATTGTTTATATTTTGTTGTTGTTGAGTTGCAAGAGTTATATAATATATATACATATTTCTTGGATGCTAGACTCTTACTATATATATAATTTACAAATATTTTATCCTATTCAGTTTGTTGTCTTTTTACTTTCTTGATGGTACCCTTCAAAGTGTGAAAGTTTTACAATTTGATGATGTCCCATTTATCTATTTTTTTCTGTAGTAGTTTATGCCTTTCATGACATATTTAAGAAACCATTGCCTAGTTTAAGATCATCAAGACCTACTCTATGTTTTCTTCTAAGATTGTATATTTTTAGCTGTTACAATTAGGTCTTTGATTTGTTTTGAGTTAATTTTTGTATATGGTGTGAGGTAGGGTTCCAGCTTTATTCTTTTGCTTGTTGATATCCAATTATCCCAGCACCATTAGTTAAAAAGACTACTCCTTCCCCCATTAAATGATCTTGGCACTCTTGTTGAAAATCAATTGACCATGAATGTGAGAGTTCATTTCTGGAATCTCAATTCTATTCCATTGATCTATATGTCTGTGGGTGAATGGTTTTTAAAAGGCAGGATATTGATGTATTCTGGCTACTTCCTGCTGCTTTTAAAAAATCGTAAGTCAGAAATGCTCCCAGGCAAGAATTGACCAGTTCACAAACAAAAATGGACAGAAGTAAAATTCAGCAAAGGAAAGAGGCATTTTCTTTCTTTAGCCTAACATCTAAATGTATTGTGAGTCTAGAGGCTTGGAGTCTTACAGATTGACAAGGTTACTAAACAACAAGAGAGAGCCTCCAAGCCTTTTTGAGAATTGACATTAAGATTTTGTGGCCGGAAAAGGAGAATCAGACCAGAAGCAAAAATCTGATTTCATATATTATTGTTCCATTCAAGATTGTTGTTTCCAATGGTCTCAAATAGCTGCTATAAATATGGAGTGATCACAGGAACTATCAATGGCTTACAGACACCTTATGGAAGCTCACTGCACCATCTGTAAAGTTGTCTTGCCAAAGAGTGAGATTTAAATTTGATTGAGCTTCTAGTTCTAAATACTAGTTTACAGGATAAACAGGGAACAGAGGAATACATTAAGAAACCCCACATGGATGCAGTCAGCAGAATTCAGAATGTGGAAAAGCTATAGGAGAAAATGACCTGGTTTCTCCAAAAAATAACTGCAAGAAATTAAATAATGATCCATGCTACAATATGGATGAACCTTTAAAACATTATGCTAAGTGAAAGAAGCCAGACACAGAAGCCCACATATTGTATGATTTCATTTATATGAAATAACCATAATAGGCAAATCTGTAGAAAAAGAAGAAACTGAGTGGTTGCTGGGGCTGCCAACTGGCATGGGCTTTCTTTTTTGGGATGATGAAATGTTCTAGAATTAGATAATGGCAATAGTTGGACAACTCTGTGAATATACTAAAAGCCATCAAATTGTAACCTTTAAATGGATGGATTATATGATACATGGATTTTCTCTAAATAAAGCTATTTAAAAATCACAAAGAAAAAAAGAAGGGGAGGTGTATTAGTTGAATGAAATATATGGGCTTTGTTTTGATCCTGATTGAAAATGTTTTAAAATTATGAGACAATTGGACAAATTTGAACACTGACTAAATACTTGGCGATATTAAGAAAGTACAGGCCAGGTGCAGTGGCTCATGCCTGTAATCCCAACACTTTGGGAGGCCAAGGTGGGAAGATTGCTTGAACCCAAGAATTCGTGACCAGCCTAAGCAACATAGCAAGACCCCATGTCCACAAAAAAAAAAAAAAAGAAGAAGAATAAATTAGCCAGGCATGGCAGCATACGCCTGTAATTCCAGCTACTTGGGAGGCTGAAGTGGGAGAATCACTTGAATCGAGGAGGTGGAGGCTGCAGCGAGCCGTGATCATGCCACAGCACCCCAGCCTGGGGAATGGAGCAAGACCCTGTCTCAAAAAAAATTAAGAGAAAATATTTTTAGTATTGGGGGGGTATTGTAATGATATTGTAATTATGTTTTTAGTAGTAGTTATCTCTTGGAGATACATACTGAAGTGTTTACAGGTTAAATACTATGTCTGAAATTTGTTTTAAAATAATCCAATCATAAGGGAAAGCAGGAGTATATAGATGAAATGAGACTGACATATATTGACAATCATTGAACATAAGAAGGTTCATTATACATTCTCCCTGCTTTTGGACAGTTTGAAATTTCCCATAACAAAAAGAAAAAATAAAAATCTAAATGCTTAAGAATTATATCTGGAAGAGATCTTTAGGGGTGGGACTCATAAATGGAATTGATTGGAAGCAAATAGACCAAAAACTTACCAAGCATTTGAGGAAATTTTCTTACTAAGGAAACCATAAGCCTGATCTATAAAAGACTAATTGCTCAATGTCTCAGAGAGGTGAGTTGACTTCTGAAGAGTCCCTGAAGACATACAGAGAGGAAATGGTGCAGAAGCAATATCGAAAGACATAACATCTGCAAATGTTTCAGAACTGATGAAAGACACCAATCCACAAATTCAAGAAGTCTTTCAAACTCAAAATAAAATAAACACAAAGGAAATCAAACACAGACACATTATAGTAAAACTCCTAAAAGACAAAGGCAAAGAGAAAAGTCTTAAAAGCAGTCATATAAAAAAAAGGGTAGATTACCTTCAAAAGAGGAACATTATTAAAGCTGACAGCTGACTTCTCAATCAGAAGACAACGAATCATATTTTTAAAGTGCTGAGAAAAAGTAAATGCCAACATAGAACATATACTCAGTGAAAATAGGATTATGACATACTGTAGTGCCAGCTTAAACATACTATATAAGATTCTTTTTAACTTTATGGACTCAAACTAATACTGAGCTATTTAATGAATAATCTTTGAACACCTGGATAATGTATAAGTATGGGTTAATATATAAGATTTTAAAAAGAAAATGAGAAAGAAAAACAGACTGTATCATGCCATCTGGATGATGGGCAAAAACAGTAAAACTAGAATTTGATGTTTTTTCTGTCTTTAAAATGACAAAGGGATCTTAAAGTATTCAGTCTGCTCTCAGCAAGGCATAGTAAAAAAGTTATTCTTTACTTTCTGTGAAATTTGTCCGGGTAGCAGAGGTTCTTGCCTTACTAAATATTCTTGTTTGAGAAGATTTAACTTTTTTTTCCTTTTTGCTGACCTTAGTCATATTGTTGAATTGTTTATTTTTTAAAACGTGCAGTAAAAGATTGTCACTTACAAAAAGCTAAATTCCCTTATAGTTACCTTCTACTTTATTTATTTATTTATTTATTTATTTATTTATTTATTTATTTATTTTTGAGACAGAGTTTCACTCTGTCACCCAGGCTGGAGTCCAGTGGCATGATCTTGGCTCACTGCAACCTCCGCCTCTCAGGTTCAAGTGACTCTTCTGCCTCAGTGTCCCTAGTAGCTGGGACTACAGGCACGCACCACCACGCCTGGCTAATTTTTTGTATTTTTAGTAGAGACAGGGTTTTGCCTTGTTGGCCAGGCTGGTCTCAAACTCCTGACCTCACGTGATCCACCCACTTCAGCTTACCAAAGTGCTGGGATTACAGGCATGAGCCACCGTTCCTGGCCTATATTTACTATTTTTTTTTTTTTTTTTTTGAGACAAGGTCTCACTCTGTCACCCAAGCTGCAGTGCAGAGGTGCAATCACGGCTCTCTGCAGCCTTGAACTCCCAGAGCCAAGTGATAATCCCACCTCAGCTGGGATCACAGGCATGCACCACCAATGCCCAGGTAATTAAAAAAAAAAAAAAACTGTAGAGACAGAGTCTCCCTATGTTGCCCAGGCTGAACTCAAATGATCCTCCTGCCTCAGCCTCCCAAAGAGTTGGGATTACGGGCATGAGCCACTGTGCCTGGCCTATTTTTGAATATCTTGATTGTCATTATGGTTAATAGGGTAGCCAAGCTATAATTACTCCTTTCTCTTAGGCAATTATGCACCTATTTTAGTCAAGTGATCAGTATTTTGGACAATTCTTTTTGATGTTTCCTTTCATAAAATCAGACTATAAATTCAGAAAAGTTAAAAATCATCAAGATGTTTGTACATTCAAAATAATCTTTGGCCCTTCCTGGATGGCCAAAGCACCAAAGATCTGTTCCCTCACCTTGTAACCCACCATAGGAAATACACACACAGGGCAGGATGCTAGAACTCTTAAGTATATTTGATATGCTTTTTTTTTTTTTCAAGACAGAGTCTCACTCTGTTGCCCAAGCTGGAGTACTGTGGTGTGATCTTGGCTCACTGCAATCTCTGCCTCCCGGGTTCAAGCGATTCTCCTGCCTCAGCTGGAGAATGTTGCCCAGGCTGGTCTCGAACTCCTGGGCTCAAGCAATCCACCTGCCTCGGCCTCTCAAAGTGCTGGGATTACAGGCGTGAGGCACCACGCCCAGCCTATATTTGATGTGCTTCTGTTTTTAAAATGATTCTACAATAGTGTAAAAACCTCCCTGATTTTTGAACACACAATGTGAAAAATGCTTTCAAACTAAAAAGATGAGTTCAGCCTTCCTTAGATTAATTTTGTGCATTAAATGTCACTATTATAAATATATCTCAGAGACTGTCCACTTTTACAGGATGGTGATGTGTCAATATCTTCAGTGTCCATAATCTGTTCTTGCCCCCAGGAGAAACATTGATCTAATTCTCTTGGAATAATTATATAGTATGCCCTAATAGAGCATTCTGTTTTCTTCTTATTAGATAGTATTAGTCACTGTAGTAAATTCCCCATCATTATTTAGTCCTACAATCAATAAGTGACTTCTGCTTTCCTTTCATGCTTTCCTGAAGGTTAGCTGGAAACTACAGGCCAGAAATTGGGTCTTGGACAAAGGAAAGTCAAAGTGCCTCGATGAATAGACAATACCTGATACCCTGAGCTACTGACACTTCAAGAAATAGGCTCACTGGGTTCAGGTTTTCCCATGTGTATGAGTCTGTTTTCATGCTGCTGATAAAGACATACCTGAGACATGGTGATTTATAAAGAAAAAGAGGTTTAGTGGACTTACAGTTCCACGTGGGGCTGGGGAGGCCTTCCAATTATGGTGGAAGGCGAAAGGCACATCTTACATGGCAGCAGGCAAGAGAGAGAACTTGTGCAAGGAAACTCCCCCTTATAAAACTATCAGATTGGCTCTCTGCTCCTCCCGTTCAACAGACAGCCGCATCTTCTTGTGCTTTGCCAGCCACGTACGTCCCTGAGACACCACAGTGAAGTTGAAGTCCGGAGTCAATGGATTTGTTGGAACCGGGAGCCTAGTCACCAGGGCTGTTTTTAACTCTAGTAAAGTAGATATTGTTGCCATCAATGACCCCTTCATTGACCTCAACTACATGGTCTACATGTTCCAGTATGATTCCACCCATGGCAAATTCCATGGCACCATCAAGGCTGAGAACGGGAAGCTTGTCATCAATGGAAATCCCATCACCATTTTCGAGGTGCGAGACCCCTCCAAAATCAAATGGGGCAATGCTGGTGCTGAGTCCATCATGGAGTCGACCGGCATCTTCACCACCAGGAAGAAGGCTGGGGCTCGCTTGCAGGGAGGAGCCAAAAGGGTTATCATCTCTGCCCCCTCTTCTGACGCTCCCATGTTCGTGATGGGCATGAACCACGAGAAGTATGACAACAGCTTCAAGATCATCAGCAATGCCTCCTGCACCACCAACTGCTTAGTGCCCCAGCCAAGGTCACCCATGACAACTTTGGTATCGTGGAAGGACTCATGACCACAGTCCACGCCATTACTGCCACCCAGAAGACTGTGGATGGCCCCTCCGGGAAACTGTAGCATCATGGCCGTCGGACTCTCCAGAATATCATCCGTGCCTCTACTGGCACTGCCAAGGCTGTAGGCAAGGTCATCCTTGAGCTGAATGGGAAGCTCATAGGCATGGCCTTCCATATCCCCACTGCCAACGTGTTGGTCATGGACCTGACCTGCCATCTGGGAAAACCCTGCCAAATATGATGATGTCAAGAAAATGATGAAGCAGGCATTGGAGGACCCCCTCAAGGGCATCCTGGGCCACAGTGAGCACCAGGTCGTCTCCTCTGACTTCGACAGCGACACCCACTCTTCCACCTTCAATGCTGGGGCTGGCATTGCCCTCAACAACCACTTTGTGAAGCTCATTTCCTGGTATGACGATGAATTTGGCTACAGCAACAGTATGGTGGACCTCATGGCCCACATGGCCTCCAAGGAGTAAGACCCCCAGACCACCAGCTCCAGAGAGAGCATGAGAGGAACAGAGAGGTCCTCACTGCTGGGGAGTCCCTGCCACACTCAGTCCCCCACCACACTGCGAATCTCCCCTCCTCACAGTTTCCATGCCGATCCCCCGAAGAGGGAGGGGCCTAGGGAGCCCCACCTTGTCATGTACCATCAATAAAGTCCTCTATGCTCAGCCAAAAAAAAGAACAAAAAAACCATCAGATCTCGTGAGACTTATTCACTATCACGAGAACAGCACAAGAAAGACCTGCCCCCATGATTCAATTACCTCTCACCATGTCCCTCCCACAACACGTGGGAATTGTGGGAGCTACAATCCAAGATGAGATTTCGGTGGGGACACAGCCAAACCATATCACCGTGTAAACCAGCATTGTCCTCCCAAGTAAACACCTGTGATATTCTGTACCAGAAGCAGAACCAGAATTTCCAGAGTTCTTTCTATTCCATAAGTAGATTATTTCATGACGACTAACCCTGTATCTGATAAAAATAAATAAATAAATAGGCCGGGCGCGGTGGCTCACGTCTGTAATCCCAGCACTTTGGAAGGCCGAGTCGAGCGGATCACGAGGTCAGAAGATCAAGACCATCCTGGCTAACACGGTGAAACCCTGTCTGTACTAGAAATACAAAAAATTAGCCGGGTGTGGTGGTGGGCCCCTGTAGTCCCAGCTACTAGGGAGGCTGAGGCAGGAGAATGGCATGAACCCGGGAGGCGGAGCTTGCAGTGAGCCGAGATTGTGCCACTGCACTCCAGCCTGGGTGACAGAGCGAGACTCCGTCCCAAAATAAATAAATAAATAAATAAATAAATAAATAAATAAATAAATATTTTTTAAAAAAACAGACTCCTATTTACATAGAACAAAATGAAACTGATGAAGGAAATCTGCTTGTGGTTATTTTTAATATTATTGAGAATTGCTTTACAAATGTTCTTTCTTTTTATGCGCATAGGAAGAAGCTCTTTTCCTTTCTTCGTGACCCACTGCCAACTCTCAATTTAACATTTATACTTGAGGAAATTGGAATGAAAGCCTCTCAGTAGTATTTTTCCATCTGACTCTTCCAAATTCTGGAAAATATATCCTGTGTCAAATCTCAATATAAATTATAAACTGTCCGGGTGCAGTGGCTCACACCTGTAATCCTAACACTTTGGAAGGCAGGGGTAGGATGATGTCTTGAGCCCAGGAGTTTAAGACCAGCCTGGGTAATACAGCGAGACCCCATCTCTACAAAAAATAATTTTTAAAAAATATTAGCCAGGCGAGGTGGCACACACCTGTAGTCCCAGCTCAGGAGGCTGAGGTGGGAAGAGTGCCTGAGCCCAGGAAATAGAAGTTACAGTGAGCCATGATTGCACCACTGAACTCCAGCCTGGGTAACAGACCAAGACTGTCTCAAAAAAAAAAAAAAATTGTAAGCTAACAAATCATCAGAGACTGAAATATTATAATAATTCTAATCAGAATGCAGATGAATGCATTTATGATGGGTAAGGCTTAGAAAAATTATAACTGCTCCTTAGCAAAGAACATTGGTTGTGCTTGAATTTTATGGTTATAATGTATCAATAAATAACTGAACCATATTTATATATATTATATCTGGAAAGATCCATAATGATTCTGATAAAAATATGAAAAACATCAACTGACTAAGTAGTCGGTGCAACTACTTAGAATAATGGGTAGATATTATTACAAATAACTTCATCCTTTCTGACAATGCAGAATAACTTCATCCATCCTGACAATGTAGCATTTTCATGAGTTTAATATGCATTGGCTCCCATTGTTGCAAGGATATAGACAAATCAAATGTACTACCAAGGCTATACTGACAATATCGTATGTGAGAATAAAGCCAGTTAATCTAGTCAGAAAAGCCCACCATTATGGAACAAAGGCTGATGTGTAGAACTTCATTTGTAGAACCAGATCCTACAAGCCCTCCCAGGAAATTAAACCAGTATATATGCTGTGGTTTACAGGATCTCAGTCCAGACTTAAAGGATCTTGAAGGAGGAAGAATTCACCCATAAAAGTAGGCAGCAGGGTGTGGTGGCTCACGCCTGTAATCCCAGCACTTTCGAAGGCGATCACCTGAAGTCAGGAGTTTGAGACTAGCCTGGCCGCATGGTGAAACCCCGTCTCTACCAAAAAATACAAAAATTACCTGGGGGTGGTGACACATGCCTGTGATCCCAGCTCCTCGAGAGCCCAAGGTGTGAGACTCGCTTGAACCCAGGAGGCGGATGTTGCAGTGAACCAAGATTGCGCCACTACACTCCACCTCCAGGTGACAGAGGGAGACTCCGTCTCAAAAAAAAAAGTAGGCAGTAAAAGAAAGTTCTATTCGTTCCAGACTAATAGAGTCCAGTCCAAATATACAACTCTAGATTCCTTACATAATATCCAGACAGAAGCTAATTCTCTGGTTTTAGCAGTGCTCACCACCACATAATTCTAGATTTACTAACCATACAACAAGGAGGCCTCTGTGTGCAATTAACACCTCTTGTTTTATCTATGTAAGTTTACCAAGCCAAATAGGACAGAGCCTACGCTATATAAAGGTACAATTCAGAGACCACATGAAATAGCCACCACTGAGTCTGTGTACTAATATAAATGATATACAAACATTATTGATCATTGGGATTGGGAATATATGCCACAAACTAAGCTCCAATTTGTTTTCTATTTCCCGTAACATTTGTGAGTTATCCGATATTTTAATTAAGAATAGTACAAACCAGAATCAGACCAACCCCTTATTTTATCAATAGCTACCTTTAGAGATAACATGATTTCAGGAGCTCTGTGCAGGAAACTTATTCAACACTTGGAAAATAAGACTTAAAAATGATTTTCGTCTGGCGCAGTGGCTCATATCTGTAATCCCAGCACTTTGGGAGCCGAAGCAGGTGGATCACCTGAGGTCAGGAGTTTGAGACCAGCCTGGCCAACATTTCAAAACCCCGTCTCTACTAAAAATACAAAAATTAGCTGAGCATGGTGGCGGGCGCCTGTAATCCCAGCTACTCGGGAGGCCTGAGACAGGAGAATGGTGTGAACCCGGGAGGCGGAGCTTGCAGTGAGCCGAGATTGTGCCACTGCAGCCTGGGCGACAGAGCGAGACTCTGTCTCAAAAAAAAAAAAACACAAATGGAAGGAAGGCTGGGGCTGGGGTTGTGGGGCCCACCCCGTGTACACTCCACGTGGCCCAGCTGAGAGCTCCTCAGGTTGACTCAGAGCACAGGCAGACAACAGGTATCCTAATTTGCTTCCAACACCAAGGCCCTGGCGTATTTCAGAAAACCTCGGAAACAAACCCTAAATGCTCAGCATTTGGAGGCACTAAAAACATGCACAAAACACACAAGCATTGAGTGATTTATTTGCCATGATCTCTTGCTGCTGTTCAGATCCAAGAGACCTCAGGGAGAAGGGCTGAGCAGGCAGGGGTGTCCATCCGGCCACCGCCTCTCCCTTTCCTCTTGAGGGCTCTGGGGGGTGTTGGACTCACATGAATAATCCCAGATCTGAGGACGCTGACACTGTCACTGATGGGACAGAAAGCAGTCACGAGACCAAGTCTGGGCTCTCCTGGGGCTTCCGGTCTACTAGGATAAGTGGAAACTAAATAAACAACTAGAAATGCAATCATTTCATGGAGCAAAAACACATGCTACCAGGAAAGTCCAACTAGGTGATGTGGTGGAAAGTGACTGCAGGAGGACTCTGCTTTAGGTAGCAGGGCTGGGGAAGTTGGTGACACCTGGCAGGAAGGAATACAAAGGAATACAAAGGAGGTAGCCATGGTGGGCAAGGGGAGTGACAAGAGGAGAGGCCCAGGCATGGAGAAGAGAAGAGAAAGTGAAAGTGCAGAGATTTTTGTTTGTTTGTTTTTTGTTTTTTGAGACGGAGTCTTGCTCTGTCTCCCAGGCTGGAGTACAGTGGTGCAATCTCAGCTCACTGCAACCTCTGCCTCCCAGGTTCAAGCAATTCTCCAGCCTTAGCCTCCCAAGTAGCTGGGATTACGGGTGCACGCCACCATGACTAATTTTCGTATTTTTTGTAGAGACGGGGTTTCACCATGTTGGCCAGGCTGGTCTCCAACTCCTGACCTCAGGTGATCCACCTGTCTCGGCCTCCCAAAGTGCTGGGATTACAGGTGTGAGCCACCACACCCGGCCAGTACAGAGCTCTTTAGTGAAGAAATTGGAGGACTTGAGGATCTGAGAGAGGCCAGAGGACAGCCCCCAGTGAGCAAGACTCAGTGAGTTCTCAACTTGAGGCAGGAAGAGATCAAGATATAGAGGCTCCTATTTTATTTCATGCATAAGACAGAGCCTTGGAGAGTCTTCAACAGGGGTGACAAGACCTGGATTGTGCTTTTTTTTTTTTTTTTTTTGTAGAGTCTCACTCTGTCACCCAGGCTGGAGTTTAGTGGTGCAATCTCGGCTCACTGCAACCTCTGCTTCCCGGGTTCAAGCAATTCTCCTGCCTAAGCCTCCCAAGTAGCTGGAATTACAGGTGTGCACCACCACACCCAGCTAATTTTTTTGTATTTTTTGTAGAGACAGGGTCTCACTGTGTTGCCCAGGCTGGTCTCAAACTCGTGAACTGAAGCGATCCACCTGCCTCTGCCTCCCAAAGTGCTGGGATTACAGGCATGAGCCATCATGCCCAGCTGGATTGTGCCTTATAAAAGTCCCTTTGGCTGAATGTAGAGAGAAAATTTGAGGAAAGCAGGGGTGGAAATGAGTGGCCAGATTAGAAGGCTGTTTGCTCAAGCAGGAGAGAGAGCATCGTGGCTTGGGTGAGGGTAGGGGGAGAGGGAGGTAGATTCAGATTTGGGATTGATTTTGGAGGCATGACTAACCTGTGTTCTCACGAAAATGGATTTGTCCCCAGAGCAACTACAAGTCTATGTGACATCAAGGTTCATAAGACAGGAGAATCACCAAGGGAAAAATAGGGCCCCAACCAATAAGACAAAAGGAATAGATGTAAGGAGAATTGGAACAGGGCCCTAAGATCTAGAAGTGCTGGTGTTGGAGGTCAACAGAGTGTCATTCACTTTGTCAGCCAGCATTTCCACCCCTCTGGTTTGGTGTCAGTGTTTATCTGCTGGCTTTCTGCTTCATTCTTAGTCATCAGCACCCTCCTTTGTACCACCAGGCTAGAAGCCTGCAAACTATATTGCCCAGCTTCCCTTGTGAGATGGCTTCCCAATAGGTTCTGCTTGCAGGAAGCACCACTTCTCAATTCTTTCTGCTTCTAGGAGGGCCTCTGGCCACAGCCAAAGAGGTGAACAAGGTCCCAGTTCCCACTGGTCATGAATTTGTAATGTGTCAATTTCATTAAGCTGAAGGAGGTTTCCCACAAGCCTTTCCCTATGCAGCTGAAAGTTAGCATGGGCCCCAGGAGACAACGTGCATGAATGTGGAAGGCAGAAGGGAAGCAGAAGCCACATGCTTTTGTGTTGGGCAGGTGGGTGCAGGCCCAGGCACTGTGGCTGTCATGCACGTTGTTTGCACCTTGAGGCTCTCCCTGGGGATGTGAGGCAGCAGCCAGGCCCCTACCTCTCCCAGCTCCCACAGGATCCTCCTGCAGGTACACATTTAACTCCAAATCAAAGAGCAGTGACTTCTCCTGGAAGACATCCGCTCATGAAAATTGGAGTCCTGGAGACTGTGAGGGTCCCGTCTGTCTACATGGCTTCCCACTGATCCTCTCAGTTCGTCTTCCCTGGCTTCCCCACTTTGTATCCCATCTTCCCTTCCCAATACCTGCCCTGCTGACTTCAGGCTGTACCAGCAGATGCAGAGAGATCACCCTTACATAGATGGCTCAACCAGCTTATGCAATGCATATGGTCAAATCCCTATCACCCATCCCTTATGAATTGTGATATTCAGCTTCCTATATCCATTTACCTAGATGATATGGTTTGGCTGTGTCCCCACCCAAATCTTGTCTCCGAATTGTAGCTCCCATAATTCCCATGTGTTGTGGAGGGACCTGGTGGGAGATAATTGAATCATGAGGATGGTTCCCCCGTACTGTTCTGTAGTAGTGAATACGTCTCATGAGAGCTGATGATTTTATAAGGGTTTCCCCTTTCACTTGATTCTCATTCTCTCTTGCCTGCCACCAGGTAAGACGTGACTTTTCCCTTCTGCCATGATTGTGAGGCCTCCCCAGCCATGTGGAACTGTAAGTCCATTAAACATCTTTTCCTTTATAAATTACCCAGTCTTGGGTATGTCTTTATCAGTAATTTGATCAAACACTAGTATCCAGTTATTTGATCAAACACTAACCTAGGTGTTGCTATGAAAGTATTTTGTACATGTGACTGACATCTACTATCAGTTGACTTTAAGTAAATTATCCTAGATAATCTGGGTGAGCCTGATCCAATCAGTTGAAAGGCCTTTGGGGGAGCAGAACTGAGGTTTCCCTGAGGAAGAAGGAATTTTGCTTTTGAATGACATCAACTCCTGCCTGAGAGTTTCCAGCCTGCCCTGTGGATCTTGGACTTACCTAGCCAGCCCCTAAAATGGCAGAAGCCCATTCATTTGCAATAAGTAAATACATAAATACATAAATACATGTACACATATATGCATACATATATACATGTATGTATATATATGTGTATGTGCATATATCTTAGTCTGTTTTGCTTTGCTATCAAAAAAATACCTGGGCTGGGCGCGGTGGCTCACGCCTGTAATCCCAGCACTTTGGGAGGCTGAGGTGGGTGGATCACAAGGTCAAGAGATCGAGACCATCCTGGTGAACATGGTGAAACCCTGTGTCTACTAAAAATACAAAAAACAAATTAGCTGGGCATGGTGGCGTGTGCCTGTAGTCCCAGCTACTCAGGAGGCTGAGGCAGGAGAATGGCTTGAACCTGGGAGGCGGAGGTTGCAGTGAGCCGAGATTGCGCCACTGCACTCCAGCCTGGCGACACGGCGAGACTCCATCTCAAAAAAAAAAAAAAAGAACCAATCTGAGCCTGGGTACTGGGTAATTCATAAAGAAAAGAGGTTTATTTGACTCACCAGTCTGCAGTGTGAGGGCCACAGGCTTCTTCCACTCATGGCAGAAGTGGAAGGGTAGCTGGCATGTCCAAATCACATGGCAAGAGAATGAGCAAGAGAATGGGAAGATGCCAGTCTCTTTTTAATAACCAGCTCCCAGGGGAACTCTTGCAGGTGCTAATAGAGAGATAACTCACTCACTACCAAGAGGCTGACACCAAACCAATTGTGAGAAATTCACCTCCATGACCCAGACACCTCCCATTAGGTCCCACCCCTGACATTGGGGATCAAAATGCAACATGAGGTTTGGAGAGTCAAATATCCAAACTCCAGCAGCATATATGTGTATTTATATGCATACGTGTATATATCATATCTATATCTCCTACTGGTTCTGTTCTTCTGGAGAACCAGGACTGATACCTGGATACGTATATGCATATCCACATCTTACTCCTCATCATTCTCTTTCTCTGGCTGACACCTGGCTGGTACTTTGCTCTCCCAGAGCAAACCCAGAGAAGATATTTTATTTTGCTGGTATTTCACTTTCCTACTTGCTCTTGAGCATCTGTCTTTTAAAAGCTTATATGAGAACTAACAACTCTTGTTCATGCATTCCTGCATTTATTCCACAAATCTTTTTTTTTTTTTTTTTGAGATTGGGTCTCACTGTGTCACCCAGGCTGGAGTGCAGTGGTGCAATCTTGGCTCACTGCAACCTCTGCCTCCCAGGCTCAAGTGATCCTCCTGCCTCTGCTTCCTAAGTAGCTGGGACTATAGGCACATGACATCAGGCCCGCTAATTTTTGCATTTTTTGTAGAGGTGGAGTTTCACCACGTTGTCCAGGCTGGTCTCAAACTCCTGGGCTCAGGTGATCTGCCTGCCTTGACCTCCCAAAGTGCTGGGATTATAGGCATGAGCCATTCTGCCTGGCCTACTCCACGAACTTTTGAACGCCATGCACAAACATACTCTGTGCTGTGCTGTCTGATGACACACAGGTTACAATACTGATAATGGTCCCTACCCTCACAGACATCACTGTCCAGTGATGGGGGAAAGAGAGGGAGTGGGGAGAAGAATATTTATTAGTTATGTATTAGTTATCTACTGCCATATAACAAGTGTATTAGTTATCTACTGCCACATAAGAAATTACACCAGGCCAGGCATTGCGGCACATGCCTGTAATCTTGGCACTTTGGGAGGCCGAGGCAGGAGGATCACTTGAGCCCAGGATGCCGAGGCTGCAGTGAGCCATGATCGTACCACTGCACGCCAGCCCAGGCAACAGAGTAAGACACTGACTCAAAAAGACAAAAACAAAGGCAAAACAAAAATTACACCAACATGTATTGGCTTAAAACAAGAAACATTTACGATGTCACAATTTCCAGCAGTCAGGAATCTGGGTGAGGGTAACTGGGTGGCTTTGGCTGTAGGTTCCTCAAGGCTAGAGTCAAGGGGCTGGCTGGAGCTGCAGGCATCTCAGGGTGGAAAATCTGCCTCCAGACTCACTCATGGCAGTGGGCAGCCCTCAGGTCCTTGCTGGCTGTTGGCTGGAGGCATCAGTTCCTTGCCCCATGAGCCTCTCCCCAGGCAGTTCCCATAATGGAAGCCCCTTCCATAGAGCAAGCAAGGCAAGGTGGGGAGGACCAGCAGGACATAAACCAGTCTTCCAGTAACCTGTACCGGGAGTGACATCACATCACTTCTGCCATATGCTGTTTGTTAGAAGCTTGTCACTATGCCCAATCTACACACAAAGGGGTATAGGTCCCAGAAGGGCATGAATACCACGAGGCTGGACCACTGCAGGTCATCCTACCATAAGTAAACATGTTAAGATGTTAAGATAATAAATATGACCATGGCTCCACCTGGTGGGAAACAATGGCAAACAGAGTGACGAGGTAGAAAGTTCTAGTTTTAACAGTTTTTTTTTTTTTTTAAAGACCAAGTCTCGCTCTGTCACCCAGGCTGGAGTGCAGTGGTGTGATCTTGATCTTGGCTCACTGCAACCTCCACCTCCCAGGTTCAAGTGATTCTCCTGCCTCAGCCTCCCGAGTAGCTGGGATCACAGGCCTGCACCACCACACCCAGCTAGTTTTGTATTTTTAGTAGAGACAGGGTTTCGCCATGTTGGCCAGGCTGGTCTCCAACTCCTGGCCTCAAGTGATCCGCCCACCTCGGCCTCCCAGTGTGCTGGGATTACAGGCGTGAGCCACCACTCCTGGCCTTAGTTTGAACAGTTTCTGACTTCATAGTTGTGTTGCCAGATAAAGCAAGGTCACTCACATTTATCATGACCAAGTGAGATTTATCCCAGGGATGCAAGGATGGTTCAACATATGCAAATCAGTCAATGTGATACATCATATCAATACAATGAGGGAAAAAAACCATATGATCATTTCAATTGATGCTGACAAAGCCTTTAATAGAATTCAACATCCCTTCATGATAAAAACCCTCAAAAAATTGGGTATAGAAGGAACATACCTCAACATAATAAAAGTCATGTATGACAGACATACAGCTAGAATCATACTGAATGGAGAAAAACTGAAAGCCTTTCCTCTAAGATCTGGAGCAAGACAAGGATGCCCACTTCCCCCACTGTTCTTCAACGTAGTAGTGGAAGTCCTAGCTACAGCAATCAGAAAAGAGAAAGAAATAAAGGGCATCCAGGTTGGAAAGGAAGAAGTCAAATTATCCTTATTCGCAGATAATATGATCTTATATTTGGAAAAGCCTAAGGGCAAAAGATCAGAATAGACATTTTTCAGAAGACACACAAATGGCAAACAGGTATATGAAAAGGTACTCAACATCAACATCATTGACCATCAGAAAAATGTGAATCAAAACTACAACGAGATATCACCTCACCCCAGTCACAATGGCTTTTATCCAAAATATGTAATAACAAATGCTGGCGAGGATGTGGAGAAACGGGAACCCTCATACACTGTTGGTGGGAATGTAAATTAGTACAGACACTCTGGAGAACAGTATGGAGGTTCTTCAAAAAACTACAAAGAGAACTACCATATGATCTAGCAATCCCATGCTGTGTATATACCCAAAAGGAAGGAAGTCAGTGTATCCAAGAGATACCTGCACCCCCATGTTTGTTGCAGCACAGTTCACCACAGCCAAGATTTGGAAGCAAGCTGAGTGTCCACCAACAGACATATGGATAAAGAAAATGTGGTACCTATGCACAATGGGTACTGTTTTGTTGTCGTTGTTGTTATTGTTGTTATTGTTTTTGAGACAGAGTCTCACCCTGTTGCCCAGGCTGGAGTGCAATGGCACGACCTCGGCTCACTGCAACCTCCGCCTCCTGGGTTCAAGTGATTCTCCTGCCTCAGCCTCTGGAGTAGCTGAGATTACAGGCGCACACCACCACGCCCAGCTGATTTTTTCTTGTATCTTTGGCAGAGATGGGGTTTCACCATGTTGGGGCAGGCTGGTCTCAAACTCCTGACCTCAGGTGATCCTCCCACCTCAGCCTCCCAAAGTGCTGGGATTACAGGTGTGAACCACCATGCCTGGCCACAATGGGATACTTTTCAACCATAACAAAGATTGAGATCCTGTCATTTGCAACAACATGGAGGGAACCAGAGATCATTATGTTGAGTAAAATCAGCCAGGCATGGAAAAATAAATGTCCCATCTTCTCACTCATTTGTGGGAGCTAAACATTAAAACAATTGAGTTCATGGAGACGGAGAGTAGAAGAATGGTTACCAGGGACTGGGAAGGGTAGTGGAGCAGGGGGAAGTGGGGATGGTTCGTAGTTATAACAATGCAGTTAAATAGAATGAATAAGTTCTAGTATTTGATAGCACAACAGGGTGACTACAGTCAACAATACATTTTAGGGCCGGGCGCAGTGGCTCACACCTGTAATCACAGCACTTTGGGAGGCCGAGGCGGTGGATCACCTGAGGTCAGGAGTTCGAGACCATCCTGGCCAACATGGTGAAACCCTCTCTCTACTGAAAATACAAAAACTAGCCAGGTGTGGTGGCACACACCTGTAATCCCACCTACTCAGGAGGCTGAAGCAGGAGGATCGCTTGAACCCAGGAGGCAGAGGTTGCAGTGAGCCGAGATTGCACCACTGCACTCCAGCCTGGGTGACAGAGCAAGACTCTGTCTAAAAAAAAAAAAGAAAAAAACAAACCCATACTTTACTGTACATTTTAAATAACTAAAAGAGTATATTTGGGGTGTATGTAATACAAAGAAATTGTACATGCTTGAGGGGATACCCCATTTACCCTAATGTGATAATTACACATTGCATGCCTGTATCAAAATATCTCACGTATCCCATAAATGTATACACTTACTCTGTACCCGTAAAAACATTTTGGGCTGGGCATGGTGGCGCACGCCTGTAATCCTAGCACTTTGGGAGGCCAAGGCGGGTGGATCATGAGGTCAGGAGATCGAGACCATCCTGGCTAACACGGTGAAACCCCATCTCTACTAAAAATACAAAAAATTAGCCGGGCTTGGTGGCGGGTGCCTGTGGTCCCAGCTACTTGGGAGGCTGAGGAGGAGAATGGCATGAACCCGGGGGGCGGAGCTTGCAGTGAGCTGAGATGGCGCCACTGCACTCCAGCCTGGGCAACGGAGCGAGACTCCATCTCAGAAAAAAAAAATTTTTTTTCAAAAAGAATTTTTTATAAAAACATGTCACCCAGTTAAATTTGAATTTCAGATAAACAACAAATACTTTTTTAGTATGAGTATATCCCATGCAACATTTTGGATATATTTATTTAAAAACACCTCATTGTTTATCTGAACTTTAAATTTAACTTGGCTTTCTATCTTTTTAGTTGCTCAGTGTGGCCACCTTCCTCCAGGGCAGCACAGGGCTCAGGAGTGGAGGAGCCAGGCTAGGGACTATGGTACCAAAACCAGCCAGCAGGTTAGAGGTGAGGACGCAATGATGACAAACTCCTGGAGAGGGAGACATGGAGGCAGGATCAGCAAAATGTCGGGGAAGAGGACTGAGCTTTTTTTTTTTTCTTTCTTTTGAGACAGAGTCTCCCTCTGTCGCCCAGGCTGGAATGCAGTGGCACGATCTCGGCTCACTGTAACCTCCACCTCCCAGGTTCAAGTGATTCTTCTGCCTCAGACTCCCGAGTACCTGGGACTACGGGTAAGCGCCACCACACCTGGCTAATTTTTGTATTTTTAGTAGAGGCAGGGTTTCACCATATTGGCCAGGCTGGTCTCGAACTCCTGACCTCATGATCTGTCCACCTCGGCCTCCCAAAGTGCTGGGATTAAAGGTGTGAGCCACCGTGTCCGGCCCTGAGCTTCTTTTTAAACCCATAATAAACCACATATTTAATGTCTTTACATTATTGCTGCCTGAGTCCCCCCCATGAGAAGGAAAACTCCACAAAAAAACAGGGACTGCTGTCTGATTTGTTCATTGCTGTGTTCCCAGTACCTAGAAGATGACTTGGCACCTAGCAGGCGCTCAAGAAATGTTGTCTGAAGGCCAGGCGTGGTGGCTTATGCCTGTCATCCTACCACTTTAGAAGGCCAAGGTGGGCGGATCACCTGAGGTTGGGAGCTCAAGACCAGCCTGGCCAACATGGCAAAACCCCGTCTCTACTAAAAATACAAAAATCAGCTGAGCATGGTGGCGGGCATCTGTAATCTCAACTAATCAGAAGGCTGAGGCAGGAGAATTACTTGAACGCTGAAGGTGGAGGTGGCAGTGAGCCGAGATCCTGCCACTGCACTCCAGCCTGCGAGACAGAGCAAGACTCCATCAGAAAGAAAGAAAGAAAGAAAGAAAGAAAGAAAGAAAGAAAGAAAGAAAGAAAGAAAGAAAGAAAGAGAGAGAGAGAGAGAGAGAGAGGAAGGAAGGAAGGAAGAAAGAGAAAGAAAGAAAGAGAGAAGGAAAGAAAGAAGGAAAGAAGGAAGGAAAGAAGGAGAAAGAAAGAAAGGAGGAAAGAAGGAAGGAAGGAAAGAAGGAAGGAAGCAAGGAAGGAAGGAAGAAATGTTGGCTGAAGAAATGAATCTTTGAGTTGCTTAAAGAATCTCAGCTCTCTGGCTCAGGAGTCAAGGATGAGAGGAGGACAGGAGGAGATGAGTCTGCTGGGAGAGACAGAGGAGTCATCCCTGGGATGGGGATGTGAGAGGAACAGGACTGGTGGGGGAAGATGCTGAGATCAACTTGGACACGGTGAGTGGAAAGTACCCAGCAGACATCTGGAGAGAGACATTCAGGAATCCCTTGTCTAGCCAAGCCTGGAGCTCAGAGAGAGAACTGGCGTGGTAGACAGAAAAATGCCCCCTCCAAGGATATCCACGTTCTAATCCCTAGACTTGTGAACAGCTTTGCTACTTGGCAAAATGGACTGTGCAGGTGTAATTAAGCTAAGGCTGTTGATATGGGGTGATTATCCTAGCGTACCTGGGTGGGCCATTATAAACACAATCCTCACAAACACAATGCTCTTTATAAGCGTTATGGGTTGAGTGGTGTTTCCCAAAAAGATATGCTGAAGCCCTCTTTCCCAGTCCCTCAGAATGTGACCTCATTTGGAAACAGGGTTGTTGCAGATATGATTAATTAAATGAACATAAAGTCATGGCCAGGTGCAGTGGCTCAGGCCTGTAAACCCAGCACTTCAGGAGATCGATGGTAGAGGATAGCCTGAGTGCAGGAGTTCTAGACCAGCCTGAGCAACATAGCAAGACCCCCTCTCTACCAAAAAAAAAAAAAATTTTTTTTTTTTTGACAGAGTTTCACTCTTGTTGTCCAGGCTAGAGTGCAATGGCACGATCTCTGCTCACTTCAACCTCCACCTCCTGGGTTCAAGTGATTCTCCAGCCTCAGTCTCCCAAGTAGCTGGGATTACAGGCGCCCGCCACCACTCCCATCTAATTTTTGTATTTTTAATACAGACAAGGTTTCATCATGTTGGCCAGGCTGGTCTTGAACTTCTGACCTCAGTGAGCTGCCCGCCTTGGCCTCCTGGGATTACAGGCATAAGCCACGGTGTCTGGCCTCTACAAAAAAAAATTTTTTTTAATTAGCTGAGCGTGGTGGCACACACCTGCAGTCCTAGCTACTTGGGAGGCTAAAGCAGAAGGATTATTTAAAACCAGGAGTTTGAGGCTGCAGTGAGCTATGATTGCACCACTGCACTCCAGGCTGGATGGCAGAGCGAAACCCTGTCTCAAAAACAAACAAACAAAAAAAATTCAAGGTGTTGGCAAGGCCATACTCCCTCTGAAACCTATGCCCTTATCTCTCCATTCAGGTTTCCCATTTATACCTTTGGAATTTGTAGTTATTGATTTCCACACAATTGCAACCAAGGCTGAATGGGGCCCCGGGCTCCAGCCACAGGGCTGGGCATGACAGCCACACTGGAAGTCATCAGCACAGAGACAATGCTGGGAACATCCCTGAGAAGTGGGAGCTCCTGACTGCCCACACAAGCAACAGATGTCAGCCTTGGGCTTTTGTCCTTCAAGCTCAAGTCATCTCTCTGACCGTTTCTTGCCAGCCTCCCCAGGCACCTCCTCTTCCCTCCCCTGAGCATGATCCGTGGCTGCCCTGTGCCCAGGCCCTCTTGCCATCTTCACCTGTTCTCCCCGATCTCATTCATTCTCACCACTTCTGTCTCTCATTCCTTTCCCTCCCTGTGCATCTCTGTCCTCAGCCCCAGTGTGTTCAGGTCTTCTTGCTGCTGTAATGAATGACTACAGGCTAAGTGGCTTAAACAATACAAATTTGCTCTCTTGCAGTTCTGAGGGGTAGAAGTCTAGCACGGGTCGCACTGGGTTAAAATCAAAGATGTGCTCCTTCTGGAGGCTCTAGGGCAGGAATCCCCAACCCCCACGCCACACACTGTGATGTGGTTTGGCTCTGTGTCTCCACCCAAATCTCATGTCAAATTGTAATCTCCACATGCCTGGGGGAGGGACCTGGTGGGAGGTAATTGGATCATGGGCGCGGTTTCCCCCACGCTGTTCTCATGATAGTGAATGAGTTATCATGAGATCTGATGGTTTAAAAGTGTGTGACAGGCCGGGCTCAGGGGCTCACGTCCATAATCCCAGCACTTTGGGAGGCCGAGGCAGGCAGATCACCCGAGGACAGGAGTTCAACACCAGCCTGGCCAACGTGGTGAACCCCTGTCTCTACTAAAATACAAAAATTAGCCAGGCATGGTAGCTGGCGCCTGTAATCCCAGCTATTCAGAAGGCTGAGGCAGGAGAATTGCTTGAACACAGGAGGTAAGGTTGCAATGAGCTGAGATCGTGCCACTGCACTCCAGCCTGGGTGACAGAGCCAGACTCCTCAAAAAAAAAAAAAAGTACATATATATATATATATATATATATATATATATATATATATATGATATTATATATGAGATACATATTTTATATATATGATATATATGATATTGGGAGGCCAGGCACAGTGGCTCATGCCTGTAATCCCAGCACTTTGGGAGACTGAGGCAGGTGAATCACCTGAGGTCAGAAGTTCGAGATCAGCCTGGCCAACATGGCGAAATCCTGTCTCTACTAAAAATTCAAAAACGTAGTTAGGTGTGGTGGTGTGTGCCTGTAACCCCCACTACTTGGAAGGCTGAGGGTACAAGAATTGCTTGAACCCAGGAAGCGGAGGTTGGAGTGAGCCAAGATCACACCACTGCACTCCACCCTGGCAACAAAATGAGACCCTTTTTCTTTGAAAATAACTTAGAAATTAGCTATGCAAAGTGGTGCAGGCCTGTAGTCCCAGCTACTTGGGAGGCTGAACAAGAGGATGGCTTGAGCCCAGAAATTCGAGGCTGCGGTGACCTGGGATCACACTACAGCCTGGGTGAGGGTGAGACCCCATCCCTTTAAAAAAAAAAAAGAAAGAAAGAAAGAAATTAAAAACAGCCAGGTGCAGTGGCTCACACCTGTAATTTCAACAGGTTGGAAAGCAGAGGCAGAACCACATGATGGGACCTTGTCTCTACAAAAAATTAAAAAAAAAAAAAAAAAGATTGGGTGGCTTAAACAACAGACATTTATTTTTTCACAGTTCTGGAGGCTGGGGAGTCCAAGATGAAGGTGCCAGCAGATTCAGTTGTTGGTGAGGCCTTGCTTCCTGACTTGCAAGCAGACGCCTTTTTGCTGTGCCTTCCCATGGCCTTTCCCCAGTGTGTGCACGTGGAGAACGTGAGCTCTGGTTTCTCTTCCTCTTGTTTTTTTTCTTTCTTTCTTTTTGAGATGGAGTCTTGCTCCATAGCCCAGGCTGAAGTGCAGTGGCGTGATCTCGGCTCACTGCAACCTCTGCCTCCAGGGTTCAAGCGATTCTCCTGCCTCAGCCTCCCAAGTAGCTGGGATTACAGGCACCCGCCACCATGCCTGGTTAATTTTTTTGTATTTAGTAGAGATGGGCTTTCACCAGGCTGGCCAGGCTGGCCAGGCTGGTCTCAAACTCCTGGGCTCAAGTGATCCACCTGCCTCAGCCTCCCAAATGTTGGGATTACAGGGTGAGCCACCACTCCCAGCCTCTCTTCCTCTTCCTATAAGGGTACTAATCCTATCATGGGGGTCCCAGCCTCCTGACCTGATCTAAATCTAATTACCTCCAAAGTTCCCTGCCTCCAAATAATATCACACTGATGGTTTTGGCTTCAAGATATGAATTCAGAGAGGACACAAACATTCAGTCTACAACACTCAAGCAAGCAGAAAATGGTAAGAATAATATGATTTCTCTTTTTCAGTCCATTGTCTGTGTGCGAGATATTCATGATCATACACATTATGTTCATATACATGATCTCACTTACCATGATCCTGACGTAGTAAGTTATCTATCGCTGTGTAACAAATCAGCCCAAGATTTACTGGTTGATGTGGTTTGGCTCTGTGTTCCCACCGAAATCTCATCTCAAATTGTAATCCCCACCTGTTAAGGGAAGGAGGTAATTGGATCATGGGGATGGTTTCCCCATGCTGTTCTCATGACAGTGAGATCTAATGTTTTTTGTTTTGTTTTTTTTTGAGACGGAGTCTCGCTCTGTCACCCAGGCTGGAGTGCAGTGGTGCGATCTCGGCTCACTGCAACCTGCGCCTCCCGAGTTCGTGCCATTCTCCTGCCTCAGCCTCCCGAGTAACTGGGACTACAAGCGTCCGCCACCACACCCGGCTAATTTTTTTTGTACTTTTAGTAGAGACGGGGTTTCACCGTGTTAACCAGGATGGTCTCGATCTCCTGACCTCGTGATCCGTCCACCTTGGCCTCCCAAAGAGCTGGGATTACAGGCTTGAGCCACCGCACCCGGCCAGATCTAATGGTTTAATAAGTGTTTGACAGTTCCTCCTTCACATGACCTCTCATTTCCTGCCATACAAGACATCCCTACTTCCCCTTCCGGCATTATTGTCTGTTTCCTGAGGCCTCCTTAGCCATGCAGAACTGTGAATCAATTAAACCTCTTTTCTTTATAAATTACCCAGTCTTAGGCAGTTATTTATAGCAGTGTGAAAACAGACAAATACACTGGTATAAAACAACAATGGGCCAGGCGTGGTGGCTCATGCTTGTAATCCCAGCACTTTGGGAGGCTGAGGCAGGCAGATCACTTGAGGTCAGGAGTTGGAGACCAGCCTGGCCAACATGATGAAACCCCGTCTCTACTAAAAATACAAAAATTAGCCAGGCTTGGTGGCGCACCCCTGGAATCCCAGCTACTTGGGAGGCTGAGGTGGGAGAATCGCTTAAACCAGAGAGGCAGAGATTGCCGTGAGCCAAGATCATGCCACTGCACTCCAGCCTGGGTGACAGGCTGAGACTCTATCTCAAAAATCATCATCATCATCATTATCATCATCATTTGTTATCTCTTGCAGTGCCTAGGAGTCAGGAATTCAGGAGCAGCCCAGCTAGGGAGTGGCAGCTCTAGGTCTCTAATAAGTTTGCAGTCAGATAGTGGCTGGGTGTGGGATCATTTTAAAGCTTTCCTAAATTACATATCTGGTACCAAAGGCTCCTTGGCTCCCTTCTCTCTCCATAGGGTCTCTCCACCATGGTGACTCAGAGCTCCCAAGGCACAAATCCCAAGACAGAGAGACCCAGGGAGTGGCTGTGTCACCTTTTCTAATCTAGCCTCGGAAATCACTTATCATCTGTTCATGAGAAGCAAGTCAATAGGGCTGCCCGTATTCTAGAGGACAAGAACTGGAATCCACCTTTTTATTTTTTCAATTTTTAAATATTTTTTTTAGGCAGGGCGTGGTGGCTTACGCCTGTAATCCCAGCACTTTGGGAGTCCGAGGCGGGCGGATCACGAGGTCAGGAGATCGAGACCATCCTGGCTGACACGGTGAAACCCCGTCTCTACTAAAAATACAAAAAATTAGCCGGGCGTGGTGGCGGGCGCCTATAGTCCCAGCTACTCGGGAAGCTGAGGCAGGAGAATGGCGAGAACCCGGGAGGCGGAGCTTGCAGTGAGCCGAGATAACGCCACTGCACTCCAGCCTGGGCGACAGAGTGAGACTCTATCTCAAAAAAAAAAAAAAAAAAAAAAAAAAAAATATATATATATATATATATATGTATTTTTAAAATATATATTTATTTAATATATATTTAATATTTTATATATATATATATTTTTTTAATAGAGACAGGGTCTTGCTCTGTTGCCCAGGCTGGTCTCCTGGGCTCAAACAATGCTCCCACCTCAGCCTCCCAAAGTGCTGGGATTACAGGTGTGAACCACCATGCCTGGCCAGAATCCATCTTTGTATAAGAGGAATTTAAATAAATTGTAGACACTTATTAAAACTACCACAGTAGGTACTTTTTTATGCCCATTTTACAGACAAGAAAACCGAGGCACAGGGAAGCTAAGTAACTTGCCTAATGTCACATAACTTGGGCTTCACGCATGGTGGCTCACACCTGTAACCCAATATTTTGAGAGTCAGAGGCAGAGGGATTGCCTCCAAGAGGCAGAGGCAGCAGGATTGTACCACCAAGACCAGCTAAGGAGGCAGGAGGATTACTTGAGCCTAGAAGTTCGAGACCCGCCTCAGCAACATAGTGAGACCTTGTCTCTACAAAAAAATGCTTTTAAAAATTAGCCAGGCATGGTGGTGCAGGCCTTTGATCCCAGCTACTCGGTAGGTTGAGGCAGGAGAATCGCTTGAGACCAGGAGGTCAAGGCTGCAGTGAGCCATGTACATGCCACTGCACTTCGGCCTAGGCGACAGAGGAAAACCCTATCTTAAAAACATAAGTAAATTCATTTAAAAATTAAATAAAATGCAAGTCTCCAACCATTAACAAAGGGAGTGTCAAAAAGTCATGGAAAAAAGGGTTTTTTAAAAAACAATTTAAGGAACATAAAGATAACGTTTAAAATGTAAAATAGAAGTGAATATATTTTTTCCCTGCAACTACACTGAAAGAGATACTGTTTTGCATAATAAAACTGTCTAAAGAATCTGTCCTGATAACGTAATTGAAAATATTCCCAAGAACGCCTGTCTTGTTTTGCTGTGCGGTCAGGAGCCCTGAGTTCCTGTCACCACCTGGTCTGTTCATTTAAGACGGTCCTTGGAAAGATAATTGGAACAAAAGAGGCTTGTGAGATTCTCCTAGAAATTGTTG
Source organism: Homo sapiens (assembly GCF_000001405.40). NCBI lineage: Eukaryota > Metazoa > Chordata > Mammalia > Primates > Hominidae > Homo > Homo sapiens. Next base: position 46,579,427 of record NC_000019.10, read on the forward strand.
CCAATCTTGAGAAAAATAATCTCCCAGAGAAGCCTGCAATTCTGATTGGTTTTCTTCCTGATCATCTGTTGCCATGGTGACAGCCATCATCTCTCTATTATTAAAAGGAAGAAATGACTGTAGGTTTTCTCTCTCTAAACCAGAAGACGATCGTTGGCACTTTTCTCCCACAAACATAATGGAAATAAAAGCCTGTGACTCTGCTAGATTTTTTCAAAAAAACAAAGACATTGAGAGTCCTGTCTCATTTAAATGAATCAAAGCACTCATCCCCACGCACAGATAGACATAAATGGTGGTAGCTGTGGGCATCGCGGTTGTGGTCGGCTGTCATCTTCACTTCATCAGAGCGCCCACTGGTGGGTAATGAGAGAACAGCAGGGCTATCCCAGCTAGGAGACCCCCTTCCCTCCCTTCCTCTCTGGAGGGTTCACCACCCCAAATAGCCAGGCTTGCAGTGGAGGGCAGAACTAGGGACAGAAATCCCTGGATATTCTACCAAGGATGGGAGGATGGCCCCTCCTGCTCTCAGCCCCCGTCATGGTCTCCTATTGTGTACCAGACATTGTTCTATCCCCTCTACATTCTCCATGCTCACTACAACCCCTTAAGTGGGGAATTATGACTGCCCTACCTACAGATGAGGATTCCAAAACCAGAGAGGTTTAGTCTCCTGCCCAAGGTCACACATAAACTGGAGGACCTATGAGTTATTCAAACCCAGGTCTCTCTGACAGTAGGCAGAGAACTTCAGCGTAGAGGGAATGTGGCGGGACTCAAAAGGCTCCCAATCCACCCTCAAGAGAGACTTTTCAGGACTGATTGGGTTTATCAGCAAGAGGCATCCAACATCCAGCTATCTAATAATCAGGGTGATTCATGGCTAACAGTTATTGAGCTCTCATCAAGTGCTATGTTCTGGGCTAAGTACTTTGGATGTATAATCCCACTAAATCCTCCTGACAAATTTTGGGAGAAAAATTACGATTGTGCCCATTTCACAGAAGAGAAGACTGAGGTTCAGAGAGGCCCATTATATTGCCCCAGGTCACACAGCTGGGAAGTATTGGAGCCAGGTTTGTAAACTCGTGTTTGCCTGGCTCCAAAGCTTCTACTCTTCTCCAGTAGACTATTTAGAAAGACCAGCTTTGGATATGGGTGTGGGCCTGACTCAATGCAGTAAGTGCTTTCTGGGCCCAAGTAAAGGCCCTGCCATTTTCCGATTTGCTGTTTCGTTTTTTGTATTAGTTATTTATGGCTGTATAACAAATCACCCCAAGATCCAGCAATCCCACAACTCAATATACATACAGAGGAAATGAAATCAGTATGTCAAAGAGATCTCCGTATTCCCTTGTTCATTACAGCACTACTCACAATAGCCAAGATATGGAATGAACCTAAGTTGCCATCAACAGATGAATGGATAAAGAAAATGTGGTACATAGACACAATGGAGTACTATTCTGCCTTAAAAAGAAGGAAATTTTGTTCCTGGCAACAACATAGACAAATCTGGAGGATACTGTAAGTGAAATAACCCAGAAATAAGCCAGCCAAATAAGCCAAAGAAAAACAAATACCACATGATCTCACTCGCATGGAGATTGTAAAAAAGTTAAAGTAAATAGGGAGTAGAAAGGTAATGGTTATAGGTGGTGGAGGGTTGAGGAGATGTTGGTCTAAGGGCACAGATTTTTAATTAGATAGGAGGAATAAGTTCAAGAGATCTATTGTATAATATGGCCACTATGGTTAATTACAACTATAATTATTCTATAATTATCTAATTATACTATAATATTCAAGAATGTATTTTACTCTTGAAAATTGCTAAGAGAATAAAAAATCACCCCCAAACCTGGCAACTTAAAAGAACAACAATTATTTATTTTACTCACAAATCTGCAGTTTAGAGGTTTGTCAGGGACAGTTCTCTGCTCTGCAAGGTGTTAGCTGAATAGCATCAGAATCTGCTTTGAAGAAGACAACTACTTTCCTAGCTATTTTCTGGGAAGTGTGAGCTTGGGACCTCATTCCTATTCATATGATCCTTTCCTCTGGCTCCTTGAACTTCCTCACAACATGGTGGCTGGATTCCAAGAGCAAGCATTCTAAGAGAACAAGGCATGTCTTTTTTTTTTTTTTTTTTTTTGAGACAGGGTCTCCCTTTGTTGCCCAGACTAGTCTTGAACTCCTGGGCTCACACAATCCGCCCACCTCAGCCTCCCAAAGTGCTGGAATTACAGACATGAGCCACCATGCCTGGCCTATGCATAGCATTTGTATGATCCAGCTTTGGAAGTCATATCATCGCTTCCACTTTATTAGTCAAGGCAGTAGGGACTGCTCAAGCTCAAGGGAAGAGACATAGACCCCATCTCTTGATTCTAGAAGCATGTGGAATAGGAGATATTATTGTCGCTATCTGTAGAAAGTAAAATCTGACATACTCTCAAAGGCAGTGTAGGGTAGACTGGAATATCCCACTTGGTCCCTCGTTGCCCACTCTCTGGGAAAAGGGGGATGTTTTACTGCAGAGGATGGGAGGGTGAAGACCCAGCAAGGTCTTGGCCTTGGAGCTCTAAGAATCCAAGAATCTAATAATAGTTTTAGGGACAAGAGGGTCACTTGGAGAGAAGGTGTCTCTTTGGGGGATATTTAAGGATCCATGGGCTGGACCTGCCTTTTATTAAATAACTACTAAAGATCTCTAGATAACTCATGGCTAGCTCTGGAAGAAGATCCTAGACATAGCACGAAGGTCAAGATCCTAGACATTGGGGCCAGGTAGGCCACCGTCCCAGTTCCAGCTATCTATGTATTCCTTGGTCACTATCTATGTATTCCTTGTCTGCTGCAGCCTCAGTTTCCTCATTTGTAAAATTGGTATAAAAATAATATATAGTACAGGACCGGGCACGGTGGCTCACGCCTGTAATCCCAGCACTTAGGGAGGCCGAGGCAGGCAGATCTTGAGGTCAGGAGATCAAGACCATCCTGGCGAACACTGTGAAAACCCATCTCTACTAAAAATACAAAAAAAATTAGCCGGGCGCGGTGGCAGGCACCTGTAGTCCCAGCTACTCAGGAGGCTGAGGCAAAAGAATGGCATGAACCCGGGAGGCAGAGCTTGCAGTGAGCAGAGATGGCGCCACGGCACTCCAGCCTGGGCAACAGAGCGAGACTCCATCTCAAAAAATAATAATAATAATAAGTAGTAGTAGTAGAGGTTAGGTGAAGCCTGAGACCTGGTGGTGTATGAGCCAGAGCAGAATCCAGAGTAAAACCCAGTATTGTTGTTGCCTCAGGCCCTCTGTGGCCAGCATCTATCTCCATCTGTGCCATCAGTGCCTGCCCCTATAGGGGCACTAGCTGTTCCAACCGGGTCACCCTGGCTGAATTGAAGATAACTTATAAAAAGCCACATCTTGGCTGGGCGCGGTGGCTCACGCCTGTAATCCCAACACTTTGGGAAGCTGAGGCAGGTGGATTACCTGAGGTCAGGAGTTCAAGATGAGCCTGGGCAACATGGTGAAACCCCGCCTCTACTAAAAATACAAAAATTAGCTGGGCATGGTGGCACACACCTGTAATCCCCACGTACTTGGGAGGCTGAGGCAGGAGAATTGCTTGAACTCAGGAGGTGGAAGTTGCAGCCAGCCAAGATCGCGCCACTGCACTCCAGCCTGGGCGACAGGGTAAGACTCCATGTAAAAAAAAAAACAAAGAGCCACAACTTTAAAGTTGTGGAAATTGGATGCCATTAACATTGTCAACAAAAGTTTTTGAAATACCAGCCGGGCGCAGTGGCTCACACCTGTAATCCCAGCATTTTGAGAGGCTGAGGAAGGTGGATCACCTGAGGTCAGGAGTTTGACACCAGCCTGGCCAACATGGCAAAACTCCATCCCTGCAAAAAATACAAAAATTAGCAGGGCATGGTGGCATGCACCTGTAGTCCCAGCTACTCAGGAGGCTGAGGCAGGAGAATCGCTTGAACCCAGGAGGCAGAGGTTGCAGTGAGCTGACACCATTGTACTCCAGTCCGGGCGACAGAGCAAGACTCTGTCAAAAAAATAAAATTGAAATATCTAAGAATAAGGCCAGGTGCAGTAGCTCATGCCTATAATCCCAGCACTATGGGAGGCCAAGATAGGAGGATTGCTTGAGGCCAGGAGTTCGAGGCTGCAGTGAGCTGCGATTGCACCATTGCACTCCAGCCTGGATAACAGAACAAGATCCTGTCTCTAAAAAATAAAAAGAAAAGTTTAAAAAAAAGTTTTTTAAGTGAAAGACAAATCAGATCAATGAAAATGAACACATGATATACAAAAACATATGGGATACACTAAAGTAGTGCTTGGAGGAAAATTTACAGCTGCAAATTGCCTATATTGAAAGAGAAAAATGGTCTCAAATCAATAACCTAATCTTCCATCTTAAGAAACTAGAAAAAGAAGTGCAAACTAAACCCAAAGCAAGCAGAAGGCAGGAAATAATAAAGATTAGAAAGGAAGTAAATGAAACAGAGAAAAGAAAAACAAGAGAAAATCGACCAAACCAAGTTTGGTTCTTTGAAAAGATCTACAAAATTGACAAATCTTTAACTAGACTAACCAAGGGAAAAAAGAAAAGTCTAAAATTATTAAAGTCAAGAATGAAGGAGGAGACATCACTACTGACCTTACACAAATACAAAGGCTTATAAGGGAATACCATGAATAAGTGCGTGCCAACATATTAGATAGTCTAGGTAAAATGGTCAAATTCCTAGAAAGACACAAACTATCAAAACTGACTGAAAAATATAGAAAATCTGAGTACACCTATAACAAGAGATTGAAATGGTAATTTTAAAAGTTTTCACAAAGAAAAGTCCACAATCAGATGGTTTCACTGGTGAATTCTACCAAATATTCAAAGAAGAATCAACACAAATCCCTCACGAATGTTTTTGAAACATAGAACAAGAGAGAACACTTCCTACCTCATTCCATGAGGTCAATATTACCCTGATACCAAAATCAAACACATCGTAAAAAAAGAAAACCAAAAAGAGACCAATATCCTTTATAAATATAGATAAAAACATTCTCCACCAGGCGCAGAGAATCAAACCTGTAATCCCAGCACTTTGGGAGGCCAAGGTGGACGGATCACCTGAGGTCAGGAGTTCAAGACCAGCCTGGCCAACATGGCAAAACCCCGTCTCTACTAAAAATACAAAAATTAGCCAGGCGTGGTGGCGTATGCCTGTAGTCCCACGTACTTGGGACGCTGAGGCAAGAGAATTGCTTGAACCCAGGGGTTGGAGGTTGCAATGAGCCAAGATCATGCCACTGCACTCCAGCCTGGGCAACAGAGAGATAATCCATCTCAAAAAAAAAAAAAATTCTCAACAAAATACTACGAAACTGATTCCAGAAACATATAAAAAGGATTATATGCCATGACCAAGTGAGATTTATTTTAGGAATGCAAGACATGAAAATTCATCAGTGTAATAAACCATATTAACAAACTAAAGAACAAGAAGTACATGATCATCTCTGCAGGTGAAAAAAAAGCATTTTACAAAAAATCCAACATTCTTTCATGATAAAAAATTAAAACTCAATAAACTAGGAATAGAATGAAATTTCCTCAACCTAATAAAGGGCATTTATGAAAAACCTACAGCTGACATTATACTTAATTATGAAAGACTGAAACCTTTCCCCTAAGATCAGGCACATGATCAGATGTCTACTCTTATTGTGTCTATTTAACATTGTACTGGGAGTTCTAGCCAGGACAGTCAGGCAAGGAAAAAAAAAAAAAAAAAGCATCCAGGCAGACGTGGTGGCTCATGCCTGTAATCCCAACACAATGGGAGGCCGAAACAGCCGGATCACTTGAGGTCATGAGTTTGAGACCAGCCTGGCCAAGATGGCAAAACCCTGTCTGTACTAAAAATACAAAAATTAGCTGGGCGTGATGGTGCATGCTTGTAGTCCCAGCTACTTGGGAGGCTGAGGCAGGAGAATTGCTTGAACTGGGAGATGGAGGTTGCAGTGAGCTGAGATCATGCCACTGCATGCACTCCAGCCTGGGCGACAGAGCAAGACTCTGTCTCAAAAAAAAAAAAAAAAAAATTCAGACTATAAAGGAAGAAGGAAAACTCTATTTGCAGGTGACATAATCTTACACATAGGAAAGTCTTAAGGAATCTACACACACACACACACAACTACTAGAGCTAATTAACAATTTTAGCAATTTTTCAGAATACAAGATCAATATCTAAAAATCAGTTGTATTTCTGTATACATCAGCAATTAACAGTCTGAAAATAAAATTAAGAAAACAATTCCATTCGTAATAGCATCAAAAAGAATAAAAGGCTTAGGTATGAACTTAAGAAGACTTTGTAAGAATTTTACACTATAATGCACAAAACCAACATCAAAATAAATGTTAACAGACATAGATAAGTGGAGAGACACTCTGTGTTTATGAATTGGAAGATTTAATATTGTTTAGATGGCAATATTCCCCAAATAGAACTGCAGATTCAACACAATCCACATCAAAATTACAGCTGCCTTTTTTGTAGAAATTGACAAGCTGATTTTAAAATTTATATGAAAATGCAAGGAATCCAGAATAGCCAAAATAATCTTGAAAAGGAACAAAGTCAGAGGACCTACACTTCCCAATTTTAAAACTTACTACTAAGCTGAGTAATCAAGATTTTTGGTACTTACATAAACACAGAGGAATGAGAGTCTATTTTAAAAACTCATATGTCTATAGTCAACTGATTTTCAACAAGGGTGCCAAAAAAATCAATGAAGAAATTCAATGCCTTTTCAACAAATGGTGCTGGCACAATTATATATCCACAGGTAAAAACAGGAAGTTGGACCCCTGCCTCACACCACATATACAACTTAACTTGAAATGGATCAGAGGCCTAAATGTTAAGAGTTAAACCTGGAAAACTCTCAGAAAACATAGATGTATAGTCGTGCGTTGCTTAACAATGGGGATACATTCTGAGATATGTATCGTTAGGTGATTTCATCATTGTGCAAACATCATGGAGTGTACTTATCCAAACCTAAATGGTAGAGCCTACTGAATACGTGGGCTAGAGGATAAAACCTATTGCTACTAGGCTACAAACCTGTACAGCATGTTACTTTACTGAATATTGTAAGCAATGGAAACACAATGGGTATTTGCATACCTAAACATAGAAAAGGTATAGTAAAAATACAGTATTATAATCTTATAGACCACCATCATGTATGTGGTCCATCACTGACCAAAATGTCATTATATGGTGCACGACTGTATATCTTTGTAACCTTAGATATGACATCATGGCTTCTTAGATATTACATCACAAGTACATGCAATAAAAAAATACATACAAATTAGACCTCATCAAATTTTAAATTTTGTGCTTCAAAAGACACTATTAATGAAGTGAAAAGAAAACCTACAGGATGGGAGATTTGCAAATCATCTGATACAATCTGATAAGTAGTGTCTAGACTCCAGAATATATAAAGAGCACTTACAATTCAACAGCAAGAAGACAAATAACTCAATTTTAAAATGGGCAAAAGATCTAAGTAGACATTTCTCCAAAGAAGATATATAAATGGCCAAGGAGCACATAAATATATACCTAACATCATTAGTCATTAAAGAAACTAAATGGATGAGCCAGGCACGGTGGCTCACACCTGTAATCCCAGCACTTTGGGAGGCCAAGGCAGGCAGATCACCTGAGGTCGGGAGTTCAAGACCAGTCTGACCAACATGGAGAAAACCTGTCTCTACTAAAAATACAAAATTAGCCAGGCGTGGTGGCAGGCACCTGTAGTCCCAACTACTCAGGAGGCTGAGGCAGTAGAAACGGTTGAACCCGGGAGGTGGAGGTTGCCATGAGCCAAGATCGCGCCATCGCACTCCAGTCTGGGCAACAAGAGTAAAGCTCCGTCTCAAAAAAAAGAAATTAAATGGATGGATTAAAATGGTGGCCACTACCCAAGTCAAATGAAATCTTCCCCCTCCATGGTCCCTGGACAAGGGAATGTTACTCTTACAAATCTTCTGTTGACAATACATTTTGATTGTTTGGGTTTTTTGTTTGTTGACAAATAATTGCATATATTCATGGGAAACATAGTGATATTTCAATAAAGAAAATGTATGATGATCAGAGCAGGGTAATTTCATGTCCTTTGTGAAAGGAAAATAAATCTCCTCCAGAAATCACTAAGCCAAAGGGAAAAGTCAAGATGGGACATCCATCAGGCAAACATGCCTCCTGTTTTATTCCTAAATAAGATAACTACAAAAATTTAAAAAGCTACACAGTTCCCTCAAAATATGTCAGAAAGGAAATTTCTTGTGAGCCTCAAGATCTTTATCCTGAAACAGTTCTGTTGAATTTCACCCTGGCAATGTAAATTGATAACTGATACCTTATCTTCACAGATGGGGGACAAAGGACAGACAGAACCCAACGCCATCCCTCTTCTCACCTGAGACAAATGCATATCTGATGGCTTCCTCTGCCCAGTTGTTTATGTAAAAATGCAGATTCACTAAGCGAGACTCAGGCATAAGTGACTACTCCTCTATGGCGTCTCACATATAAATTGTGTATTCAGTGAAAGACTTATCAGAGACTCAAAAGAATGCAACTGTTGGTCTCTTATCTATCTGTGACCTGGAAGCACCCCACCCCCCAACCCTGGTAGGTGCATCAAGTTGTCCCATCTTTCCAGACAGAACCAATATACATCTTACATATATTGAGTGGTGTCCATGTCTCCTTAAAATGTATAAAGTGAAGCTGTGCCCCAACCGCCTTGGGCACATGTCATCAGGACCTCCTGAGGCTGTGTCACAGGAGTGTCCTTAACCTTGGCAAGATAAACTTTCTAAATTGATTGCAACCTGTCTCAGATACTTTTGGATCACACCTCTAACAAGCCTCCCCCTATCCCTTCCCACCCTCTAGTATCCTACATTTTTGAGTGGTAGAAGTTCCAAGCTAGGAGGAATTGGTCTTAAAGATAGTCTAACAACATTCTCAAATTTTAGGATGTTTCCAAGTCATCTGGAGGGCTTGTCAAAACACATATTTCTGGAGCCCAATCCCAGAGTTTCTGATTTAGTAAGTCTGGGGTGGGGCCCAGAAATTGGATTTTCTCAAAAGTTTACAGTTGATGCTGATGCAGCTGGTGTAACCCTTTCCTTCTACACATATGAAAGCTGGCTCCAACAGAGATGGTGTGAATGGTGCAGCTAGTTGTACAAAGTGCTGTCCAGTAAGAACCTTCTGTGATGATGTACATGCTCTTCTGTCCTCCCCAACACCGTAGCCACATGTGGTTACTGAGCACTTAAAACGTGGCTAGTGCAACTGAGACTTCATATTTTTAATGCAATTAATCTTAATGAATTTTAATTCATATGATCGCATATCATACTTACTAGAGTAAGTACCATGTTGGACACCACATTTCTACAAGTGAGGTCTCCTGACTCCCAAGCCAGTAAACTTTCTAATACACAGTACTGCCTTCTGTTTTCAAGCCACTAAGGATGTATGCAAGAGGAGAATCTCTAGGTCTTAGTAAACCTACATGCTCAACTTGCCAATAGACATTGTCAAATGGTTGTCTGTGGCTGAGACCATGGTATACACTCACCAAATTCTGTTTCCAGTTCCTTCTTCAAAGGCACATGAGAAAATATATTTCTCCATCCACTTGCAGTGAGATGAGACCACACGACTGGTTCTGGACAAGGAAATATAAGCTGAAGTGACATATGTCACTTCTAGACCGAGGCAATGAAAACCTCCTGAGAGATTTTCTTTTTTTTGTTGTTTTTTTTCTTTTTTGAGACGGAGTCTTGCTCTGTCGCCCAGGCTGGAGTGCAGTGACACAATATCGGTTCATTGCAAGCTCCGCCTCCCGGGTTCATGCCATTCTCCTTCCTCAGCCTCCTGAGTAGCTGGGACCACAGGCACCCGCCACCACGCCCGGTTAATTTTTTTTTCTTTTTTGTATTTTTAGTAGAGATGGGGTTTCACCATGTTAGTCAGGATGGTCTCGATCTACTGACCTCGTGATCCGCCCGCCTCGGCCTCCCAAAGTGCTGAGATTATAGGCGTGAGCCACCGCGCCCAGCCTGAGAGATTTTCTCATCTCTCTCTCCCCAGCTCTGGCAGCATAGAGGCCTTTAGGAGAGATGAAAGATGCTAGGTTACAGGGTTAACACATGGAGCTGGCCTGAAGAGTAGCTGGGATTTACAGTGGACTTTGTGTGAATGAGAGATAAACTTTAATTGTGCTAACTGAGATTTTTGAAGTTATTTGTTACTGCACTGTGACCTAGTCTATCCTAAATTATACACTCGCTGGCATGATTGTATCAATACTCCCATCAGCATTTTATGAGAATTTCCATCTCCCCATACTTATTTATTTATTCGAAAAATAGTTATTGGCCAGGTGTGGTGGCTCACACCTGTAATCCCAGCACTTTGGGAGGCCAAGGCGGCTGGATCACCTGAGGTCAGGAGTTCGAGACCAACCTGGCCAACATGATGAAAACCCATCTCTACTAAAAATACAAAAAATTAGCCAGGCATGGTTGCGGATGCCTGTAATCCCAGTTACTCAGGAGGCTGAGGCAGGAGAATCCCTTGAACCCGGGAGGCGGAGGTTGCAATGGGCAGAGAGCATGCCATTGCACTCCAGCCTGGGAGATAGAGAGAGACTCCATCTCAAACAAAAATAAAGTTATTGATAGCTGGGCCTGGTGGCATGCACCTGTAGTCCCAGCTACTTGGGAGGCTGAAGTGGGAGGATTGCTTGGGCCTGGGAGGCAGAGGTTGCAATGAGCCAAGATTGCACCAACTGCATTCCAGCCTGGGCAACATAGCAAGACACTGACTCAAAAAAACATAGTTATTGAGCACCTACTATGTTCCTGGGTCTATTTTAGGCACTGGAGATACAACAGCAAACAAAATAGACAGAAAATTGTGACCTCATGGAACTTATATTCCAGTGAAAGAATCAAACAATAAATATAATGAAAAAGAAGATAATATTATATTTTATTTTAGCAGGTGGGCACTGCTATGAAAAACATTAAAGCCAGGTAAAGGGAATTGAGAGCATTGGGTTGCAATTTTTTTTTCTTTTTTAAATTTTATTTCTTTATTGATACATAACAGATATACATATTTTCAGGGAACATGCGGTAACTTAATAAATTTATATAATTTGTAAAGACCAAATCAGGGGGCCAGGTGTGGTGGCTCATGCCTGTAATCCCAACACTTTGGGAAGCCGAGGTGGGTGGATCACAAGGTCAGAAGTTCAAGACCAGCCTGGCCAAGATGATGAAACCCTGTCTCTGCTAAACATACAAAAATTAGGCTGGCATGGTGGTGGGCACCTGTAATCCCAGCTACTCGGGAGGCTGAGGTAGAAAATTGCTTGAACACGGGAGGCGGCAGTTGCAGTGAGCTGAGATTGCACCACTGTACTCCAGCCTGGGCGACAGAGCAAGACTCTGTCTAAAAAAAAAAAAAAAAAAAAAAAAAAGATCAAATCAGGGTAATTAGGATATTCATCACCTTAAATATTCATCTTTATGCTAAAAACATGAAGTCTTCTTCTATTATTCTAATTTTGAAATGTACAACAGATTATTGTAAACTATACTCACCCTACTGATCTATCAAACACCAGATCTTATTTCTTCCATCTTACATTTCTTCCAAATGTAGCTATACATTTGTACCCATTAGTCAATTTCTCTTCATTTCCCCCCTCCACCCTACCCTTCCTGGCTACTGGTAGGAATCACCTATCTGCTCTCTATCTTCATGAGATCCACTTTTTCAGCACCCACACATGAATGAAAACATACGATATTTGTCTTTCTGTGCTTGGCTTATTTCACTTAACATGATGCTGCAAATGTCAGAATTTCATTCTTTTTTATGGCTGAATAATATTCCATTGTGTACATATAGCACATTTTTTCTTTTTTTTTTTCTTTTGAGACAGCGTCTCTCTCTGTCACCCAGGCTGGAGTGCAGTAGCGCAATCTCAGCTCCCTGTAACCTCTGCCTCCAGGGTTCAAGCAATTCTCGTGCCTCAGCCTCCCTAGTAGTTGGAATTACAGGCATGAGCCACCACCGGTTAATTTTTGTATTTTTAGTAGAGATGGGGTTTCACCATGTTGTGCAGGCTGGTCTTGAACTGACCTCAAGTGATCCACCTCCCAAAGTGCTGAGATTACAGGCGTGAGCCACCTCACTCAACCATATACCACATTTTCTTTATGCATTCGCTCTTTGATGGGCACTTAGATTGACTCCATTATCTTGGTTATTGCAGCAAACAGTGCTGCAATAAACATGTGAATGCAAAGAGCATTTCTCCAGTGTTTTCCTCTGGTAGTTTCATAGTTTCAGATCTTAGATTTGAGTCTTTAATAGATTTTTGTTTAATTCTTGGATACAGTGACTTCCTTCCTTTTGGGTGTATTCATAGCATGGGATTGCTGGATCATATGGTAGTTCTATTTATAATTTTTTGAGGAACCTCCATACTGTTCTCCAGAGTGGCTGTACTAATTTACATTCCCACCAACAGTGTATGAGGGTTCCCCTTTCTCTACGTCTTTGCCAGCATCCACCTTTTTATAAAGGCCGTTTTAACTGGGGTGAGGTGATAGCTCACTGTAGCTTTGATTTGCATTTCTCTGACAATTAGCGATGTTGAGCATTTTTGTATATACCCCTTAGCCATTTGAATGTCTTCTTTTAAGAAACGTCCATTCAGATCCTTTGCTCACTGTATTAGTCAGGGTTCTCTAGAGGGACAGAACTGATAGGATAGATGTATATATGAAGGGGAGTGTAATAAGGAGTATTGAGTCACATGATCACAAGGTGAATAGGCCGTCTGCAAGCTGAGGAGCAAGAAGCCAGTCCCAAAACCTCAAAAGTAGGGAAGCCGACTGAGCATGGTGGCTCAAGCCTGTGATCCCAGCACTTTGGGAGGCCAAGGAAGGTGAATCACCTGAGGTCAGGAGTTCAAGACCAGCCTGGCCAACATGGTGAAACCCCATCTCTACTAAAAACACAGAAAATAGTCGGGCATGGTGGTGCACGCCTGTAATCGCACCTACTCGGGAGGCTGAGGCAGGAGAATTGCTTGAACCCGGGAGGCAGAGGTTGCAGTGAGCCGAGATGGTGCCACTGCATTCCAGCCTGGGTGACAGAGTGAGACTCCATCTCAAAAAGAAAAAAAAAAGTAGGGAAGCTGACAGTGCAGACTTCAGTCTGTAGCCAAAGGCCCTGGCAAATCACTGGTGAAAGTCCGCACGTCCAAAAGCTGAAGAACTTGGAGACTGATCAAGGGCAGGAAGCATCCAGCACGGAAGAAAGATGAAGGCCGGAAGTCTCAGCGAGTCTGCCCATTCCATTTTCTTCTTCCTGCTTTATCCTAGCCGTGCTGGCAGCTGGTGGGTACCCACCCAGATTGAGGGTGGGTCTGCCCCTCCCAGTCCACTGACTCAAATGTTAATCTCTTTTGGGAACACACTCACAGACACATCCAGGAACAATACTTTGCATCCTTCAATCCAATCAAGCTGACACTCTGTATTAACCATCACACCCGTTTTTGTTTTTTTGTTTTTGTTTTTTTTTTTGAGACGGAGTCTCGCTCTGTTGCCCAGGCTGGAGTGTGGTGGTGTGATCTCAGCTCACTGCAACCTCTGCCTTCTGGGTTCAAGCAGTTCTCCCTCCTCAGCCTACTGCATAGCTGGGATTACAGGCATGTGCCACCACACCCAGCTAATTTTTGTAGTTTTAGTAGAGAAGAGGTTTCACCATGTTGGTCAGGCTGGTCTTCAACCCCTGACCTCAAGTGATCCGCCCACCTTGGCCTCCCAAAGTGCTGGGATTACAGGCGTGAGCCACTGAGCCCGGCCCACACCCACTTTCTAACTAGATTTTTTTTTCCTGTTGAATTGTTTGAGCTCCTTATATATTCTGGTTATTAATCCCCTGTCAGATGGATAGTTTGCAAATATTTTCTTCCATTCTGTGGTGTGCCTCTTCACTTTGTTTATTGTTCCCTTTGCTTTGCAGAAGCTTTTTGGGTTGATACAATCCCATTTGTCTATTTTCACTTCGTTGCCGGTGCTTTTGAAGCCTTACACAAAAAATCTTTGCCCAGACTAATGTCCTGGAGCAATTCCCCAATGATTTCTTCTGGTAATCTCATAGTTTCAGGTCTTGGATTTAAGTCTTTAATAGATTTTTGTTTGTTTATTTATTTATTTTTATTTTATATATATATTTATTTATTTATTGAGTCAGATTCTCCCTCTATTGCCTAGGCTGGAGTGCAGTGGCACAATCTCGGCTCACTGCAATCTCCACCTCCTGGGTTTGAGCGATCCTCCAGCCTCAGCCTCCCCAGTAGCTGGGACTACAGGCTCACGCTACCACACGCAGCTAATTTTCCAGAGCATCCCAACTGGAAAGGAAGAAGTCATATTAGCCTTGTTCATAGATGACATTTTTTTTACAATAGCTTTATTTATTATTTTATTTTTTAGAGATAGGGTCTCACTCACTCTATCGTCCAGGCTGGAGTGCAGTAGCACCATTATAGCTCACCGCAGCCTTGATCTCCTGGGCTCAAGTGACCTCCCTGTCTTAGTCTCCTGAGTAGCTAGGACTACAGGTGCACCCCACTATGCCTGGCTAATTTTTTAATTTTGTTGTAGAGGTTGGGTCTTGCTCTGTTGTCCAGTGTGGCCTTGAACTCCTTGCTTCAAGTGATCCTCCTGCCTTGGCCTCCTAAAATGCTGGGATTACAGGTATGAGCCACCTGGGCAACACGGCAAAACCTCATGCCTGGCCTGATATGATCTTATACTCGACTCCACCAAAAAACTGTTAAAACTGATAAACAAATTCAGTAAAGTTGCAGGATACAAAATCAACATACAAAAATCAGTAGCGTTTGGCCAGGTGCAGTGGCTTACGCCTGTAATCCCAGCAATTTGAGAGGCCGAGGCAAGTGGATCACCTGAGGTCAGGAGTTCCAGACCAGCCTTGCCAACATGTTGAAAGCCTGTCTCTACTAAAAATACAAAAAATTAGCTGGGTGTGGTGGCGGGCGCCTGTAATCCCAGCTACCTGGGAGCCTAAGGCAGGAGAATGGCTTGAACCTGGGAGACAGAGGTTGCAGTGAGCCCCGAGATCACACCATTGCACTCCAGCCTGGGCAAAAAGAGCAAAACTCTGTCTCAAAAACAACAACAACAAATCCAAACCAAAAAAAACCCCAAATCAGTAGCATTTATATATGCCAACAGCAAACAATCTGAAAAAGAAATCAAGAGAGCAGTCCCATTTACAATAGCCACAAAGAATATAAAATACCTAGGAATCAATTTAACCAAAGAAGTAAAAGATCTGTACAAGGAAAGCTATAAAAACACTAATGAAAGAAGCTGAAGAGGACATACACAAAAAATTGAAAGATATTTCATGCTCATGGTTTAGAAGAATTAATTTTGTTAAAATGACAATACTGCCCAAAGGAATTTGCAGATCCAGTGCAATCCCTATCAAAATACCGGCGACATTCTTCACAGAAATAGAAAAAACAATGCTAAAATTTACACAGAACCACGAAAGACCCCAAAATAGCCAAAGCAATCCTGAACAAAAAGAACAAAGCTAAAGGCATCACACTACGTGACTTCAAAATAGACGACAAAGCTATGGTAACCAAATCAGCATGATACTGGCATAAAGACAGACATGTAGACCACTGGAGCAGAATAGAAAACCCAGATATAAATCCACACATTTACAGCCAACTCATTGTCAGCAAAGGCACCAACAACATACAATGGGGGGAGAACAATCTCTTCAATAAATGGTGCTGAGAAAATCGGAAAACTGTACGTAGAAGAATGAAACTAGAGCTGTAGCTCTCACCATATACAAAAATTAAACAGGCCGGGCTCAATGGCTCATGCCTGTAATTCCAGCACTTTGGGAGGCTGAGGTGGGTGGATCACTTGGGGTCAGGAGTTCAAGACCAGCCTGGTCAACACAGTGAAACCCTGTCTCTACTAAAAATACAAAAATAGCCAGGCGTGGTGGCAAGCACCTATAGTCCCAGCTACTCGGGGGCTGAGGCAGGAGAATCGCTTGAACCAGGCTGCAGGGAGCCAAGATCGCACCACTGCACTCCAGCCTGGGCAACAGAGCGAGATTCTATCTCAAAAAAAAAAAAAAAACCAACTGTGTTATCCTCTCACTGAATATACCCCTTTATCATTGTACAGTGACCTGCTCTGTTTCTTTTCACAAGCTTGGAATTGTAGTCTCTTTTATCTGATACCATATATAGATACCAAGTATAGCTACCCCTGCTTTTTTTTTTTTTTTTTTTTTTGGTTTCCAGTTGCACGGAATATCTTTCTCTAACTCTTCACTTTCAGTCTAAGTGTGTCTTTATAGGTGAACTGGGTTTCTTGTAGACAGCATAGAGTTGGGCCTTTTTTCTTTTTTCTTTCGAGACAAGGTTTGTGGCCCAGGCTGGAGTACAGTGGGGAAATCTCGGCTCACTGCTATCTCCGCCTCCCAGTATCAAGTGATCCTCCCACATCAGCCTCCTGAGTAGTCAGGAATACAAGTGCACGCCAGCCACCACGCCCAGCAAATTTTTTTTTTTTTTTTTTTGGTAGAGACGAGGTTCACTATGTTGCCCAGGCTGGTCTCCAACTCCTGAGCTCAAGCAATCTTCCTGCCTTGGCCTCCCAAAGTGCTTGGATTACAGGCATGAGCCACCATGCCTGGCCTGGGTCTTATTCTTTATCCATTCAGCCACTTTATGCCTTTTAATTGGATAATTTATTTCCTTAACATTCATGTTATTATTGATAAGTAAGGACTTACTACTGCTATTTTGTTGCTTATTTTCTGGTTGTTTTCTTCCTTCTTTTTTTTTTTTTTGAGACAGAGTCTTGCTCTGTCGCCCAGTCATGACTGCAGTGGCGCGATCTCGACTCACTGCAACCTCTGCCTCCCGGGTTCAAGCAATTCTCCTGCATCAGCCTCCCGAGTAGCTGGGACTACAGGCACCCACCACCACACTCACCTAATTTTTGTATTTTTAGTAGAGACGGGGTTTTGCCACGTTGGCCAAGTGGATCTCGAACTCTTGACCTCAAGTGATCCGCCTCCCTCGGCCTCCCATAGTTCTGGGATTACAGGCGTGAACCACCATGCCTGGCCCCCTTTTTTTCTTTCTTACTGTCTTCCTTTGTGGTTAAGTGATTTTCTCTGGTAGTATGTTTTAACTTGTTACTTTTTATTTTTATTGAATCTATTATAGGTTTTTGCATTGTGGTTACCTTAAGGCTTATAAAAAAATCTTATAACAAGTTTTTTGTTTTTTGTTTTTTTTTGAGATGAAGTTTCATTTTTATTGCCCAGGCTGGAGTGCAATGGCACAATCTCGGCTCACCACAACCTCCGCCTCCCAGGTTCAAGCGATTCTCCTGCCTCAGTCTCCCGAGTAGCTGGAATTACAGGCATGTGCCACCACGCCCGGCTAATTTTTTGTATTTTTAGTAGAGAAGCGGTTTCTCTATGTTAGTCAGGCTGATCTCGAACTCCCGACCTCAGGTGATCCGCCTGCTTCAGCCTCCCAAAGTGCTGGGATTATAGGTGTGGGCCACCGTGCCTGGCCCCCTTTTTTCCTTTCTTACTGTCTTCCTTTGTGGTTAAGTGATTTTCTCTGGTAGTACGTTTTAACTTGCTACTTTTTATTTTTATTGAATCTATTATAGGTTTTTGCATTGTGGTTACCTTGAGGCTTCTAAAAAAAATCTTATAACAAGTTATTTTAAAGCGATAACATCTTAGATCACAAAGAAAAAAATAGAAACAATGAATAAAAACTCCACACTTTATCTCCTTCCCTCCCACATTTTGACTTTTTGTTTCCTCAATTTACATATTTTTATTTTGCTTGTCTTTTAACAAGCTGCTATAGCTATTATTGTTTTAATTATGGGGTCTTACTGTGTTGCTCAGACTGGCCTCAAACTCCTAGGTTCAAGTGATCCTCCTGCCTCAGCCTCCCAAGTAGCTGAGACTACACCCAGCTCAATATTATTGTTTTTGATAGATTTGTCTTTGAGGCTTTATGGTAGAGTTAAGAATGAATTGCATACCACAATTACAGTATTGGAGTATCCTGGGTTTCTCTGTGCACCTAATTTTACCAATGGGTTTTATACCTTCAAATATTTTCTTTGGCCAGGAATGATGGCTCACACCTGTAATCCCAACACTTTAGGAGGCCAATGGGGGAAGACTGCTTGAGCTCAGGAATTCGAGACCAGCCTGGGCAACATGGCAAAACCCCATCTCTACCAGAAAGAAAATACAAAAATTAGCCAGGCATGGTGGTGTGCACCTGTAGTCCCAGCTACTCAGGAGGCTGAGGTGGGAGGATCACTGGAGCCTGGCAGTTTGAGGCTGCAGTAAGCTATGATTGGGCCACTGCACTCCATCCTGGGTGATAGAGCAAGATCGTGTCTCAAAAAAAATTTTTTTTCTTTTTGCATGGTTTTTTTTTTTTCCGGATTGAGGAACTCTCTGGAACTGTCTTTCTTCAAGAGAGCATTTCTTATAATACAGATCTGGTAGTGGTGAATTCTCTCTGCTTTTATTTGGGAAAAACTTTATCTCTTCTTCATATTTGAATAATAGCTTTGCTTGATACAGTATTCTTGTATGGCCTTCATGGTTTTGATTGAGAAGTCTGTGGCCAGGTAAATTAGAGCTCTTTTAAGTGTTATTTCCTTCTTTTCTCTTACTGTTTCTAGGATCCTCTCTTTGTTCTTGACCTTTGAGAGTTTGATTATTATATGCCTTGGGGTAATCAAATCTATTTGGTGTTCTCTGGCCTTTCTGTACCTGGATATTTGCAATTTTTGAATGTCTTCCATTGTTTCTTTGAATATCCTTTCTATCCCCTTGCTCCTCCTCAGCTCCCTCTTGAACACCAATAATTCTTAGATTTTGTCTTCTATATTTCGTAGGTGATTTCCATTCCTTTCATTCTTTTTTCTTTTTTCTTCTGTATGTATTTACAAACAGCCCGTCTCCAAGTTCACTGATTGTTTCCTCTGCTTGACCCACTCTGCTGTTGAGAACCTCTAATGAACTTTTCAGTTCAGCAAATGTATTTCTCAGTTCTAAGATTTGTTTGGGTTTTTTTTAAATTATTATTTCAATCTCTTTGTTAAATTTCACTGATAAATTTCTGCGTTGCTTTTCTATGTCGTCTTGGAATTCACTGAGTTTCCTTAAAAATGCCATTTTGAATTCTTAGAAAGCTCACATATTACTGTCTTGTTAGGTTTAGTCACTGGTCCCTTACTTGGTCCATTTGGGGAGCTCATGGTTCCCTGTTTGCTTTGGTTTGTTGTTAATGTACATCTATGCCTTTGCACTGAAGGATTAGTCACTTATTCCAGCCTTCTCCGTCTGGCTTGTTTTGGCTTTTACTGGCTCCATTTGCTTACAGATTCTTCGTAATTGACCTGTTGGTTTCTTTTTTTCTGCTAGGTTGCTGCCTCCTTTTTAGCACTCAGTGGCACCTTAAAACCAGGTTTGCCTTGGCTCTATTAAAGATCAGAGCGTCTCCCATCCCGAATGGGGGAGGTCCCAAAGGGGATATCCCAGTAGCATAGGAAAGCTGGCTAGGGGTTCATTCCCAGGGGAGCTATGGAAGAAACCTCCCACAGCATGGTGCTAACGAACAGCCACTCTGATTTGGCATCTCCTTTGGCCAAGTTATAGAGTAGAGAGAGTTTCCAGGGCTGGGGATGGTAGTCCCACCTCCCCACTTTGTCTGTGGCTATTCTCAGAGGATATTTCTCCCTTGAGGCACTCCTGATGGTTGTATTCTTGTGATTACAGCACTTTGGGAGGCCAAGGCAGGCGGATCACTTGAGCTCAAGAGTTTGAGACCAGCCTGGCCAACATGGTGAAACCCTGTCTTTACTAAAAATACAAAAATTAGCCAAGTGTAGTGGTGGGTGCCTGTAGTCCCAACTACTTGGGAGGCTGAGGCAGGAGAATCGCTTAAACCTGGGAGGCGGAGGTTGTAGTGAGCCAAGATCATGCCACTGCACTCTAGCCTATGTGACAGAGCAAGACTCCGTCTCAAAAAAAATACAGATCTTGTGTGAACTAACAGAATAAGAACTCACTTGTTACCGTGAGGACAGCACCAAGTCATTCATGAGGGATCCACCCCTATGACCCAAACACCTCCCACCAGGCCCCACCTCCAACATTGGTGATCACATTTTAACATGAGATTTGAGACTGAGTAACAAGTGTTAGGATTAAAGGCATGAGCCACCGCGCCCGGCCATCTTCTTTACCTCTCCACTGTGTCAGTTTTATTTTTCTCTTCTTCTCTAGACACTTTGTTCCTCAAGATAGGGGGCAGAGTGGGAAAATGACCATAGTCAGAATCTATGGGAAGGACCCACCCAAAAGGAAAAGGCTTCTTGTGCCCAGGCTGCAGATCCAAACCCCAGGGAAGGACTCTCATTGGTTCAGTCTCCATTCTGTTCCAGGTGGAGCATAATGATTGGTCCAGCCTGACTCGTTTGCCCATCTCTTAACCATCAACATGGTGGGGAGGGGACACGCAGGAGACTGTCAGCTCCTATCCTAAACGGGGGAGGGGGCAGGGGTGATCATTTTCTGAGCTCCTATAAACAAAGTTTCAGTTCTTTTTCCTCCTATGGCTGGAACACTGGAATAAGGAAAGAGGTCGTCTGTCTGGAGAGGCTGGTTGGGGAGTATGGTCTCCCCAGCCCAGCCAAGCTCAGGTCCCTGCATACAGCAGGCGCCTAATTGATGCTTATAGCACGAATGACTGAATGAATACCCCGTTCCCACAGGCTGTCCTGGGATGGTCCTAATTTCACAGACCCTGAGCGGATCAAGAATGAAGCGGGCCCAGGGGTCCCGCCCACCGGCTGAGTGCGTCTTAGGACGCAGAGACAAGACCACGGAGGGCGGAACCTCTGAGCGTTAGGTGGCACCTTGGAGACCCCGCCACCTCCAAAGGCCCAGTTAGGGGCGGAGCTTCTAAACCCTAGCATTTTGGATTGAACCATCGTCCGTCGGTTAAAGGGGAGAGCCGAGAAAGCCCTTCTGCATTTGTCGCCAGCCTTTTTACCACCTCCTGGCCACAGAAACGACGTATTTGCTTCTCTAACGGCGACGCCGTTTCCCCCTTCGCCTCGTTACTCCTCAAAGCCCCACGCGGCCACAGAGTTCAGACTTACCCACCACCACCTTGCAGTGGCTCGCCCCAGTTTGACGCATTGCAGGGAAGGTCGGACCAATGGGCGCCAAGCTCTCATTTCCGCCATGGGCCAGGCCCAATAGTGACGCGGCTCACAGAGGGACGCGTCACGCACCGCCGAGCTGTGCCCCTCCGCCGAAGAAAGTGAAGTGGGCCCGGGAGGCGGGGCGCGCGGCGAGGGAAAGTAGTCCGGCGACGGGAGCGAGCGCGCGCGCGCCCGGCGGCAAACCCAATTCCTGTGCAGGGTGGGGACGAGAGATTCGCGGGCCCGTAGGTGTGGAGCGGGGCGCGGAGGGATCCGTGGGAGCCGCAGTGCGGCGGCGCGCGGGCCGGGTGGGGCGGGGCCGAGCGAGGCGGGGCGCGCGCGGCGGCCGTTGAGGGACCGTTGGGGCGGGAGGCGGCGGCGGCGGCGGCGCGCGCTGCGGGCAGTGAGTGTGGAGGCGCGGACGCGCGGCGGAGCTGGAACTGCTGCAGCTGCTGCCGCCGCCGGAGGAACCTTGATCCCCGTGCTCCGGACACCCCGGGCCTCGCCATGGTGAGTGAGGCTGGGGGGTCGCCGAGGCTGCGGGCTCTGAGGCGGGCTTAACGGGGCAGGACCCCTGAGGGGGCGACAGAGCCCAGAGTGGGGGGCGTCCGGGCCCGGCGAGAGCCTCGGGACCCTTTTCTACCCGCGTTGTCGGGGGCTGTTGAACCCAGAGCGGGACGTCTGGATCACCAGAGGTTTCCAGAAGCGACTTTAGCACCAAATGGGATGTTTAAGTCCACAAATGGGTATCTGAGCCCCTAAAGGGGACATTTGAACCCCGGATGGAGGATCGGGACCCTCAGTGGGACCCCTCAAAAGGATTTTGGACCCAGGATGGGGCGTTGGGTTTCAGGATGGAGGTGTTTGGACCCCAGGGGACGAAATAAGAAAGATGGGCTGGGGAGGGGAGCTATTCGGGCCCTGATGAAGGCGTTTGGTCCTGAGAGGATGCGGGGAACGGGGGACGAAGGGAGGCTGGGCTGCTCCTGGATGGGGTGGTGGAGGGTAGCTGGGCCCGGGCGGGGAGGGGCGACCCCTGGGCTCCTGTGGAGCAGAGGAGAGGGTCAAGGATGGGCGGTCACTTCTACAGATGAGACTCCCGAGGGTGGGGGAGGGTGGGGGAGGGTGGTCTCCAGAGCCCAGCACTGCAGAGGAGGAGGAGGGTGAGGTGCAAGCTTATGGGAGGAAGAGCCTGGGGTGGGTGGCAGCGGAGATTAGAAGATACTCTTGAAGGCTTCCGGGACGGAGAAGGATCAGGGTCGTGGAGGTGGTGAAAAGGGATGGTGAGAGTGGGGCTCGCCAGTAGTCGGGGGACAGGGACCCTTGGGGTTAATTTGGAAGTAGCTAGAAAAGGTTCCGAGGTTACTAGTGGGTTAAGACTGTTGCTCTAGAAAGACAGAATTTTTTTAACGGGGTGGGAGTGTTGTGTTTGGGTCCAAGAGAAGATGGATTTCCAAGGTGAGGGGTGGGGGAGGACTTGGGCTTGGGTGGTTGGGAGGTGAGGTGGAAGGAGAAAATGAATGGCAGTCAGGGGGGCCTAGGTTTGGGGGTGGATGTGGGTAGCACCCTGCCAGTCTCCAGGGACAGGCCAGGACAAAGACGGCTCAGTGTGGATGGGGAGTGGGCTGCAGGGCCCGGAGGAAGCTTTTCTACCGTCCTCCTTCCTCAGGAAGAACGCGGCTGGGTGGAAGACACCGGGGCAGTGGGAGCAGGTGGGCGGAGCTGTTCGGGCCCCTATTGCGCACTGAAGCCTCATGAAATGGGGATGGGAGATCAAAGTTTGGGGTGCCTCGAATGAGCCAGCTTTTTCAAGCCTAGAAGCCTCACTCTGTCGCTGCCCTTTTCAGGCCAAGAGCACTGCCTTTTCCCAGCAGGAGCGCCGGTTTTCTCATGATCCCCAGCCCCACGCACCATGCTGCACCTCGTCACTTGTGCCAAATGACAGTGCAGTACAGTGTGGCGTCAGTGACAATCAGATGCCTATTCCCGTGCCCTCGGGGTGGGGGCTGCAGAGCTTGATCAGAGAGTGCCTCTGGGGAGACCCCTTGATCGGCCTGAGGGCCACTTGTTCCATTCAGGGCCCTCGCTGAGCGTGTCTGTTAATTCACAGGGCTTTGAGAGAAAACCAGCAGACTAGTTCTTTCCTACTCCCTGCCACCCACAACACCCACAGCCCCACCAGGCTGAGCCTGGGAACCGTGTGCAGCCATCCTCCCTGGCAAGGCTGGGGAGAACAGGCAGCCGCTGCTGTGTATCAGATCTCATACTTGCTGACACAGACCTGATGGCTCCTCTTGCCGCTACCCCATTTTCCCCCAGCAGAACCTGGCTAAAAGGGGCCCTGAAGCACTAGCAGGCCCCCTACCTCCAGAATAGGACCCAAGCTTTGGCCACAACTAGTTTCTCTTTCTGTTTGTAATCAGCAAGGTAGAGGTGGGACAAGTCACTGGTAACTGGCCTTGGACTTTGGCCTGAGCTCTGTGGCTCCTCCTTGGCCCGGGTGAGGGGCCCTGGCCTTGGTTTCTGATCTCATCTAACACTGCTCTCTGGCATTGGCTGGGGGCTGGGGCAAGGCAGAGAAATCACACCCTCTTCCCTCCCCCACCTCATGGTTTTTTTTCTTGTCCAGCCCCTTGCTGGAGCCTAAGATGAGGGATAAGGAAGCAGGAGACCAGCTGAGTTATTTTGGAAACAGTTTTTGTTGAAAGTTTAGTCTTCAGGTCTAGAAAGGGAAGAAACCTTGAGCAAGGATCAATGATATCTTCTTAGGCGGTCGGTTTTCTGGGCGGCAACCTTGCTTGAGATCTGTACCTTTCCTTGACCAAGCAGGGAAGTGGGTCTCCAACATGGGAGGGAGAGCATCTGACAGGCCCTCCATGCAGAGCCACGCCTATTTGCAGCAACCCTGTGACAGAACTGAACATGGCAGTGCCTCATCTGCATCTTCCAGTCTTTTGGTGGAGACTGGCAAACGGTGGCCTTCAGAGCCGCTCGGGGCAGTCTGCAGCCTGTCACAGCCTCCTCGCCCCCACCCCCAGCCCCTTACAGTGCTGCCCAAAGGTCCGGGGAGCTGGACTTCTTGCAGGGCGGAACAGTGGGCTGGGAAGGCCCTGACCTGGCTCGCTTTTTCCATTCTAGGCCAGGGGAAAGAATGAAAAGCAGATGGGATGGCAGCCACCTCCCCACACTGCTGCCCTCCTCTCTGTTCTTTCCCTGACCCTCCCTGGGCATTGCCTGGTCTCGGTAACCAGAAGCCCATCCTCCCTTCTCACTTTCCCTAAGCCTCTTCCTCAGGTGTCAGGACCTAAGGGATGGCTCCAGGCTTTTTTGTCCATGGTGGGAGGTGGGGGGCAGGTGGATCAAGAGGCTCATGGGCCTGGGGCTACCAGGTTGGCATTTAGAAGCCCAACCACCCTGTCTTTTTTGAAGGCAATGCAGAAGAATCTTCATTTGGCCTCCCCACCTCCCCTTTACACTTTGGACTTTTCCAGAATGTGCATGTGTGCCGTTTTCTCCCTTCCTCTTTCCCCCTCCCTAAGCCCTCTCCCCTCTGTGATCATCATTTTGATTACCCCTCCCATTCTGCCTATTTGGGGCTTGCAAGTTCTTCTTCCGTTAGGTTTTTTTTTTTTTTTTCTAACTTTTTTAGATCAGTGATTGTTAATATTTGGGACGGGGATGGGGGTAGGGGAGGCAGGCAGTGGTTTGTTCCTAGCTTCTGGAACCTCTCCGTAGAATACTGCAAATTCACATAATAGTCTGCTTCTATTTCTGAGGCTCTCAGACTCGAGACTAGAACATGCTATAGACT
The DNA here is from genome assembly GCF_000001405.40 of Homo sapiens. Lineage (NCBI taxonomy): Eukaryota > Metazoa > Chordata > Mammalia > Primates > Hominidae > Homo > Homo sapiens. The sequence continues at coordinate 46,604,739 of NC_000019.10, forward strand.
TGGAGCCCCTTTCCCTGATTGTGAAAGGAAGGGGAACAGACCCACCATGGTCCCGGGATGGTGGTGCCTTCTTCACAGCATCAACAAAAACCAGGGAAAATGTGTCTTTTGGCTGCTAAAGCTAAATGTTGGGATTCAGCCTCCCCAACCCCCCAGCCCCGCTCCTGCCCCATAGGATCACTATGCCTGGCTGATGCCCAGCACACCAGTGCAGGAGAAGCCAGTCCCCGCATCTCCTCCCCACCCCCAAACCCCGCATGCAGCAAGGGCTGCCTGCCACCCACTGGCCAGTCCCCAGAGTGCCCAAGCTGGAAAGGGTTAAAAACTGCAGTGCAAGCCAGCTTCAGTCCTCTGCTGCTGCCCGCTGCAGCCCTCTCCCTGACGTTTGTCCCTTCTGCCCAAAAGAAACAAAACAGAATGGCCCTGTGCCCTCACTGTGCGCAGGGGGTGGAGCGCCTGCCTCCAGCCTGACCAGAGTTCTTTAGGTGCTTGAGCAACTCGGGCCGCCGGTTAGGAGAATTTTTGCCACTTGGGTGGACTCTGCCTGAGCCAACCGCCTCCAAATAGGTGACACAGAAACTAGCAGAGATAGCCCCAGACATCGTCCCTCTGCCCTACCCAAGGACTGGCCTGCTTCAGTTTGGAGCCTTCTAGAGCTTCTTGATGAGGCCTCCAGGGCAATCGTTCCCTTCACTCGGCCTCTGGGGCTCTCACTGATGAGATGCAAACCTGTGCCAGGCCTCACCAGCGCTGCTGGTTTGGGGCTGGGGCAGGCTTTTCTCCCGCCCCTGTGGCTCCCACATGCTGAGTTGAGATTGGAAGCCCGTGGGTCTGGGCAGCTTCATCGGGCCGTGCGTCCAGCAGGCCTGAGTGTCCAGCCCACCCTGGTACCCAGCTTTCTGAATCACCAGACTTTATCATCAGGCGCTGGCTCTGCCTCAGACCCTGACTCTGGCATGCTCCTCCCTGGCCCGGCGGGAATGGCACGTGGAGCTGGCCTCACTGGGGCCGAGGGTCTGGGCTGAGTGAGGAAGATGCGTCCGTGCTGTCCGGCCTGGTGACTGACTTTCCCCTTCATGCTTTTACAGGCTGACCAGCTGACTGAGGAGCAGATTGCAGGTGAGTCTGCTATCCCCCTCATCTTAGCTCAGGAAAGCCTCCACATCCCCAGCCAAATCTTAGCCACTGAGGAGTGACATCTGATGGGTGAACCTGTGTATCCCTTGTGTCACCTAACACTATGCCTTGTGCCTAGAATGCTGATAAATGTGTGTAAGAGCACACCAGTGCCCCAATGACACGAAGCCCCATGGCCCTGAGACAGGCCTTTACCAGACACCAAAGGCTGTGTTCCTCTCCTGGGCCTGGGTCATCTAGGGGCTTGATATCAGTGGCTGCAGGACGAGCCCAACTCTCTCTCCCAGCTTCAGCCAGGTTGGCTTAGAAGGTGAGCTCCCTGCCTCCCTGTGGGGCCTGCAGAGCTCCTGTCCCACTTTAGGAGCCGCCCAGGAGCTGGCTCGTCACTCCCACCTCTGCGCTTGCCTGCGCTTTGCACTTCCTTTCGCATGTGCCTGCGCCTGCCTGTTCTGCTGGCGGAAGTGCCTCCCCAGTGCTTTGCATGGGCAGCTCCTTCCCGTCCCTTAGCTCAGATGTCCCCTCGGGGAGGCCTTCCCTGACCCCCATCTCAAGTACACAGCCTTCCTTTACTCTCCTTCACATCACTTTATTTTCTTCATAACCTTTCTCGCTGTCTGAAATTATTTTCTTATGTCTTCACCTGTTGTATCTCCTGTTACTAGATGTGAGTTCCATTGAGTTTGGGACTTGGTTTTGTTGGTCCCTGCTATAGCCTTAATGCCTGCCTAGAACGTAGTAGGTCCTCCGCAAACTTTTGCTGGCTAAACAAACATCTCTCTCTCAGCAAGCTAGAAGAAATCCCTGGATCCCATCTAATTCATTTTTCTAACCCCTCCAAAACCCCAGAAGGGTCAGCTACAGGAACTATTGTGTAATTACAGATCCGTGCCTGCCTACCCGCCCATACTGAGCTGCCCGAGGACAGAGAGCAACTCTTGGTTTATCTCCATAGCCAGGGGCCAGCACACAGTAGACCAGAGTAGCGATCCAGAGAATGGGCCTCTGCTCCCCACCAGCTACCCAGCCCCCAGCTCTGCTGTCAGGTTCAACCGGCTGTGTAACAAGTACTAAAGGCCCAGCTTCTGCGGTGGGAGGCAGGAACGGACTTGCCTTCTCTCCTTTCTCCCCTCAACCCGCATCACAGAGTCACCTTTGCAGCTTCAAAATTTTGGCCCTGGGTGGCTATGGAGACCCCTGAGGAAAGCCAGAAGATGGCCTGGTTTAGTGATCATGAGCTCGGGGTGCCCCATGACCCACTCACTACCTGCCCTCCCCAAGAACAACAAGGCCTCAGCACAGGGAGGTGCCAGCCTCCCCAAAGAGACTCTTGCCATGTCCCCAGGGCCCAGAGGCTCAGGGCCACAGCTTCCCAGCTGTGCATGTCCCTCCCAATGCACCTGCCACCCATCTCCCAACTCTGGCCTTGTGCAACATAAACGGTCTGCTTTTCACCCTGTCCCCATTAGCAAACTGTCCACCGCCTCACCCCAGCCCACACCCTCTGGGAATAGGCTGCCGGACATCTGTTTTTGGAGGGCTTGGGGGTAGAGGAGCACCAGGTGCCAAAATGGGCCCAGTGGGAGGGCAAGAGCCATGTGCTTTTCTCCCTGCCCCTGATGCGGCCCCAGCTGTGGCCTTCCCACTCAGCACTGCTAGCTCCTCATCCTCCTGGCTTGGCAGCCGTCCCCTCGCTTTCCATCCCCCCATCAACCCCACGCACTGTCCGTCAGCCATGTTCTGCTGCCGACCACCCCCACGCTCACCACACGCAGTGGCTCAGCTCCTTTGGAAGCTGGTAGCACCCACGGCAAGGAACAGGGCTGCCAGTCAGAAGGGAGTGGATGCCTGCATTTCCTCTTCAGGCCGGCCAGAGGCATTCTGCAGCCTCCCCTCCTCGTCCCAGCCAGCCAACCCTGGCTAACACACTCAGACAAAGAATCCTTTCGGCTCTCATTCACTCCATGACTTTGGTTCATTTCATCATTTCAAGGGAGAAGTCAAAGCCAGGGACCAAACAGAAATGTAGAATCATCTAAGGACAGCTGTCAGACCATTTTCCCCACTGTCTTCACTGGCTGGCCAGAAAAATAGCTTCACCTAGCACAGTGTTGATGTTCAATAACTGTTGAATGAAGGTTGGAAGGGCTTTGCCCTGAGCACTGAGGAGAGAGAGCTGGTTGCGTGGGACTTGAAGTCTGTCTCAGTTTCTTTAGGTGGGACTGATGCCCTTGGCCTTCCTCCAGGGAAGGCATCCAGCATCCAGAGGTAAGGATTCTCCTGTGGACCTTGTGACCTCTGACTCCTCCCCCTTCTTCCCCCAGAGTTCAAGGAGGCCTTCTCCCTCTTTGACAAGGATGGAGATGGCACTATCACCACCAAGGAGTTGGGGACAGTGATGAGATCCCTGGGACAGAACCCCACTGAAGCAGAGCTGCAGGATATGATCAATGAGGTGGATGCAGATGGTGAGCCCCACAGAGCGCGTGGGCAGCCCTGCTCCTGGTCACCCCGAGTGACTGCAGGGAGCCTCTCTCAGGGTGATGGATGAGCCCGTGTCTCTCAGGGCCCAGGCCAAGAGCATTCTCCATCCTTTCCCCACCTTCCAGGGAACGGGACCATTGACTTCCCGGAGTTCCTGACCATGATGGCCAGAAAGATGAAGGACACAGACAGTGAGGAGGAGATCCGAGAGGCGTTCCGTGTCTTTGACAAGGTAAGCAGCCCTCTCCAGGGGCGGCTCTGAGACTGACGCCAGCCTTCAGGCAGACAGGCGGAACTGGAGCCACGGAGCTACCACTTCCAGGAGGTCCGGGTCCCGGTGCCAGCCTCATTGCCAACCTGCTCTGCCACCTCAGGCAGCCTCCCTCACTGTGCTCACTGCTGAGGGATGGTGATGACAGCCACCCCTCTCACTGCCTCTCTCCCCACCGGGAGAAGTGCCCAGTGAAAGGCTTTATCCCCAACCCCCAGGATGGGAATGGCTACATCAGCGCCGCAGAGCTGCGTCACGTAATGACGAACCTGGGGGAGAAGCTGACCGATGAGGAGGTGGATGAGATGATCAGGGAGGCTGACATCGATGGAGATGGCCAGGTCAATTATGAAGGTGAGTCAAGGCCAGGCTTGATCTCTGGAACAAGAAGAGAATCGCAGCTTCAGGAACAAGCCCCCAGATCCCTCTTGTTGGGGAGGGCCGCTCGCCACTTAGCCTGCCCGCCTGACCTCCTCTCTCTCTGCTTCACTCCACAGAGTTTGTACAGATGATGACTGCAAAGTGAAGGCCCCCCGGGCAGCTGGCGATGCCCGTTCTCTTGATCTCTCTCTTCTCGCGCGCGCACTCTCTCTTCAACACTCCCCTGCGTACCCCGGTTCTAGCAAACACCAATTGATTGACTGAGAATCTGATAAAGCAACAAAAGATTTGTCCCAAGCTGCATGATTGCTCTTTCTCCTTCTTCCCTGAGTCTCTCTCCATGCCCCTCATCTCTTCCTTTTGCCCTCGCCTCTTCCATCCATGTCTTCCAAGGCCTGATGCATTCATAAGTTGAAGCCCTCCCCAGATCCCCTTGGGGAGCCTCTGCCCTCCTCCAGCCCGGATGGCTCTCCTCCATTTTGGTTTGTTTCCTCTTGTTTGTCATCTTATTTTGGGTGCTGGGGTGGCTGCCAGCCCTGTCCCGGGACCTGCTGGGAGGGACAAGAGGCCCTCCCCCAGGCAGAAGAGCATGCCCTTTGCCGTTGCATGCAACCAGCCCTGTGATTCCACGTGCAGATCCCAGCAGCCTGTTGGGGCAGGGGTGCCAAGAGAGGCATTCCAGAAGGACTGAGGGGGCGTTGAGGAATTGTGGCGTTGACTGGATGTGGCCCAGGAGGGGGTCGAGGGGGCCAACTCACAGAAGGGGACTGACAGTGGGCAACACTCACATCCCACTGGCTGCTGTTCTGAAACCATCTGATTGGCTTTCTGAGGTTTGGCTGGGTGGGGACTGCTCATTTGGCCACTCTGCAAATTGGACTTGCCCGCGTTCCTGAAGCGCTCTCGAGCTGTTCTGTAAATACCTGGTGCTAACATCCCATGCCGCTCCCTCCTCACGATGCACCCACCGCCCTGAGGGCCCGTCCTAGGAATGGATGTGGGGATGGTCGCTTTGTAATGTGCTGGTTCTCTTTTTTTTTCTTTCCCCTCTATGGCCCTTAAGACTTTCATTTTGTTCAGAACCATGCTGGGCTAGCTAAAGGGTGGGGAGAGGGAAGATGGGCCCCACCACGCTCTCAAGAGAACGCACCTGCAATAAAACAGTCTTGTCGGCCAGCTGCCCAGGGGACGGCAGCTACAGCAGCCTCTGCGTCCTGGTCCGCCAGCACCTCCCGCTTCTCCGTGGTGACTTGGCGCCGCTTCCTCACATCTGTGCTCCGTGCCCTCTTCCCTGCCTCTTCCCTCGCCCACCTGCCTGCCCCCATACTCCCCCAGCGGAGAGCATGATCCGTGCCCTTGCTTCTGACTTTCGCCTCTGGGACAAGTAAGTCAATGTGGGCAGTTCAGTCGTCTGGGTTTTTTCCCCTTTTCTGTTCATTTCATCTGGCTCCCCCCACCACCTCCCCACCCCACCCCCCACCCCCTGCTTCCCCTCACTGCCCAGGTCGATCAAGTGGCTTTTCCTGGGACCTGCCCAGCTTTGAGAATCTCTTCTCATCCACCCTCTGGCACCCAGCCTCTGAGGGAAGGAGGGATGGGGCATAGTGGGAGACCCAGCCAAGAGCTGAGGGTAAGGGCAGGTAGGCGTGAGGCTGTGGACATTTTCGGAATGTTTTGGTTTTGTTTTTTTTAAACCGGGCAATATTGTGTTCAGTTCAAGCTGTGAAGAAAAATATATATCAATGTTTTCCAATAAAATACAGTGACTACCTGATTTGGCTCCTCTCCTCCTGTCTCAGTTTCTGGCCTGCCCCCCTCCAACACACATACACACCAACCCCAGCACTGACTCCTTTGGCCCAGAGGTGGAAGAGCCTCTCCTCAAAGCTGGCTCTGAAGCTGTGTCCAGTCAGTGCAGCCCAGTGGACGCCTCTGAACCACAGTTCTGATCCCAGCTAGATCGCAGGGTCATCAACGGCAGGGTCCTGTCCTAGAGATAGTCGCACAAATGGACTGAAAGGCGGGGACTGAGAAGGCTCCTCTGAGGCAGGCCCATCATGCCATGGGAGCACACAGAGAAGGGGTCAGCCCAGTCAGGTGGCAGGACTGAGCTGAGACCTACCTGAAAGATGGGCAGTCCCCTAGCCGGGTAGGGGAAGGACGGAAGGGCATTCCAGTTCGGGGGGACGACATGTATGGAAGCCCTGAGGCAAGAGAAGCCCAGACATCAAGGAACTGAAGGAAATCCAGCGAGACTGGGTGAGAGCCCCGAGCAGCTTGGAGCCCAGCCGGGTGAAGAGAGGAAGGCAGGGGCAGGCCCTGCAGTGGGTGAGCCTCTTGATGCTTTGGGGAGAGGGGTGGCATTCACTGCTTTAGTCTCACAGGCAGCCAAAACATGCCAAGTTTGGATCTACAGTGGTGAGAAAGGCATGGTCCTGAGCTCACAGGGAGGGCACGGGACTCAGTGTTGGTTTGAAGATCTGAAACAAAAAGCCCAAAACAATTGCAAACCACACAAGGCAGAGTACAAACCACTATGCGGTCACAGCCAAATTACAAACCACAGAAAGCTCAACTTTCTCGTGGCAAGTGGGGATGTGAGGAAGAAGCCGCCTCAACAGCGCCCAGTGGCACATTCCTGTAATCCTCCTACTTTGAGAGGCTGAGGCAGGAGGATTGCTTGATGCCAAGAGTTTGAGACCAGCCTGGGCAACATAGCAAGACCCTCCCATTCCAGTGGGGCTATAGTGGAGGGATGGGTCAGAATCCTCAAGGGCTCTTCTCATTCTCCCTCGGGGGAATGGGGAATGAGAGGTTAATAAGCATTGTCTTTAACTTCTGAGCTTCTCACACAGGAGCTGGGCAAGGGTGGAGCAGAGACAGAAGTCAGTGGAATAAAAAGAGGTCCTTCCACTCATCTGCACTTGGCCTCAGAGGGCAGGGGAAGCCTGGCCCAATCCCAGGGCCCTCCTTGTGGCAGAGAGATCAGGCCTCGGCTGGGTTTTCCTGGTGCATCCCAGTCACCGGAGCCAGCGGCGAGGGTGGAGACATTGGGAGTGGCAGGCCATTTTCCAGGGCCCCAGCTTCTGGGCCCCCTTTTCCTGCCACCTGGTTGTGGCTTGGCATTTGGTGGTGCAGTAAAGACGGTAGAGTATAGTGGATAACTTGGGGTCTGAGCAAAAGCACCTGCCTTAGCATTCCGGTTCCAGCACTTACCTGCCTTGTGGCCTTGGGCAGATGCCTTAGAGTTTCTGGACCTCAATGACCCTGTCCACAAAATGGGGGTATAATGGTACCTGCCTCCTGAGCTGAGGATTGGATGAGGCTACAGGAAGGAGGGGGGTGTGCAGTGCTCAGGAAGTGTTCTGTGAGCACCTGCCGCCACTGGCTGGGTGCTTCCTGCTTCATGGGCTGCCTTTGAAGCTCTGCATCCATGAGCTCATCGGAGCCTTAAAGCAACCATTTGGGCTGGATGCCATTAGTTCCCATTTTGCTGACCAGGAAACTGAGGCCCAGAGAAGTGAAGTCACTACTGCAAGGTTATGAAGTAGGAAGTGACACAGCCGGAATCTGAACCAGATCTAACCCTGAGGAGTCCAAGCCCACAGCAGCTGGGCTTTAGGGTAAATGGTAGTTTAAAAACAGACAGACTTCAGGCAGGCCAGAGCCAGAGCCAGTGGGGAGGCCAGGCTGAGGCTGGCGTCCCAGTGGTGGGGTCTGAAATGGGAGCTGCCCCCTTAGCAGTAAGGGTACCTGAGAAAAATTCTGGTCTAGTAGTTGAGTCAAAGATGGGCTGTGGTTTCCCACAGGATTGGGCTCAAATCCCAGGTTGAGACTCACTCACAAGAGTGAGTCTTCGTGCTCACTAAGTCCCAAGGGGCCACCTCTGCCACTTCAATAAACTTGGAGCAGCGATTTAACTTCCCTTGGCCTCCATTTACAAGTCTGCAAAATGGCAAAGGATAATAATCTGTAAAGGAAGACGATACAAATATCCACCAACTTGGGTTGTGCCAAACTTTTTTTTTTTTTTTTTTTTTTTTTTTTTTTTTGAGATGGAGTCTCACTCTTGTCTCCCAGGCTGGAGTGCAATGGCATGATCTCGGTTCACTGCAACCTCTGCCTCCCAGGTTCAAGTGATTCTCCTGCCTCAGCCTCCCGAGTAGCTGGGATTACAGGGTCATGCCACCATGCCCGGCTAATTTTTGTATTTTGGTAGAAACGGGGTTTCACCATGTTAGCCAGGCTGGTCTCTAATTCCTGACCTCAAATGACCTCCGCCTGCCTCAACCTCCCAAAGTGCTGGGATGCCAAACTCTCTCTCTTTTCGCCTCCCCCTACCCCCCCATGCCCCCCCTTCCCCCCCAGCCTAGGCTGGAATGCAGTGGCGCCATCTCGGCTCACTGCAACTTCCGCCTCCCAGGTTCAAGCAATTCTCCTGCCTCAGCCTCCTGAATAGCTGGGATCACAGGCGCCACGCCCCACTAATTTCTTTTGTATTTTAGTAGAGACGGGGTTTCACCGTGTTGCCCAGGCTGGTCTCAAACTCCTGAGCTCAGGCAGTCCGCCCGCCTCGGCCTCCCAAAGTACTAGGATTACAGGCGTGAGCCACCGCGCCCGGCCGTGCCAAACTTTATAGACATCATTTCACTTAGTTCATACCCAGGCTGGATGGACTGATTAAAACGCAGCACCCGCTCAAGGTGTGCGGACCCTGCCCAGGCTTGCCGGCAGGAGTCACTAGAGAAATCTGGCAGTAGAGGAGTGGAGGCCGGGCAGGTGAAGCCTCTTGCACCACACTTACTGGAAGCAGCTGAGCGGGGTCTCAAAGCCCAGCGCACTCGGATCCCAACGCCCACGCCTTCTCCCACCGCATCCCGGTACCCATGCTTCTCAGCGGCCTATAAGTAGTTTCCCCCTTGGGCCCTATGTTTTGAAAGACTTTTACTGCCAGACAGGCTACATTATTAAATAATCATGACTTCCCTTCCCATTTTTTATTAATCAAAGACAAATAGACCGCACTCAGCTTCTAATGGCCCCTGGGCAAGCGCTGAGGGGAGCCGGCTCCAGCCCAAAGAAGAGAAATGCCTAGACCGGGAGTCATTTCCAGTTCAGCCTCGCAGGTCTACCAGACCAGCTCAAAACCTGTCCTGAGAAAGTGACTAGAGAAGGGGACTTACCAGGGATGCCCAACCAGGGCCGCCTGGGATCCTCGGGCTCCCAAGGATCCCCTCACTTCCCAGAGGGTGGCTCTGGGGCCACTCCTGAGTGTCACTCCCAGTGTGACCAGCAGGTGGGGCAATGACCACGGAAGACCCTGAAGAGCTGCAACTCCCAGGCCCAGCCCACGGCATAAATCTGTGTGCGCCGGTGTTTAAGTCCCATTTGTGGGTCAGGCCGGGTGCTAGGGAGATGGGAATGAATAAAAAGAAAGAAATCGTAAAATGAATCAAGTCCCCTTGAGTCCCCCGTTCCCAGCACATCACTTCCTGAGCCCCACCCCAGACTAGGGCAGGCGCCTAGAGCAGTCAGCCTCTGTGTCTGCTGGTTTGAGCCAACTGCAGATCAAAAATATTCAAAACACACAGGGTGCGGTGGCTCAAGCCTATAATCCCAGCACTTTGGGAGGCTGAGGTAGGTGGATCACCTGAGGTCAGGAGTTTGAGACCAGCCTGGCCAACATGATGAAACCCCATCTCTACTAAAAATACAAAAATTAGCCAGGTAAGCTGGGAGCGGTGGCTCACGCTTCTAATCCCAGCACTTTGGGAGACCAAGGCAGGTAGATTATTTGAGGTCAGGAGTTCGAGACCAGCCTGGCCAACATAATGAAACCCCGTTCCTACTAAAAATACAAAAATTAGCCAGGCGGTAGTGGTGCGCACCTGTAGTCCCAGCTACTCAGGAGGCTGAGGCAGGAGAATTGTTTGAACCCAGGGGGCAGAGGTTGGAGCGAGCTGAGATAGAGCCACTGCACTCCAGTCTGGGCAACAGTGAGACCCTGTCTGCCCCACCCCCCCAAAAAAAATTAGCCAGGTGTGGTGGTGGGCTCCTATAATCTCAGCTAGTCGAGAGGCTGAGGCCCAAGAATTGCTTGAACCCGGGAGGTGGAGGTTGCAGTGAGCCGAGATTGTGCCACTGCACACTTGGGTGACATAGCGAGACTCCGTCTCAAAAAACAAAACAAAAAAAACACAATAAAATATACAACTTTTAAAACAATACAGTATAATTATTTACATAGCATTTGCATTGAATTAGGTGTTATAGGTAATCTAGAGATGAGTTAAGGTATAAAGGAGGACGTATGTAGGTTATATACAAATATGACACCGTTGTATATAAGGAACTTGAGCATCCACAGATTTTGGTATCCCAGGAGGGTCCTGAAACCAATCCCCCTAGGATACCGAGGGATGACTGTCTATATTTTCACAGATCCTTGTACTGTGCCCTCTTAGTACGGCTTGTGATTTTGTATCTGAGCTGCTTATTATAAAACATTTCTTTTTGAGACGGAGTCTCACTCTGTCACCCAGGCTGGAGTGCAGTAGTGTGATCTTGGCTCACTGCAAGCTCCACCTCCCCGGTTCACGCCATTCTCCTGCCTCAGCCTCCCAAGTAGCTGGGACTACGGGTGCCCACCACCACGCCCGGCTAATTTTTTTGTATTTTTAGTAGAGACGGGGTTTCACTGTGTTAGCCAGGATGGTCTCGATCTCCTGACCTCATGATCCACCCGCCTCAGCCTCCCAAAGTGCTGGGATTACAGGAGTGAGCCCCCACGCCCAGCCAAAACATTTTTTTTTAGACAGAGTCTCGCTCTGTCGCCCAGGCTGGAGTGCAGTGGTGTGATCTCGGCTCACTGCAGCATCAACCTCCCGGACCCAAGCAATCCTCCCAACTCCACCTCCCAAGTCGCTGGGAATATAGGCACAGACCACCACGCCCAGCTAATTTTTGTATTTTCTGTAGCGAAGAGGTTTCACCATATCACCCAAGCTGCTCTTGAACTCCTGGGCTCAAGCGATCCACCTGCCTCGGCCTCCCAAAATGCTGGGATTACAGGTGTGAGCCACTGCGCACGACCTTTGTAACACATTTTTATGTGATTATTCAATCACCCACGTGGATTGTGAACGAGGTAGGGCCAAGGCTATGTCAGTCACCACTATATTCCCAGTGGGCACGAGGCAGCCTCGGGTCCAGACCAGAGCAACTCAAGGTAATGTATGTTGAGTTAATGAATATACAGGAGGCTTAGAAGGGAGGCATCAGATGCCCCAAGTTGGAGGTGTAAGCACGACAGAAATGCTTTTTTTTTTTTTTTTTTTTTTTTTTAGACAAAGTCTCACTCTGTCGCCCAGGCTGGAGTGCAGTGGCGTGATCTCGGCTCACTGCAACCTCTGCCTCCTGGGTTCAAGTGATTCTCCTGCCTCAGCCTCCCAAGCATCTGGGAATGCAGGTGCCCGCCACCACACCCAGCTAATTTTTGTATTTTTAGTAGAGATGGGATTTCACCATATTGGCCAGGTTGGTCTCAAACTCCTGACCTTGTGATCTGCCTGCATCAGCCTCCCAAAGTGCTGGGATTACAGGCATGAGCCACCGCACCTGGCCAGAAACCCTTCTCTTAACTTGTTTCACTTTCTGCTAAACCTCAGGTCCCCGCTCAGCCATCCCCTCCTTTCAGAAGCCCTCCTGCCTAGACACCCTTCCACCCTGCTTCATGACCATTCTGAGGACAGGGCTGTCTCCCCCACCAAACTGAGCTACGGGAGGGCAGGGCCAGGTCTATCTCTATCACTGCCATGTCACCAGCATCACAGGGACAAGCCCTGACATACAGTAGTCCCTCAACAAGACCCTGCGGAGCGGGTGAGCAGACACACGTCCTTGCCATGGCAGGCTGTGGCCAGTGCCATCGTGCAGCCGAAAAAGTTCTGAGGGCCCGCTGAGGGAGGAGTGGTTGCATCTTCAAGGAGGAAAAATGTAAGAAAGAATTTGAAGGGCAAGGGTGTTTTTGACGGATGGAAAAGGGAAAAAACAGTTCCAGGAAGAGTGAGCTCAATAAGCAAAGATGCGGGGGCCCAAAATGTCACGGCCTCTTTGAGGAAACCGCAGCCATCTGTTGCGGCCTCAGCCAAGGCCTGCAGGGGGGTGGGAGCGCGGGAGCTGGCCAGGAGCCTCCAGGTGGCGCCTGAGCCCTGGGAGCTTTCCAAGGCTGGCAGGGACTGCCAGATAGAGCTCTCTGGACAGGACCCGGGCAGCTGGCAGAGAGGATGAACTTGGACAGTCAGGGGCCAGGATCCCATCTAGGAGGAGTTTCCAAATCACCCCCGAGGGGCAAAGGGTGGATGGGGGGCATTGTCTGAAAACCTCTGGCCTGTTAGACAGTGTAGACACCCAGGTCAGAGGTGGGGTGAGGGGAGGGGTCTGCAGCAAACAGTGAGATGTCAGGCCCTGGGGGAGTAAGAGCCCACAGAACCCCAGCTTCTACGTTGCATCCTCACTTCCCCTTAATCCTCATCTGAAAAATGGGAATGAGAGCAGCACCCACCGCAGGCAAGGATGCTGTGGTCCAACGCTCAGCTCTGCCTGGTACACAGTGAGCCCTCAGAGGCCAGATGGGCAGAACTGACCCACCTTCGGGGGTGACACAGAGAGAGGAGGTGAGCACCCTTCAATGCCCTTCTCCAGAACCCCCCATCCCTTCCTCACCATCCTCTGTTGGGGGTAGGAGGGTTGGCCAAGGTTTGGCCAGGCGTGGTGACAAAGTCAGGTCCCAATCTGATGTTTGTCAACCTGTTGTGCTTTTGCTTTTAACAAGGGCTTTTTTTTTTTTTTTCTTTGAGGCAGAGTCTGGCTCTGTCACCCAGACTGGAGTAAACATCTCGGCTCACTGCAACCTCCGCCTCCCAGGTTCAAGCAATTCTCGTGCCTCAGCCTCCTGAGTAGCTGGGACTACATGTGTGCGCTACCACACCTGGCTAATTTTTGTAATTTTTTTTTTTTTTTTTTGAGACGGAGTCTGGCTCTGTCGCCCAGGCTGGAGCGCTGTGGCGTGATCTCGGCTCACTGCAAGCTCTGCCTCCCGGGTTCACACCATTCTCCTGCCTCAGCCTCCCGAGTAGCTGGGACTACAGGCGCCCGCCACCACGCCCGGCTAATTTTTTGTATTTTTAGTAGAGATAGGGTTTCACTGTGTTAACCAGGATGGTCTCTATCTCCTGACCTGGTGATCCGCCCGCCTCGGCCTCCCAAAGTGCTGGGATTACAGGCGTGAGCCACTGCGCCCGGCCTAATTTTTGTATTTTTAGTAGAGATGGGGTTTCACCATGTTGGCCAGGCTGGTCTCAAACTCCTGACCTCAGGTGATCCTCCTGCCTTGGCCTCCCAAAGTGTTGGGATTACAGGTGTTAGCCACCATGACAGGCCAGCACCCAGCTAATTTTTTTATTATTATTTGTAGAAACAGGTTCTTGATATGTTGCCCAGGCTGGTCTTGAACTCCTGGGCTCAGGGGATCCTCCCGCCTCAGCCTCCCAAAATGCAGGGATTACAGATGGGAATCACCTCGCCCTGCCTACTTACTTTATTTTTTAAATTTTTTTTTAATCGCAGTAAGATACACATAACATAAAAGTTGCTATTTTAACCATTCAAAGTTACAATTCAGTGGCATTCAGTGCATTCACACTGTTGAGCAACCCTCACTACTATCCAATTCCAGAACATTTTCATCACCCCAAAGGGGAACCCCAAGCTCATTCATGGGTGACCTTGACCTGTTTTTAACTCTCCCAGACACCCCTTGTTCTGCTTTATTGTGATTTGAAACGTGGTTACCTGGGCAGGGTGGGGGAAGTCAAAACACCCGAACCAGAGCCAGGAGGTGGTTTCCTTTTAAATTGTATCTGTCCAAATAACAATAGCAACAGCTGCAGCAATGGCAATCATAGTGACATTTCTTATGGGCTTTATTCCAAGCCCTGAGCTAATTTGCTTTTCAGAGGGAATTGCTTAATCCCCAAAGCCGCCATGCAAGCTAAGTGCTAGATTATGATCAAAAGGAAACCAAGGTGTCCCGGAGTGGATAGACGGGCCTGCTCCAAGCCCACGCCCACTCGCTGTGTGAGTCGGGACAGGTGGATTATCATCTCTGGACCTGGACTCCGTCTTCTGTAGAAAGGACTTATTGCTGGGCTCAGAGGCTCCCACCTGTAATCCAAGCATTTTGGGAGGCTGAGGTGGGAGGATCACTTGAGGTCAGGAGTTCGAGACCAGCCTGGCCAACGTGACGAAACCCCGTCTCTACTACAAATACAAAAAAATTAGCCAGAGGTGGTGGTGCACGCCTGTAATCCCAGCTACTCGGGAGGCTGAGGCAGGGGAATCACTTGAACCCGGGAGGCGGAGTTTGCAGTGAGCCAAGATGGTGCCATTGCACTCCAGCCTGGGTGACAGAGTGATATTCTGTCTCAAAAAAGAAAGAAAGAAAGAAAGAAAGAAAGAAAGAAAGAAAGAAAGAAAGAAAGAGAGAGAGAGAGAGAGAGAGAGAGAGAGAGAGAGAAAGAAAGAAAAGAAAGAAAGGAAAGAAAGAAAGAAAGAAAGAAAGAAAGAAAGAAAGAAAGAAAGAAAGAAAAGAAAGAAAGAAAGAAAGAGGATTTATAATAGGTTGCCCTGTGGATGGAGTGGGAGGAAGCGCTGCCTACCCCTCGAAGAGTTGGCTGCTGTTGTCCTCATGGGAGGCTCAGGCCTCACGTACCGCGCCTCTCCCCAAGTGTGGATTTTTTGTTTTAACAGAGGGGGAGAGTAGGAAAGGGGAACTGGGACTGGCAGTGCAGTGGGGCTGGGTGGGGGGAGTTCCCACTCACCCTCCCCCACCCTAAACGCCTACTCACTTCCTTCCATGCTCATCAGCTCACTCCTGAGCACCCTCCATCCTGGGCCTCTCTGAGGGCAGGGAGTGGTCATGAGAAGCCTGTGTGGATGGCAGGCTGGAAATCACCCCGGCAGGGCCCAGGGTGGAGCAGGGGCTTGTCTGTGTCCTTAACACCAGGCAATCAGCACTGCTGAATTTCAGTGGAAGGTTGAGGGTTTTTTTGGGTTTTGTTTTTGAGACAGTGTCACTCCGTCACCCAGTGGCACGATCTCAGCTCACTGCAGCCTCAACCTCCCACGTTCAGGTGATCCTCTTGTCTCAGCCTTCCTAGGAGCTGGGACTACAGGTGTGCACCACCACGCCCAGCTAATTTTTAAAATTTTTTTGTAGAGACAAGTTCTCGATATATTGCCCGAGCTGGTCTCAAACTCCTGGGCTCAAGGGATCCTCCCACCTGAACCTCCCAAAGTGCTGGGATTACAGGCATGTGCTATGGTGCCCAGCCAAGTATCTGTTGAATGAATGAATGAATGAAATCTTGGTGAGGGCTCTAAGGACACATAACATGAGGTCAGGCTCTGCAAGGAGGCTTTTATTTATTCAGGACCCTGGGGACAGGCACAGGACTTAGGTTTGTGTTCTGGGGCAGTCCCTGGGATCCGCAGCCCCCACCCTTCATCTGCCAGCTTCTCCATCTGTCTCCCCACCACCTGCACCCCCCCAGTTCTCATCTTGCAGCCAGTCAAGCTAGGTGGAATGTCTCAGGCCCTTTTTGTACCAAGCACATGTCCTACGTCATCACCCACAATGCAGCAGCCTCCCCTTCCTCCCGTTGCCCCTTTGGGATGCCAGGGCTCCCAAGCCTGGTGGGGGACCAGCGGCAAGGGAAGGCAGGGAGCTTTTCCAATAACTGTGGTTTTTGTGGAGCAGAAAGGGGCTGGCTCTTGGAGTGGCTTGGTAGAGGGGGAGGGCCATCCCCTGGGGACTTGGGGTGGGCAGTTGGGCCTCCTAAGTGGACGCAGATTGGAGCCAGCACCCAGACCAGAGCAGACCTGACTGTACAGAAGCCTCTGGGAACTTCTCCGCCTTCTAAATATTTAGACAATGAGATGGATGGGGAATCCAGGGCCAGAGCAGGTCGGCCAGGCCACTGGTTATTTTGAGAGAACCATTCTTTCTGCACTCCAGGATAAACGTTTCCTCTGTCCCTCACTCTCTTCCCAGAGCCAGCAGCGACTGCCCTGCCGCAGGAGAAACAGCAGCTGATCGGCCCCAGAGTTTGGGGGCCAAGGTTCCAGCATCCGCAGCCATCAGCCATGTCCCTGATTTTCTGGCTCCTGTCGCCCGAAGACAGGGCAGAGATCACAGGGTCAGCTTGAAATGTCAGCAGAGGGAGCAGGCGACGCTGGCTTCTGCTTTGGACGACGTTCCCACGGCGCTGCCGCTGGACTGCTGTGTGGGAGGCAAGGGCTCCACCTGCCCCTCGCCCCAAGCCGACAAAGGCACGCAGCTCCCCTCCTTTCCCACAGGAGCAGAGGGGGCCCTTGGGTCCCTCCTCCCTGAGGCGAGCTGGGAAAGGGGTGTCTGCGAGTCTCCGTGGGCAGGCCCGAGGCACAGGCAGCAGACCCAGAGCTTGAGTCGCTGGAAGACAGCCTTGCGGAAAAGGATGAAGACCCAGGGGTCCAGGATGGGGTTGAAGGCGTAGAAGCGGAAGGCAAGGAGGTCCCCCATCTCACTGCTGCTGTCAGGGGCGACAGCCTGGGTGAAGCAGCGGATCTGAGGGCAGGGTGAGGGCGTCAAGGAGCACCCAGGAGTCCTCAGCCTCCCCACCCTGGCTCCCTCCTCCCACTTGCTTACCAGGGATGAGGTAGGGGTGACATGTCAGAGGGGAAGGAGATAAGATAAAGACTAAGTAACAAATGTATCTGGGGAACACAGGGAGAGAAAGCCCCAGGAAATTGCCAGAGATGCCTAAGGGGAGAGGGATGGGGGCCAGGTATGTGGGTCCCCCCACCCTTGGAAGCTGGGAGGACCCTCGGGCTCCACAGATTTTTGAGTATAACGTCCCTGCAAGAAGGTGGCGCCACCCGGCTGGGCCCCCTGAAACTGCCGCAGAGCTGCGGTGGTGCCTGTGTGTATCTGTCCACGGCATCTGAGTCTCTGAGTCAGAGTAACCCCCAAAAAAGATTTAAGGACCCCCCAATCCGGCCTGGCCTCTTGCATTTTACAGAAACAGAAACTGAAGCTCAGAAGAAAGGTGGCACGACCAGGTGTCACAGACACTGAGTGGGTACCAGGGTCTGTGCCACTCCCATTGGGGAGGGGCAGGACGGGGTCCCCGCAGGAAACCGAGGTGCAGAGGCAAGGGTGGGGCCTGCTCTGAGGCAGAGGGGAGCCAGGTAGGTGGGAGATCAGGCTCTACAATGGAAGGACCCAGGACCAGGACCTGGCTCTGTGTGACTGGGCGAAAGACACTGCCCCTCATCTGTAAAAACGGGGATGGGAGAGAACGTTCTCTTGGTTTCCTGCCAAATACTGTGGAATGGGTGGCTATGATCATTTTGAAAATTATCTTAGGAAGTATCTGTAAGCCACTAAGCACGGGGCGGGCATAGAGAAGTGCTCAATGAGTGGTGGTCTTGTCATTACAGGGGTGGGGAAGGATGGGGGATGCATTTCATCATGGGGGGCTCAGGATGCCTAAGCTGGGAGACAAGGTATCAGAAGAAGTCAGATGCAGAAAGACCCCTCCAGAAAGCCAGGAGCTGTCTGACTGAGGACCAAGCCTCTGTCTGATTTGTTTTTGTTTTCTTTGTTTTTGTTTTGAGACAAGGTCTTGCTCTGTCAGCTAGGCTGGGATGCAGTGGTATAATCACAGCTCACTGCAGCCTCAACCTCCCAGGCCGGAGCAATCCTCCCACCTCAGCCTCACAAGTAGCTGAGACCACAGGCACAGGCCATCATGCCAGGCTAATTTTTAAATGTTTCATAGAGATGGGGTTTCACCATGTTGCCCAGGCTGGTCTCAAACCTCTGGGCTCAAGTGATCGTCCTGCCTCGCCTTTCTTTTTCTTTTTTTTCTTATTTTTTTTTTTTTTTTTTTGGGACGGGGTCTCACTCTGTCACCCAGGCTATAGTGCAGTGGCACGATCTCAGCTCACTGCAACCTCCGCCTCCGGGGTTCAAGCGATTCTCCTGGCTCAGCCTCCCAAGTAGCTGGGACTTCAGGCATGTGCCACTACGTCCGGCTACTTTTTATTTATTTATTTGTTGTATTTTTAGTAGAGACAGGGTTTCATCATGTTGGCCAGACTGGTCTCGAACTCCTGACCTCAAATGATCCGCCGGCCTCGGCCTCCCAAAGTGCTGGGATTACAGGTGTGAGCCACCGCATCCGGTCCTGCCTCGGCCTTTCTACATGCTGGGATTACAGGCGTGAGCCACCATGCCCACGATGTCTCACCTCTTTTGAGCCTCAGTCTCCCCATCTGTGACATGGGCACAACCCACAGAGCTGCCCTCCTCCTCTCCCCACTCCTCCCAGCTCCGGAGGGGACTCACCGTGAGAGGCAGGGAGCACACGGCCATGACCACTGTCATGAGGGCCAGCAGGATCAGGTGGTCCACCTCGTCCTCTCCGGTGCGCGGCCGTGGACCCAGAGAGCCCTGGTGGCGCTTCTGCTGGCGGTACATGCGGCAGAGGCTGAGGGTGACCGAGCCGTTGCAGAGGAAGATGGCAGCCACCAGCAGGGCCACCAGGCCGGCGTAGGCCAGCGAGAAGGCGGCGCCGCCCGGCTGGGCCCAGCGCATGCGGAGGAAGCACCAGCTGCCGGGGCAGTACTGCTGGTGTTGGCCCAGGCCCAGCAGGGGCAGCGCGCAGAAGAGGACGCAGAAGGCGTAGATGGCTGGCAGCGCCAGGCGGGCGCAGCGGGGCCCGTCCAGCTGCGCGTAGAGGTAGGGGTGGCTCAGCGCCAGGCAGCGCTCCACGGCCATGGCAAAGAGGATGAGCATGGACGCCAGGCCGAAGAAGGTCATGGCGAAGGCGAAGGCATCGCACAGGGCGGGGCCGCCTCGGGCCAGGCCCAGCAGGGAGCTGTTGCGCGCATAGGCCACGAACACGGCCGGGCTCAGGAAGCTGGTGCCCAGCAGGTCGGTGGCCGCCAGTCCGGTCACCAGCACCGCGAAGGCCGAGGGGCGCGCCGGTCGCCGTGCGCTCAGGATGCCCAGGGCCAGCCCGTTGCCCACCACACCGGCCACGAACATCAGGGTGCTGGTGGCCGGCCCCACCGAGCCCCGCACGTAGGTGAGGTTCCTGCACGAATCCGCCATCCCAGGTCTGGGCTGGAGGGTTCCCAAGGTGGGGGGTCAGAGGGAGCCAGGGCTACCCCCACCACCCAGCCCACTCAGATGTCCCTGCTGGCCAGTCCTTTTGGCAGCTGGGGCCTCCCAGCCAACCCCCAGTTCTCCTGTGTGTGCGGGTATGCAGTCCTCTCCCCTCTGGCTTCTCCAGTATCTCTCTCTGTCTCTCCCCACCTTCCTGTTTCTCTTTCTCTCTTTCTTTTCTTTCGTTTCTTTTGAGACAGAGTCTCACTCTGTTGTCCAGGATGGAGAGCAATGGCATGATCTCGGCTCACTGCAACCTCCACCTCCTGGGTTCAAGCGATTCTCCTGCCCCAGCCTCTGGAGTAGATGAGATTACAGGCGTCCACTACCACGCCCAGCTAATTTTTGTATTTTCAGTAGAGACGGGGTTCCACCATGTTGGTCAGGCTGGTCTCGAACTCCTGACCTCAGGTGATCCATCCACCTTGGCTTCCCAAAGTGCTGAGATTACAGGTGTGAGCCACCATGCCTGACACCCACCACCCCCCCACCACCTCCTGTTTCTTTCCTTCTCTAGCTCTGTTTCTGCCATTAAAGAGACAGAGAACATCCGGGCATTGCCAGTTCTTTCCCTCCCTGTCTCTCGGTCTCTTGCTGATATCTCCCTGTCTCTGTCCCCTCCCTTGTCCTTGTCCTCCCCGTACCTTTCTCCCTCTAACCCCACACCCTCTACCTGCTCCTGCTCTGTGTTGCTGCATCCCCAGCCCCTCACCGCACCTCTCCAGTCTTGCCCAGGCTCTCCTGTCCCGTGCGTCTGTGCCTTCACTTGCTTTGCTCCTCGTGTCTCTCGCTGCCTGTGTCGGTCTGTGTGTCAGCTTCTCCTTCCCTCCTCCCTCCGTCCCTCCCTCCTTCCCACCCTCCTCAGCTTGCCTGCTCACCCCAGCTTTTTCATTTCCTCTCTCTGCCCCGCCCTCCCTCACTGTTCTCCAGAGGGCCCCCTGGCACACTCCCCACTCCCCGTCCACCCGCCCAATCCAGGACATCCATCTCCCATCGCTGCCTCCACTCTCCTCCCCACATCCTCTCTTGGTTCCCATCACTGAGCCACCTGCCACCTCCCCACACACAGGTCTCCTCCCTCCCCCAGTGTCTCCCTCTCTGGCCTGGGTGGGGAATTCCTGAGTCACCATCACTTAGGCTTGGAGCCTCCCGGGGTAGTAGGGGGCCTCTAGGAGGGACCTGAAGAGCACAGTTGACCAGGCTTCAGTGGGGTGGTCTTGGCCTGGGCTGTCTCAGGGTGGCCTCTGGGATCTATTCTGGGCTCCAGGCCCCGGGGCTGAGGACATTGCCCAGGGATTGAGAAATGACCAGGAAATTCCTCTCTGATGTAGTGTTTTCCAGACACCACTGAGAGTTCTGGTCCCTGGACACAATTCACTCCTTCCAGAAAGCTGAGGAAGGAGGCTTGGCCAGAGAGAGACATGCCAGTCCCTCGAGCCTGTCCCTGGGCACCCAGCTCACCCTGCAGAGACCCGAGAAGAAAGCATGAAGGGGTGTATTTGGTGTCCAGTTGTCAGGGACAGGCTTGGGAGACTTCCATGGCCCATGATGGAAAGGTAGCACTGGGCCACCGTCCGACTTCTCGCACAGCACCCCTAGGCCCCAGGCCAAGCTCTGGTGACCTTGACCTTCAGGAATCATATTTTGATCACAGGAAGCTGTCCACAGCTCCAACATTGCTGCCATGTGTCCCCCACCCTCCCCAAACACAGCCAAGCCACCACCGCTGCAGCCTCGGGCCAGTGTGACAGACCCACATGTTCCCGCTACCCGCACAGCGTTCACGGGTCTCCCTTCCCACGGAGTCGGTGGCTTCCCAGGCAGCCTCCCAGCCCAAAAGGGCCAGATAAAACCTCAGAGACCCTCTCTGAGCCCCGCTGTTTCTCAGGGGGACGGTCTCAGATCCATTCGACTTGGCTTCCTGTTTCCATCTGACCACCTTTTTTCTTGCTGCGAGATGGTCCCAGGTGAGGAGAGGGAGCTGGTAGACTTCAGCCTCCTTCTCTGTGCGTGGGGTAACACGGGCCTCAGGGACCTGGTGGCCAGCCTCGGCCTGCAGCACATCCCAGATTGGTCTTTGTAACAAGGAGAGAGGCTGTGCGGGTGTCTCTTGTCCAAGGCCAGGAGGGATGTGTCCAACCCAAGGACTGGACTGTGGGCAGCTGCCGTCTTGCCCTCTGTACCCCGGTGTGTGACCACAACCCCTTTGCCCCTCCCCCCCATCTCCCTATCACCCTTGCCCAGCTGGCACCCGCAGCTTCCAGCAGGATGGACGCCCAAGTTCCAGCCCCACCGTGGCTCCCTAAGGGACCCCCCAGCCCTGCTCTGGGGGTGCCTGTACATGTGGGCTCCAGGTCCTGCCACGTTGTCCCGCCTCATGCCGTGAGGTCCCCAGACAGACCAGAGGGAACTCAGGAAGTTATATCATATTAATGAAGGATGATGCCTGGCAGGCGTGCATCTTGTTTCGGCATCGGGGGGGCCTCTGGTTCCCGGAGACTCCCTCTCTCGCTTCCTGTTACAAGGACGGTTAACATTCAGGAAGTCCCCTCTGCTCCCATGCCCAGTGGGACCACAGTCAAACCCTTGTCCCTTCCAGGCCTCAGTTTCTTTTTTGTTGTTGTTTTTCTTTTTGCTTGTTTGTTTTTGTTTTGAGATGGAATCTTGCTCTGTCACCCAGGCTGGAGTACACTGGCATGATCTCAGCTCACTGCAACCTCCGCCTCCCGGGTTCAAGCGACTCTCGTGCCTCAGCCTCCCGAGTAGCTGGGATTACAGGCATGTGCCACTGCGCCCAATTTTTATATTTTTAGTAGAGGTGGGGTTTCACCATGTTGGCCAGGCTGGTCTTGAACGCCTGACCTCAGGTGATCCGCCCGCCTCGGCCTCCCATAGTGCTGGGATTACAGGCGTGAACCACCTTGCCTGGCTGTTCGTTTGTTTTTGAGACAGGGTCTTGCTCTGTCACCCAGGCTGGAGTGTAGTGCTGCAATCTCGGTTCACTGCAACCTCTACCTCTGGGGTTCAAGCGATCCTCCCACCTCAGCCTCCTGAGTAGCTGGGACTACAGGCACCCACTGCCACGCTAGCTAATTTTTGTATTTTTGTAAAGACAGGGTTTCACTGTGTCACCCAGGCTGGTCTCAAACTCCTGGACTCAAGTGATCTGCCTACCTCGGCTTCCCAAAGTGCTGGGATTATAGGCCACCACGCCTGGCCTCAGGCCTCAGTTTCCCCGCCGATGCCACTAGGAGTCATGAGCCCTCGCAACCCCAGGATCGGTTCTGTGTTCCTGCATCAGGAGCAGGTAGGGGTGGCAGTGACTGTGACTCCCTCCTAATGAGGGGACTGAGTTCCCCAGAGTCCGTACTGGCGCCAGACATGCCTCAGTCACCTTGCCCTGAAACCCAGCCTCCTGCTTGGCCGTGGCCCCAGCTAGCCGGGCCAAGCCCACAGCAGGGTCCACACGGGGGTTCCACTCCCCAGCCAGGTGCCTTGGGGTGAGAAATCACCCACGGTGCGTTGTGCCAGGGGCAGCTTCCAGGGTGGGCGGAGCTATGGAAGGAACTGCCCTGGGGGCGTGGGTCCGTAGCCTCCATCTCACACTCTCTCCACCCATGGCGAGGAACAGGACCAGGCCTCCCTGAGGGGGACCCTGAAGCAGCAGGGAAAAAGAGGAAGGACAGCTCAGAGACCACTGAGATTAGGGACGCACACACAGCACCCGGGAGGGGAGAGAGATTGAGGCTAGTGTGCTGGGGACTGTGGGTGTGTAACCGGATTGTGACTCTCTGTAGAGTTAGTGCGGCCCATGTGACCTAAGTGAGCATTTTTCTCAGCATTGATTGTGTTTGCGTGTGTATTGTGTGTATATGTGTATTGTGAGCTCGTGGGACTCTGTGTGCACATGGGCACACAGCTATGTTGTAGTTTTGTTTTGTTTTTGAGATGGAGTCTTGCTCTTTTGCCCAGGCTGGAGTGCAGTGGTGCCATCTCGGCTCACCACAACCTCCACCTCCCAGGTTCAAGTGATTCTCCTGCCTCAGCCTCCCGAGTAGCTGGGATTACAGGCACCTGCCACCACGCCCAGCTAATTTTTGTATTTTAGTACAGATGGGATTTCACTATGTTGGCCAGGCTGGTCTCAAACTCCTGATCTCAGGTGATCCGCCGGCCTCAGCCTCCCAAAGTTCTGGGATTACAGGTGTGAGCCACCGTGCGCAACCTAGTTTTTTTGAGACAGGGTTTCACTCTGTCACCCAGGCTGGAGTGCAGTGGCACGATCTCAGCTCACTGCAACCTCTACCTCCCAGGCTTAAGCAATCTTCCCACCTCAGCCTCCCAGATAGCTGGGACCACAAGTGCTCACCACCATGCCCAGCTAATACTTTTATTGTTTTGTAGAGATAGGATCCCACTATGTTGTCCAGGCTGGTCTCAAATTCATGGGCTCAAGTGATCCTCCCACCTTGGCCTCCCAACGCACTGGGATTACTGGCATGAACCATGGCACCTGGCCGAGAATGGTTTTTGGTTTTTTTGTTTGTTTGTTTGTTTGTTTGTTTGAGATGGAGTCTCACTCTGTTGCCCAGGCTGGAGTGCAGTGGTGCCATCTCCGCTCACTGTAACCTCTGCCTCCCAGGTTCAAGCGATTCTCCTGCCTCAGTCTCCCAAGTTGCTGGGACTACAGGTGCGAGCCACCATGCTCAGCTAATTTTTGTATTTTTAGTAGAGATGGGATTTCGCCATGTTGGCCAAGCTGGTCTTGAACTCCTGACCTCAAGTGATCTGCCTGCCTTGGCCTCCCAAAGTGCTGAGATTACAGGCGTGAGCCACCGCGCCTGGCTGAGGATGGGTTTTGAAGTTCATCTCCACCACTCACCAGTCAGTCACCATGTGACCTGAGAAAATGACTTCCCCTAGCAAAGCTTTGATGTTCTTCGTCAAATGGCTGCCTTGACCTTGTTGGGGTGTTATGTGAAGATAAGAGACAGTTCCCCCTGCCTGCCTCCCAGGAAGCCCTCAAATAGCTGTTGATATTATTCATTCAACAAACCGTAACCAGCAGTTTACTGTGTGCTAAGAGCTGGGGACACAGAGGGGCTCAGAGGGCACAGCCCAGGAAGAGTGTTCTCAAACAGGTTTGTCCACCCAGTGTGGGGATCCTGAGCAGGGGTGCCTGCATCTGTTTTTTTTTGTTGTTGTTGTTCTGAGATGGAATCTCGCTCTGTCGCCCAGGCTGGAGTGCAGTGGCGAGATCTCAGCTCACTGCAACCTCCACCTCCCGAGCTCAAGCGATGCTCCTGCCTCAGCCTCCTGAGTAGCTGGGACTTCAGGTGCCCGCCACCATGCCTGACTAATTTTTGTATTTTTAGTAGAGGCGGGATTTCGCCATGTTGGCCAGGCTGGTCTCGAACTCATGACCTCAAGTGATCCGCCCAACTTGGCCTCACAAAGTGCTGGGATTACAGGCTTGACCCATCACGCCCAGCCCAGGCCTGCATCTGGAAGTGCCGCAGACCTAAGATCCTGGCTTGCCCTGGGCCTGACCCTCTCCGGACTCCCTGGTTTCCGTCCTCCTGGCTCTGGCCCTGGGAGGAAGTGGGCCTTATCTCATGTTCTGCACACACGCACCACCAGCTGCTCGTGCCTGCCAGGCCTCCCGTCTGCCTGCTGTGCCCTCTCACTGCTTTGAGAAACTGCTATGTGTGTCCCAGACCTGTCTCGCCTTGGCTGGTTCCAGCATCCAGAGCCAGAGGCCTCCTTTCTCTATCCACTCACTGCCCTCCACCGCAAATGGGCCCTGGCCTACCTTCTGGTGGCTGCACCTCACCTTGCTCCAGGGGGCATAACCCAGTCTCCTGCCTACCCTGCCTCTGAATGGGCCGTGCCCCTCACCTGGGGATCCCCTCATTTCCTAGCCTTCAAGGCCTCTTGGTCACCCCCTGAGCCTCTCCTGAGCGGTCGTCCATCAGATCCTCCCACTCCCATTCCAGTCTCAAACCCCAGCTGGTTACCTCTCCATGCCTGTTTCTCTCTCTCTCTCTCTCTTTTTTTTTTTTTTTTTTTTTTTTTTGAGATGGAGTCTTGCTCTGTCCTCAGGCTGGAGTGCACTGGTGCGATCTCGGCTCACTGCAACCTCTGCCTCCTGGGTTCAAGCGATTCTCGTGCCTCAGCCTCCCGAGTAGCTGGGATTACAGGTACACGCCACCATGCTCAGCTAATTTTTGTATTTTTAGTAGAGACGGGGTTTCACCATGTTGGCCAGGCTGTCTTGAACTCCTGACCTCAAATGATCCGCCTGCCTTGGCCTTCCAAAGTGCTGGGATTACAGGCATGAGCTACTGCGCCCGGCCCCATGCCTGTTTTCCTTGTCTGTAAAATGGGGATAAACAGAGTCACCTTGAGGGCTATCGTGAGCATTGAGCAAGATGGGACTGTTGAACTGTTCCCCTAGGAAGCGATGGCCAAGATTGCAGCTCCTGCTGGCTCTAGGCTTTCCCTCCCCCGCTGTACTCCTTCGGCCAAGCCAAGCGCTGCTCTGAGCGCCTGGGTTGGGGTGCAGCGTGCGATGTGGGTGCAGAGGGAAGACAGCCTGAAACAGGGCAGCTGAGAGCCCTTGGGGTCTGGAGGAACAAGCACCTCGCCCTGCATGCACCTCTACCTCTTGGCCTGTCTCTGACCCCCAGCATGGGCCTGGCCCCAGAGCTGACTTCACCCCTGGGGGTGGCAGGAAGCAGCAGCTGGTGACCAGAAGCTGGTGCTGCTACAAGGCAGTAAATTTAATAAGATTATTCGGATCTGTTCTCATGGAGGCTGGGCACGCAGGGACCTGCCCTGTCCCTCCTGGATTGTGACTTCTGACTTCTCCTTTCCCGTAGCCTCAGTTCCCCATCCTCCCCCTCCAGAAAGACACCTCCTTCTGGTCCCCTCTGTGTCCCACTCCCACCAGCCCTCCCTTCCCCCAACCCAGGTCCCATTCAGCTGCTTACATCTCCATAGTTTCTGTCCCCCAGGACCAGGAATGTGAAGGAGGAAGGGTTTGCACTACGCAGCTCTGAGATTCCAGGGCTCGAAGGATCTAGCTCCCAAGAGCCTAGGCTCAGGAACTCCTTACACTTCTTCTGAGATGCTGAACTCTGGAATCCTAGGGTGCAGGACCCCAGGATCTTGGCCCCATAGGATTGAAAGATGCTGGAATTCCAGCCCTCAGAGGTCCTGGGATCCTAGATTCCTTTGCATTTCAGGTTCTGAGCTGTAAGGATGCAGGATCTGTGAATTCTGGAATCCTTCTAGCTCCTTCCTGCCCAGCTTCTCTCCCCGCTCCTCCTCCACACCCTAGCTCATCTCTGGCTCACTCCCTGTCCCCCGTCTCCCCCGGGGCTCCCACAGACATGATGCAACCAGGCCGGAGCCAAGCCAGCTCAGAGGTGGGAAGCAGGAGGGAGATGTAATTACAGACGCTCCTGCCTGGATCCTACAGGAAACTCAGAGTAGGGGCCCGGGGGACCCTAATCCAATGTGAATAATGGAGCAGACTTGTGCACATTCCCCCTGTGGAGGGGAGGCCCAGCAAGCCACCTCCAGCCAGACCCAGGGTCCAGCCTCCACCAGCCCCAAGCTGGGGAGCCTGAGTATTAGACAAGATAAGAAGAGATGAGGGAGAGGAGAGGGGGTGATCCTCCAGCCCTTGGGCCAACCAGGTAAAATAATTGGCCAAACCTACAGCTTCCCTGGCCTGCATTCTCCCCATTTTCAATGGAGACACAGAACATTTCATTTTTCTTTTCTTTTCTTTGCTTTTTTTTCTTTTGAAATAGAGTCTCACTCTATTGCCCAGGCTGGAGTGCAGTGGCGTGGTCTTGTCTCACTGCAACCTCCACCTCCCAGGTTCAAGCGATTCTCCTACCTCAGCCTCCTGAGTAGCTGGGATTACACGTTCATGCCACCATGCCCAGCTAATTTTTGTCTTCTTAGTAGAGGCGGGGTTTCACCATGTTGGCCAGGCTAATCTTGAACTCCTGACCTCAAGTGATTTGCCCACCTCGGCTTCTCAAAGTGCTGGATTTATAGGCGTGACCCACCACGCCCAGCCATTTTATTTCTCATTCCTCCATAAGAAGCCCCCGACACAGGCTTCAGGTTAAATGGCAACTGGTCCCCAGCTTCCTTGACCAGAAGACAATAGGGCATGGTGGGGACTTTGGTGAGCTGGAAAGCCCAGGCACCGTCTCACAGCCTATGCGTCACCAGACCTTACAATTTCAAAGAAGACTTTGCAATTCCAGAGGAATATGGACTTTGATGTGAAATATCTGTGTTTTTCAATTGGCAGCCAAGTCAAGAACATCTTTAAACATCATGTAAAGCCATAAAAATATAACTGCGGCCAGGCGGGTGGGTCACGCTTGTAATCCCAGCACTTGGGAGGCCGAGGCAGGCGGATCACTTGAGGTCAGGAGTTCAAGACCAGCCTGGCCAACATGGTGAAACCCCACCTCTACTAAAAATACAAAAATTAGCTGGGCGTGATGGTGCATGCCTGTAATCCCAGCTACTTGGGGGGCTGAGGCAGGAGAATTCCTTGAACCTGGGAGGCGGAGGTTGCAGTGAGCCAAGATCCTGCCGCTGCACTCCAGCCTGGGTGACAGAGCGAGATTCCGTCTCTCTCTCTCTCTCTTTCTCTCTCTCTCTCTCTATAGATAGATAGATAGATAGATAGATAGATAGATAGATAGATAGATAGATCTGCAAGCTACGTATGTCCTGCAGGCCAGCAGTATGTGAATTGGAAAACAGAGGGCAGGAACCAGAGCTGTCACAGTCATCCCTTTGTCTCCAGAAAAATGACAAAATAGAAGAAGAATGAAGGAATGTACTCATTATTTTCTTTCCTCTCCCTCCCTCTAGCCATGTTTCTCTCTTCTGGGTCCCCAAATTTTATTACCACCATGTTCCAGCTCAGATGTCACCTCCTCCAGGAAGCCCTCCCTTACCTCCAAGCTGAGTCAGGAGTTATCTCTGCGCTCCCCCACCCAGCACTGCGCACTCTGGGTTTTTACCATCTGGGGACAGGTCTTTCTCTCCTACTGGACTCTGAGCCCCAAGAGGGCAGGGCAGGGCAGAGCCAAGGCTGTCTTGGTCACAGCCATGTCCCTAGCATTGCCCAGCGCTGGTCAGAGAGTAGGTACTCAGGGAGTGTTTGGAAGAATGAATGAGTGAATGAACAAGTGAGCAGGGAAAAAGTGCAGGGCTTTAGGACAGAAGTGGGCCTGCGGTAGAGGGGAACCAGGTGTGAAAACAGGAGTCGTTAAGGGGGTGAGAAGTGTGGGATGGGGACTGGGGACCCTAAGAATGTCCAAGCCAGTGGGGAGGAGAGGAGAGAGGATGGCGGAGGGGTTCAGGGAGCACTGGAGTACCCCCGTCAGCGCTCTGTTACCGCCTAGCTTTGTGACTCTGAATAAAGGACTTCCTTTGGCTCAGTTTCCTCTTGGGTATCATACAAGTAGTTAGCTGTCTTCTGGGGCTGTCGGGACCATTAAGTTCAGGATCGACCGTGGAGGAGAGAGCACCGAATACTCATCTCCTCCGAAGCTTTGGTGGAGTCGTACTCCCTCCACGTCCACCCCTACCCCCAACACACACACTCAGAAGGAATGAGAACGGACACAGCTTCCCCTACGGTGGCCCCAAGCTCTGTGCGTGCCTCAGTCTCCCTGAAAGCACAGGCACCACCACAGTTACCAAGTTTATTGGATCCATACTTTGGCAGGGGAGGGTAAGCTGTCCGGAGGGCTCAGAGCAGAACACAAAAGAGGCGCTTGTCGCGGAAGGGGTTCTCCGCGGCGGGTACTGGCGTCACCAGCGGGTCATCTTTGGCATGCGTCTCGCAGAAAGCCAGGAGTTCCGCTGCTGCCTGCGACACCTGCGAGCACCCGGGTGGAGATGTCACCGCCCTGCCCGGCTCCTTGGAGCCGCCCACTTAGGCCCCGCCTCTTGCCCTGTCCCCTCCTCCCACCTTGCCCCGCCCCATACAGGCCTTTCCCCTTGTCTTACTCCGCCCCCTCGTCCTGGCCCCTCCCCTGTCCTACCCCGCCCCTCGTCCTGGCCCCTCCCCTGCCCCATCCCTCCCCTCGTCCTGGCCCCTCCCCTGTTCTGCCCCTCCCCTCGTCCTGGCCCCTCCTCCTGCCCTGCCCCGCCCCTTGCCCAGCCCTGTTCCCAGGGGCATCCTTGCACTATGGCTCCGAGCCGGGCCGACACAGCCCCGGACAGACCGCAGGCCCAGAACCCCCGCCCTATTCCCCACCCCGACCCAGCACCTTCATGCGGTCGATGTTCACCTCCAGCTTCAGCTGTTCCACCGTCTTGCGGGCCTCGGCAATCTTGGCCATGTTGTTGGACATGGTTGCGGCGGGGAAGGGGTTAAAAGACGCGCGGGAGTGGGGGCTGTGGGGGTAGGTTAGGATACGTCTGGGTCCCGAGGTGGGGGCGAGAGGGCGGGCCCCGGTAACAGGTGCGAGGGTGGAAGGGCGCG